>NC_000019.10:44210570-44513601 GCF_000001405.40 Homo sapiens
TATGGATGAAGACCGTCACCCAGGAGGGAAAAGAGTAGCAGGTTATGACAGAAGGAACACCAAATACAAAGAATTAGAGGCTTTTTGTAGGAGTACAAGTAATCCACTATGGCTGGACATGTAGAGTGGAAAGTGGATTCCAAGAGAGAAACAGCATCTGGAAAATTCCTGTTTGTGCGACTTGTTAAAGCATTTGAACCTTCTCTTAAGGGCACTGGATAGACATGCAGGTGAAAATAATCAAATTTCCATCTTAGGAGATATACTTAACCTCTCTCTGCCTCTGGATCCCAAAGAGTAAACTAGAGGACATTATTTGTTTTAAAAAAGTTGTGAAAATGGGCTAAGTGTGGTGGCTCATGCCTGTAATCCTAGCACTTTGGGAGGCCGGGGCGGGTGGATCACCTGAGGTCAGGAATTCAAGACTAGCCTGGCCAAGATGGCAAAACCCCGTCTCTACTAAAAATACAAAAATTAGCTGGGCGTGGTGGGGAGGGGGGTGCCTATAACCCCAGCGACTTGGGAGGCTGAGGCAGGAGACTTGCTTGAACCTTGTGTGAGGGCGGAGGTTGCAATGAGCCGAGGTCATGCCACTTCACTCCAGCCTGGGCAAAAGAGCCAAACTCTGTCTAACAACAACAACAACAACAACAACAACAAAACAGAACAAAAAAAAAAAGAAAAAAGTTGTGAAAATGTAGTGAGGGTCCCATAGTCTGAATAGTTTGAACTAGTTCCTGGCACATACTTGGTTCTTTATAAGAGATAGTTGTATATAACAGAATAAAGAATATATATTTAGTAAATGAGAACTGCAAACATGTACTGTAGTAGATATGTGGATATTTTTAGGTATTGCTCTCTTCTTTCAACCCTCAATTCTTGGAAACATCAATTCCATTATACATTTAAGCAAATAAAGATCAAGGTTTAAACACTGAAGTAATAAATTTGTTCATCTTTCAAATTCAGAAACTCCTTGAGGAATGATTACAGAGGCCCTAGTTGCTTTGTGGAGTTGATCTACCATATGCCAAAGCTTGTGTTTTCTATGTCTAGCTATCCTCAGTAAGCAAGTTGTTCTGAATTATATGACTGTGCTATTAAGAAAAGTGGAAATCCATAATATATTCTGCCTTCGTTGCATTTTTTGATTGCTCTTTCATTCTTTTAGTATCTAAAGAGTAGTTTTTCTATTAGTCGATCCTGTTAAATGTAAAAACTTAAAGGGTTTCCTCTGCCCTTTTTTTTTTTTTTTTTGGAAGTGGTGGGTATAATTCTATTAGTACAGGATCACGTGATCTGTTTCTTATAATAGTTTTTTTTTTCTTTTTTTTTTTTTTGAGACAGAGTCTCACTCTGTCGCCCAGGCTGGAGTGCAGTGGCACGATCTTGGCTCACTGCACCCTCCAGGGTTCAAGCGATTCTTATGCCTCAGCCTCCCAAGTAGCTGGGACTACAGGCGCGCGCCACCACGCCCGGCTAATTTTTATATTTTTAGTAGAGACGGGGCTTCATCATATTGGCCAAGCTGGTCTGGAACTCCTGACCTCGTGATCCGCCCGCCTCGGCCTCCCAAAGTGCTGGGAGTCTTTTTTTATTTTAGGGCTCCAATTCTTCACATATTTGCTGTTACTTTTTGTTAATAAGAAAAACCTAAATTCCACTGACATCAGAGAACTGCTTCAGCCTGGCTAAACAGCAATAAGCCGTGAAGAGGATTCTGGATGTTGTAGTCCGGGAGCTCCGAGAATTTTGTCACACTCTCCGTAACCCTCTCTCACTCGCTCGCTCCGTTTTTTTTTTTGTTTTTTTTTTTTTCAAGCGCGAAGAGGGCGGCACCTGGATGGTTTTTCCTTCTGGAAGTTCTGGGAAACGTATTCCAGAACTCTGTCCGGAAACAATTGGGCCGCAGGAGCGCGGGCCTTCTGGGAAGGGTAGTTCAGGAGCTCTGGGCAGGCAGAGCCACTTCCGCCCCGGAAAGCGAGGCCGCCACCATCTTTTGGGTCCGGGAGGTGAGTCAGCCCTGCACCCCCACGACCCCTCTTGAACCTTTTCAGCCTGTGCTTGGGAATAGGCGCTCCCCAGCCATCAGTCTTGGGATGGAGAGGTCGCGGCCGCGGCGGAGGCCGAGAGGCCGAGGGCGGGAAGTTTGCTCTCCTCCCGCACTTGGCAAGCAGCGCCGCTAGTTCTGTGGGTATAATAAACAGCGAGTTACCTATGATCCGCGCTCCTGTTTCCTCATCTTTAAAATAGCAATAAAGATAGTCGTTACTGTGTAGGGTTGTAATTAGAATTAAACAAGATAATACGGGTCAAACCTTAGAACAGTGGTGGCACCTGATACTGGGTTGGCTCCTGCTATTGATACAGTGATTCCCTCACAAGCGCCCTTTTTACTGGAAGCTCCAGTGAAGAGAGAAGAAAAGTCAGGGCTTTATGCCATGGCCTTTCTGTCGTATCCTTCAGGAGACCGAGCTCTTCCCGAACTTTTACAGATCTTTTTTTTTTTTAAGAAGGATTGAGTCATCGGGCTCCAATGCGTGGGGATGTTTACCGCCGTTTATCCGGGATAGAGACTCCATCGTGCTGACAGCATCCTTTTATTCACCGCCTCCGAATTTGCAAAGAGGAGGAAGGAGGGACTTCTTGGCTTCTCCCAGCATAGCCCCAGGTACCTGCTCTTGAACGCACTTTGTTGTTCCATTTTCTGTCCTTTCAGTTAATCAAGTTTCCGTCACTCAGTAAGTTACTACTGAAAAATGATGAAATATTTGTTGAATAAATGTGAGAGTGGGTAGGAAAACTACTTGGAAATGAGTATTACCAATAACATCTTACCACTTTGATTTTAAGGCATTCGTCTGTGGACCATAGCTATTGATGAAGTAGGTCTTGTTATTTTGTTATGAGGAAATTAGGCAGAGTTTATGTTATTAAATACTTTCCCGAAGTTATTCAACTGATAGTAAGAGGTGGATTTGGGATTGAACCCAAGCATTCCTTTTCAGACTGTGTGATCTTTTTTGTTTGTTTTTGTTTCTTTGGTTTTTGTTGTTGTTTATTTTCTATTCCTTTTTCTGAGTCTGTGGTCTTAATCTCAATGATACAGTCGTCTTCAGTTATCTTAAATAGTAATCCATATGGCTACCGGTGAGTCGTTGGAAATCAGCCTTGGGAATGTAGGTATGGATTTTACTGTGGAAGACCTCAAAAACTGCACTGATGAATTTTGAATTTTTTAGAAAAATCCTGCAACATCTCACTTACTTAATTTCATTCCATGTCAAAATATGTCATATTCTAGTTATAGAAGTAATGAATGCTCATTATAGAGATGCACTATCCAATCCAGTAGCTATAAGCCATGTGTGCCCTAGGAGCACTTGAAATGTGTCTAGTCCAAATTGAGATGTGCTGTAAGTGTTAAATACACACTGGATTTCAAAAACTTTGTACAAAAAATGTAAGATGGCTCATTGATAATTTTTTGTATTATATGTCAAAATGGTAATATTTTGGATACATTGGCTTAAATTATGTTGTTGAAATTAACTTCACCTATTTTTGTTTTTGTTTTTTTGCCTTTTTTATATGTTACTGCTAGAAAATTTAAAATTATTTATGTGTCTCAGTATATTTCTATTGGACAGTGATGTTATATTCAGAAAACTTAAATTACTTATAATAAAACTGCTAACACTTTAATGTGTTTCCCTTTAGTATATGCTATGGATGTTTCTCAAAATAGGTTTGGTATTCTGTGTAGTAGTTTTTTTCTTATTATGAAAATTTTCTTTTTTCTTTTTTTTTCTTTTTTTTTGTGAGATGGAGATTCACTCTTGTTGCCCAGGCTGGAGTGCAGTGGCGTGATCTCAGCTCACTGCAACCTCCACCTCCCAGGTTCAAGTGATTCTCCTGCATCAAGCTCCCGAGTAACTGGGTTACAGGTGTGCGCCATCACTCCCAGCTAATTTTTGTATTTTTAGTAGAGACGGGGTTTCACCGTGTTACCCAGGCTAATCTTGAACTCTTGACCTCAGGTAATCCGCCCACCTCGGCCTCCCAAAGTGCTGGGATTACCGGCGTGAGCCACTGCGCCCAGCCGAAAAATTTCAAGCATATTCAACTGTCAAAAGAGTGGTGCAGTGAATTCCACGTAACCAACACTCAGGTTCAACATTTGCTGCAGACCATCTCCTCCTCCTTCCACCCCACTTTTTTTTTTTTTTTTAAATTAGAGTGTCTTAAAGCAGGAGTCCCAACTTCTGGGCAGCGGACCTGGTACTAGTCTGTGGCCTGTTAGGAACCTGACAGCACAGAAGGAGGTGATTGGAGGGGTACCGCCTGAGCTCTGCCTCCTGCCAGATCAGCAGGGGCATTAGATTCTCATAGGAGGGACTGCACATGTGAAGGATCTAGGTTGTGCGCTCCTTATGAGAATGTAACTAATGCCTCATGATTTGAGGTGGAACCTATCATCCCCAAACCATCTCCCCCGCCCCCATCCGTGGAAAAATTATCTTCCGTGAAACTGGTCCCTGGTGCCAAAAAGGCTGCAGATGGTTGTCTTAAAGCATACGCCAGACATCAGGTCAGTTTTTTTTTTTTTTTTGAAACGGAGTCTCGCCTGTCGCCCAGACCGGAGTGCAGTGGCGCCATCTCGGTTCACTGCAGCCTCTGCCTCCCGGGTTCAAGCGATTCTCCTGCCTCAGCCTCCCGAGTAGCTGAGGTCAGTTTTTTTTTTATTTTCTACCATGACCTCTGAAACTGAAGCTGTAATTTGCCATTTGCTCAGTACAGTATATCTTTTTTTTGTTCTTTTTCTTTCAAACTTTTTTGTCATTATGTTTTCGTAGTGTCTTTTAGAATATATATGTATAATTTTTTTTTTTTTAGTGCAGTCTGGGATAATTTGCTTTTACTATCTGTGTGTATATTTTGTTCTCCTTTCTTGTCTTTTTTTGTTCAGTTTATTCCCTTTTATTTGTGCTCAACTGGTCTGGAGTTTATATGGTTTTGTGTCATTCTTCTAACTTTAAAAATATTCTCTTTCTTAGCAAATACTAAACTTAATCAGCATGTGTTCTTATTCTGAAGAATATTGAGACTAAAAAAAATCTGAAAGAAGATGGGGCCAGGTGCGGTGGCTCATGCCTGTAATCCCAGCACTTGGGGAGGCCTAGGCGGGTGGATCACCTGAAGTCAGGAGTTTGAGACCAGCCTGGCCAGCATGATGAAACCCCGTCTGTACTAAAAACACAAAAATTAGCCAGACGTGGTGGTGCGTACCTGTAATCCCAGCTACTCAGGAGGCTGAGGTGGGAGAATCGCTTGAACCTGGGAGGCAGAGGTTGCAGTGAGCTGAGATTGTGCCATTGCACTCCAGCCTGGGTGACAAGAGCGAAACTCTCTCTCTAAAAAAAAAAAAAAAAAAAAAGATGTACCTTTAAAAAAAAAAAAAAAAAAGCTATGTTTTTATAGGTCTACTTTTTATTATAACCACCCTCAAAATTTGTCATTATAGTTCTTTGGCTTTTTTTAAACAAAGATTATTATATTACCAATATAGTCACAAATGTTTTCTTACCATTGCTTTTTGCAGTCCATCTTTTAGGGTTCACATGGTTATAAATTCTCTTCATTTTTTTTTTCAGCTAAAATATTGTTTCTTTCTCATGTAAATAATCATCTAGTTGAACATAGAATTCAGGTTGACAGTTTCTTTATTTTGGAGGTAATATTCATTTGTTTTAAATCTCCATTCTGTTACCCTATTTCTGTCAATCTAATTGTTATTTCTTTTAGGTCAACTATATTTTCTTTCTAGGAGCTTTAAGGTTGTTGTTTCCAGTTCTTTATGTTCGTTTAGTCTTTTGCATTTCTGAGTTTTATTGTGATTTGTTTAGGGTATGTTTATTTTTATTTATACTGTTTAGAATTTCTATATGCGAACTTGTATCTTTTACCAATTGTGTGAAATTCTCAGCAATTGCATCTTGAAATTAAAACCTCTCAGTCATTCCCTCCATCCTGCCTTCTCTTCTCCCATTCCTGTTAGACAAATACGGAAGCCTCTCAATTTATCTTTCATGTTTCTTGATTTTTCGTTTGTGCTTTATCTTTCTCTTTGCTGTGTGTTTTTCTCTGTGCACATAAAATAAAAGAGATGTACCAATGATCGTTTCCAGGCTTCATGAAGTAAATTGACCCAGAATGATACGTTTTAGAAAACTGATAACAGTGTCAGTAAAATATTACTAGCTGGGCAACAAATTACTAAAAAGAAACCTTAAGTCAGATTTCGGCTTTTCAGAAATTAAAGGTGACTTTCATAGGAGAGCAATATTTGCAAGGCAAGTGTGTGATGCAAAGTATCATCTGCTTGTTTTTTTTTTTTTTTTTTTTTTGAGACAGAGTCTCACTGTGTCATCCAGGTTGGAGTTCATTGGCGTGATCTTGGCTCACTATAACCTCCACCTTCCAGGTTCTAGCAATTCTCATGCCTCAGCCTCCCAAGTAGCTGGGATTACAGACCCGCACCACCACGCCTGGCTGATTTTTTTTATTTTTGGTAGAGATGAGGTTTTGCCGTGTTGGCCAGGCTGGTCTCAAACTTCTGACCTTATGTGATCCTCCCTCCTTGGCCTCCTAAAGTGCTGGGATTACAAGCATGAGCCACTGTGCCAGGCCTGGCTAAACAGCAAGAAGCCATGAAGAAGCTTTTTTGTAACTATAAGAGAAAGGGACTCCTGGTTCTTAGAACTCTCCATCTACTTATTTAATCCTTGGAAAAACCCTATGAGGGAGGTACGATTTATGATTCTTACCATATCCTCATTGTACACATAACAGAAGTGAGGCACAGAGAGGGTTTTTAATATCCCCAAGGTTACACAGCTGGTAAGTATCATTTCTAGGAATTAAACCCAGATACTTGACTTGAGAGCCCTCATATGTTGTTACATTGCCTCTCGTTTCCTGCTGTCTCTGCCATCAGAAATCCTTGTAGCAAGGATGCTGCACTTGTGCAGACTGTTCACTGCCCAATGGCACTGAACTATCATGCCATTTAGTAGCTGGAATACAGTCCATGTTCTGCTTACCAAGCTGTATGTGGCTATACCTGTCTGAATGTAGGGCTATTTCTCTAATTTCCTCATATGTACACATGGGCTAACAGCAGGCTTGTGTCTCATGGCGTCTTTGGTCTCCCCCAGTTATGCCATCTCAGAACTATGACCTTCCCCAGAAGAAGCAGGAGAAAATGACCAAGTTTCAGGTACGTAAAGGATTCCTTGCTGTCTTTTAAAATGTGATTTATTTCTCAAAGATAACAGATTTATTTTTTCTCTTTCTTGGAAAGGTTAGTGGGAAACAGATATTCAGGACATGTGGTATGCTGACATGTATGTGTTTTTTTGTTTTAGTTTATCACCTTTACTATTTTACAAAACAGTGTTTGAAAAAATAATAGAAGCTTTAATCAGAAATAATCTATGCTACTACCCTGCTTATGAACTAGCTTTTTTCATTTTCCCATGTTCCTTTTTCATACACATTTTGCAATACTTGAGTAGATGAAATTTTCAATTGTGCATTCTCCACTTAATTGCATCACCTGCATTGTAAGTGAGTACATCATATGCCATTGAATTGCAGTGCCCTTAAAAGACAACAAAAACTATTTCTTATTTAGCCTTTCAGAAATTCAGAAATTTTAAGAATTTTACTACTTTAAAGTAAATCCAGTGACTTTTTTCCCTACATATAAAAACAATTCCTTCAAAAGAAATTCTGGTGGAATTCAATATTATTTGTCCTTAAAGTTTTAGGAACTCTGCATTGAAGAGGTTTATGTCTCAGTTTCATGTCAGTTCCCTCAGGTGTTTTGTAAACAGAACATCTAAAGAATGACATGGTGTAATTTTATTAGATGCTTTCAGAGAAGAAGAGCTATATATTTTTCCCGTTTATGTTTTTATCACTCATTTATTTCTTGTATGAATTTATTTCATCAAAGTAACTACATGTACGTAAGGTCTAGTAGTACTTAGATGTCTTGCTAGCCCTTTCCATCTGTCATTGCATTTTTCAGATGTGAGGATGGAGATGATTTATTTGCATTTTAAATATGAAGAAACAGGTTATGGGAACATTTTATAACTGCCCCAAATTTCCCAGGTAGCTGACTCATTGGACACTGAAGCTTCCAACTATTAGGAATATCTGGCATTCTATTTTCATGTAAAGGCAGACAGAACAAAAGAGTTTTCCATTCACAGAGATGAGCACATATGATAGAAGTACCTGATGTTACCTTTTTATTCTTTTGAGACAGAGTTTAATTCTTGTCACCCAGGCCGGAGTGCAATGGCATGTTCTTAGCTCACTGCAACCTCTGCCTCCCAGGTTCAAGCGATTCTCCTGCCTCAGCCTCCCAAGTAGCTGGGATTACAGGCATGTACCAGCACGCCTGGCTAATTTTGTATTTTTATTAGAGACGGGGTTTCACCACGTTGGCCAGGCTGGTCTTCAACTCCTGACCTCAGATGATCCACCCACTTCGGCCTCCCAAAGTGCTGGGATTATAGGCGTGAACCAGTGCACCTGGCCCTGATATTACCTTTTGGAGGATAGACCCCAACAATGCCCCTCATCCAGTTTCCATCTCAATTACTGTCTCTTCTCTAGTTTTGTCTCTTAGTCATTCCATGAACGTAGATGCTCAAGCACAGTTTTTATGTAAGTGTTTTAAATTTCCCTACAGCAAAAGCTATCAGGTATGATGGTAAGAGACAGCAGCAAACCGGTGGCATATACTTAAACATTAGGTAAAGGTCTAATAGCTTAAATTCCTGTTAAGATTAGTAATATAGAGAAAATTCCAACTGGAATATGAGCAAAAGAAATGAATAGGAGTGTCATAAAGAAAAGAAATTTATGAAAAAAACTTCACTAATAATTTAAATGTGTGAAAATGTTAATAAAATAGCTTTCTATTTATATATTGGTTTTACTTATATTGTCAATGACTTTTTTAGAAAAAGGAACTGAGTCCTATTTAGCCGGGGTCTAGAGATTCAGGAATGCTTGTACTGTTGCATGAAGAGTGAACTGGGAAAATCTTTGGAGAGGAAAATCTGCCATTACGCTTTCAAAACTTTTTTTTTTGGATGTTGATTTTCTTTTATTTATTTATTTATTTATTTATTTATTATTATTATACTTTAAGTTTTAGGGTACATGTGCACAATGTGCAGGTTTGTTACATATGTATACATGTGCCATGTTGGTGTGCTGCACCCATTAACTCGTCATTTAGCATTAGGTATATCTCCTAATGCTATCCCTCCCCACTCCCCCCACCCCACAACAGTCCCTGGAGTGTGATGTTCCCCTTCCTGTGTCCATGTGTTCTCATTGTTCAATTCCCACCTATGAGTGAGAACATGCAGCGTTTGGTTTTTTGTCCTTGCGATAGTTTGCTGAGAATGATGGTTTCCAGTTTCATCCATGTCCCTACAAAGGACATGAACTCATCCTTTTTTATGGCTGCATAGTATTCCATGGTGTATATGTGCCACATTTTCTTAATCCATCTATCGTTGTTGGACATTTGGGTTGGTTCCAAGTCTTTGCTATTGTGAATAGTGCCAGAATTAACATATGTGTGCATGTGTCTTTATAGCAGCATGATTTATAATCCTTTGGGTATATACCCAGTAATGGGATGGCTGGGTCAAATGGTATTTCTAGTTCTAGATCCCTGAGGAATTGCCACACTGACTTCCACAATGGTTGAACTAGTTTACAGTCCCACCAACAGTGTAAAAGTGTTGCTATTTCTCCACATCCTCTCCAGCACCTGTTGTTTCCTTTTTTTTTTTAACTTTAAAAAAATGTTAATAGAAAAAAAATGCCCAGATAAAGATACCGATCACAGTATCCACATCTATACAATGATTGATCCAGCTGTGGCCCTCCCCTCTCACCCAGCCCCATGTGGCTTCCTTTGAAACTGCAGACTGGAGATGACAGTGGTGAATTCTAGTCCTACTCACTGGATATCAGCATTTCTTTTTTTTAAAATTTTATTATTATTAAACTAAGTTTTAGGGTACATGTGCACAATGTGCAGGTTAGTTACATATGTATACATGTGCCATGCTGGTGTGCTGCACCCATTAACTCGTCATTTAGCATTAGGTATATCTGCTAATGCTATCCCTCCCGCCTCCCCCAACCCCACAACAGTCCCCAGAGTGTGATGTTCCCCTTCCTGTGTCCATGTGTTCTCATTGTTCAGTTCCCACCTATGAGTGAGAACATGTGGTGTTTGGTTTTTCGTCCTTGCGATAGTACTGAGAATGATGATTTCCAATTTCATCCATGTCCCTACAAAGGACATGAACTCATCCTTTTTTATGGCTGCATAGTATTCCATGGTGTATATGTGCCACATTTTCTTAATCCAGTCTATCATTGTTGGACATTTGGGTTGGTTCCAAGTCTTTGCTATTGTGAATAGTGCTGCAATAAACATACGTGTGCATGTGTCTTTATAGCAGCATGATTTATAATCCGTTGGGTATACACCCAGTAGCCATAAAAAATGATGAGTTCATGTCCTTTGTAGGGACATGAACATACATGTGCATGTGTCTTCATAGCAGCATGATTTATAGTCCTTTGGGTATATACCCAGTAATGGGATGGCTGGGTCAAATGGTATTTCTAGTTCTAGATCCCTGAGGAATCGCCACACTGACTTCCACAATGGTTGAACTAGTTTACAGTCGCACCAGCAGTGTAAAAGTGTTCCTGTTTCTCCACATCCTCTCCAGCACCTGTTGTTTCCTGACTTTTTAATGGTTGCCATTCTAACTGGTGTGAGATGGTATCTCATTGTGGTTTTGATTTGCATTTCCCTGATGGCCAGTGATGGTGAGCATTTTTTCATGTGGTTTTTGGCTGCATAAATGTTTTCTTTTGAGAAGTGTCTGTTCATGTCCTTCGCCCACTTTTTGATGGGGTTGTTTGCTTTTTTCTTGTAAATTTGTTTGAGTTCATTGTAGATTCTGGATATTAGCCCTTTGTCAGATGAGTAGGTTGCAAAAATTTTCTCCCATTTTGTAGGTTGCCTGTCCACTCTGATGGTAGTTTCTTTTGCTGTGCAGAAGCTCTTTAGTTTAATTAGATCCCATTTGTCAATTTTGGCTTTTGTTGCCATTGCTTTTAGTGTTTTAGACATGAAGTCCTTGCCCATGCCTATGTCCTGAATGGTAATGCCTAGGTTTTCTTCTAGGGTTTTTATGGTTTTAGGTCTAATGTTTAAGTCTTTAATCCATCTTGAATTAATTTTTGTATAAAGTGTAAGGAAGGGATCCAGTTTCAGCTTTCTACATATGGCTAACCAGTTTTCCCAGCATCATTTATTAAATAGGGAATCCTTTCCCCATTGCTTGTTTTTCTCAGGTTTGTCAAAGATCAGATAGTTGTAGATCTGTGGCGTTATTTCTGAGGGCTCTGTTCTGTTCCATTGATCTATATCTCTGTTTTGGTACCAGTACCATGCTGTTTTGGTTACTGTAGCCTTGTAGTATAGTTTGAAGTCAGGTAGCATGATGCCTCCAGCTTTGTTCTTTTGGCCTAGGATTGACTTGGCGATGTGGGCTCTTTTTTGGTTCCATATGAACTTTACAGTAGTTTTTTCCTATTCTGTGAAGAAAGTCATTGGTAGCTTGATGGGGATGGCATTGAATCTATAAATTACCTTGGGCAGTATGGACATTTTCACGATATTGATTCTTCCTACCCATGAGCATGGAATGTTCTTCCATTTGTTTGTATCCTCTTTTATTTCATCGAGCAGTGGTTTGTAGTTCTCCTTGAAGAGGTCCTTCACATCCCTTGTAAGTTGGATTCCTAGGTATTTTATTCTCTTTGAAGCAATTGTGAATGGGAGTTCACTCATGATTTGGCTCTCTGTTTGTCTGTTATTGGTGTATAAGAATGCTTGTGATTTTTGTACATTGACTTTGTATCCTGAGACTTTGCTGAAGTTGCTTATCAGCTTAAGGAGATTTTGGGCTGAGACAATGGGGTTTTCTAGATATACAATCATGTCATCTGCAAACAGGGACAATTTGACTTCCTCTTTTCCTAATTGAATACCCTTTATTTCCTTCTCCTGCCTGATTGCCCTGGCCAGAACTTCCAACACTATGTTGAATAGGAGTGGTGAGAGAGGGCACCCCTGTCTTGTGCCAGTTTTCAAAGGGAATGCTTCCAGTTTTTGCCCATTCAGTATGATATTGGCTGTGGGTTTGTCATAGATAGCTCTTATTATTTTGAGATATGTCCCATCAATACCTAATTTATTGAGAGTTTTTAGCATGAAGGGTTGTTGAATTTTGTCAAAGGCCTTTTCTGCATCTATTGAGATAATCATGTGGTTTTTGTCTTTGGGTTTCTTTATATGCTGTATTACATTTATTGATTTGCGTATGTTGAACCAGCCTTGCATCCCAGGGATGAAGCCCACTTGATCATGGTGGATAAGCTTTTTGATGTGCTGCTGGATTTGGTTTGCCAGTATTTTATTGAGGATTTTTACATCAATGTTCATCAAGGATATTGGTCTAAAATTCTCTTTTTTGGTTGTGTCTCTGCCTGGCTTTGGTATCAGGATGATGCTAGCCTCATAAAATGAGTTAGGGAGGATTCCCTCTTTTTCTATTGATTGGAATAGTTTCAGAAGGAATGGTACCAGCTCCTCCTTGTACCTCTGGTAGAATTCTGCTGTGAATCCATCTGGTCCTGGACTCTTTTTGGTTGGTAAGCTATTGATTATTGCCACAATTTCAGAGCCTGTTATTGGTCTATTCAGAGATTCAACTTCTTCCTGGTTTAGTCTTGGGAGGGTGTATGTGTTGAGGAATTTATCCATTTCTTCTAGATTTTCTAATTTATTTGCGTAGAGGTGTTTGTAGTATTCTCTGATGGTAGTTTGTATTTCTGTGGGATCAGTGGTGATATCCCATTTATCATTTTTTATTGGGTCTATTTGATTCTTCTCTCTTTTTTTCTTTATTAGTCTTGCTAGCGGTCTATCAATTTTGTTGATCTTTTCAAAAAACCAGCTCCTGGATTCATTAATTTTTTGAAGGGTTTTTTGTGTCTCTATTTCCTTCAGTTCTGCTCTGATTTTAGTTATTTCTTGCCTTCTGCTAGCTTTTGAATGTGTTAGCTCTTGCTTTTCTAGTTCTTTTAATTGTGATGTTAGGGTGTCAGTTTTGGATCTTTCCTGCTTTCTCTTGTGGGCATTTAGTGCTATAAATTTCCCTCTACACACTGCTTTGAATGCGTCCCAGAGATTCTGGTATGTTGTTCTTTGAAACCAATGAGAACAAAGACACATCTTTATTTCTGCCTTCATTTTGTTATATACCCAGTAGTCATTCAGGAGCAGGTTGTTCAGTTTCCATGTAGTTGAGCAGTTTTGAGTGAGTTTCTTAATCCTGAGTTCTAGTTTGATTACACTGTGGTCTGAGAGACAGACAGTTTGTTATAATTTCTGTTCTTTTACATTTGCTGAGGAGAGCTTTACTTCCAACTATGTGGTCAATTTTGGAATAGTTGTGGTGTGGTGCTGAAAAAAATGTATATTCTGTTGATTTGGGGTGGAGAGTTCTGTAGATGTCTATTAGGTCCACTTGGTGCAGAGCTGAGTTCAATTCCTGGGTATCCTTGTTAACTTTCTGTCTCGTTGATCTGTCTGATGCTGACAGTGGGGTGTTAAAGTCCCCCATTATTATTGTGTGGGTGTCTAAGTCTCTTTGTAGGTCACTCAGGACTTGCTTTATCAATCTGGGTGCTCCTGTATTAGGTGCATATATATTTAGGATAGTTAGCTCTTGTTGAATTGATCCCTTTACCATTATGTAATGGCCTTCTTTGTCTCTTTTGATCTTTGTTGGTTTAAAGTCTGTTTTATCAGAGACAAGGATTGCAACCCCTGCCTTTTTTTTGTTTTCCATTTGCTTGGTAGATCTTCCTCCATCCTTTTATTTTGAGCCTATGTGTGTCTCTGCACGTGAGATGGGTTTCCTGAATACAGCACACTGATGGGTCTTGACTCTTTATCCAATTTGCCAGTCTATGTCTTTTAATTGGTGCATTTAGCCCATTTACATTTAAAGTTAATATTGTTATGTGTGAATTTTGTCCTGTCATTTTGATGTTAGCTGGTTATTTTGCTCGTTAGTTGATGCAGTTTCTTCCTAGCCTTGATGGTCTTTACATTTTGGCATGATTTTGCAGTGGCTGGTACTGGTTGTTCCTTTCCATGTTTAGTGCTTCCTTCAGGAGGTCTTTTAGGGCAGGCCTGGTGGTGACAAAATCTCTCAGCATTTGCTTGTCTGTAAAGTATTTTATTTCTCCTTCACTTATGAAGCTTAGTTTGGCTGGATATGAAATTCTGGGTTGAAAATTCTTTTCTTTAAGAATGTTGAATATTGGCCCCCACTCTCTTCTGGCTTGTAGAGTTTCTGCCGAGAGATCCGCTGTTAGTCTGATGGGCTTCCCTTTGTGGGTAACCTGACCTTTCTCTCTGGCTGCCCTTAACATTTTTTCCTTCATTTCAACTTTGGTGAATCTGACAATTATGTGTCTTGGAGTTGCTCTTCTCGAGGAGTATCTTTGTGGCGTTCTCTGTATTTCCTGAATCTGAATGTTGGCCTGCCTTGCTAGATTGGGGAAGTTCTCTTGGATAATATCCTGCAGAGTGTTTCCAACTTGGTTCCATTCTCCCCGTCACTTTCAGGTACACCAATCAGACGTAGATCTGGTCTTTTCACATAGTCCCATATTTCTTGGAGGCTTTGTTCGTTTCTTTTTATTCTTTTTTCTCTGAACTTCCGTTCTCGCTTCATTTCATTCATTTCATCTTCCATCACTGATACCCTTTCTTCCAGTTGATCGCATCGGCTCCTGAGGCTTCTGCATTCTTCATGTAGTTCTCGAGCCTTGGCTTTCAGCTCCATCAGCTCCTTTAAGCACTTCTCTGTATTGGTTATTCTAGTTATACATTTGTCTAAATTTTTTTCAAAGTTTTTAACTTCTTTGCCATTTGTTTGAATTTCCTCCTGAAGCTCGGAGTAGTTTGATCGTCTGAAGCCTTCTCTCAACTCGTCAAAGTCATTCTCCATCCAGCTTTGTTCCATTGCTGGTGAGGAGCTGCATTCCTTTGGAGGAGGAGAGGCGCTCTGCTTTTTAGAGTTTCCAGTTTTTCTGCTCTGTTTTTTCCCCATCTTTATGGTTTTATCTAGTTTTGGTCTTTGATGCTGGTGATGTACAGATGGGTTTTTGGTGTGGATGTCCTTTCTGTTTGTTAGTGTTCCTTCTAACAGACAGGACCCTCAGCTGCAGGTCTGTTGGAGTTTGCTAGAGGTCCACTCCAGACCCTTTTTGCCTGGGTATCAGCAGCGGTGGCTGCAGAACAGCGGTGGCTGTAGAACAGCAGATATTGGTGATCTGCAAATGCTGCTGCCTGATTGTTCCTCTGGAAGTTTTGTCTCAGAGGAGTACTCAGCTGTGTGAGGTGTCAGTCTGCCCCTACTGGGGGGGTGTCTCCCAGTTAGGCTGCTTGGAGGTCAAGGACCCACTTCAGGAGGCAGTCTGCCGGATCTCAGATCTCCAGCTGCATGCTGGGAGAACCACTACTCTGTTCAAAGCTGTCAGACAGGGACATTTAAGTCTGCAGAGGTTATTGCTGTCTTTTTGTTTGTGCCCTGCCCCTAGAGGTGGAGCCTACAGAGGCAGGCAGGCCTCCTTGAGCTGTGGTGGGCTCCACCCAGTTCGAGCTTCCAGGCTGCTTTGTTTACCTAATCAAGCCTGGGCAATGGCAGGCGCCCTCCCCCAGCCTCGCTGCCTCCTTGCAGTTTGATCTCAGACTGCTGTGCTAGCAATCAGCGAGACTCTGTGGGCGTAGGACCCTCCGAGCCATGTGCAGGATATAATCTCCTGGTGTGCCGTTTTTTAAGTCCATTGGAAAAGCGCAGTATTAGGGTGGGAGTGACCTGATTTTCCAGGTGCCGTCTGTCACCCCTTTCTTTGACTAGGAAAGGGAACTCCTTGACCCCTTGTGCTTCCCAAGTGAGGCAATGCCTCACCCTGCTTTGGCTCACACCCAGTGTGCTGCACCCACTGCCCTGCGCCCACTGTCTGGCACTCCCTAGTGAGATGAACCCAGTACCTCAGATGGAAATGCAGAAATCACCCGTCTTCTGCATTGCTCATGCTGGGAGCTGTAGACCGGAGCTGTTCCTATTCAGCCATCTTGGCTCCACCCCTCAAAACTTTTAAAGTAAATATTCTATGACTTTGCAGTTGCTACTTCTTGGCCATGAGCTCTGTAAAAGGATCTTTGTAGTATTGGTTATAAGTAAAAATCTGTAATTAATTGTACATTATTTGGATTGGTTAGAGATAAATCTTCAGTTCCAAGGAATCCTGTTGTATGTAGTCACAAAATAGGACAAAAGAGATGATAAAGATATGCGTTGTTCGAGTTTATTGAGCATGTATGGTGTGCTAGGCACTTCTAAGTGCTTGACATATATTCATTCATCTGATCCTTTCAAACACTTTATGATCTATTTATTTTAATTCTAAAAATTTATTTATTTTAAGACAGTGTCTCACCCCTGTCACCCAGGCTGGAGTGCAGTGGCGCCATCTTGGCTCACTGCAACCTCCGCTTCCCAGGTTCAAGTGATTCTCCTGCCTCAGCCTCCTGAGTAGCTGGGATTACAGACGCACATCACCACGCCTGGCTAATTTTTTTGTATTTTTAGTAGAGACGGGGTTTCAGCATCTTAGCCAGGCTGGTCTCAAACTCCTGGCCTCAAGTGATTTGCCCGCCTCGGCCTCCCAAAGTGCTGGCATTACAGGTGTGAGCCACTGTGCCTAGCCTGAAAATTTATTTTTAAAAATTGAGACAGGGTCTCACTCTGTTGCCCAGGCTGAAGTGCAGTGGCACAATCATGGCTCACTGCACCGTCAAACTCCTGGGCTGAAGTGATCCTTCTGTGTCAGGCTCATACACCTTATAATTTAGATACAATGATAAAGAAGAGGAAATTCAGTTAGTGAGAGATTAAGGAATTTGCCCAAGGTCCTATAACTAGTAAAAGGCAAAACCTTGAAATTTGAACCTGGCCAGACTCCAGAGCCAGTGCTTTAAATTAAGCAGCTGTGCATCCTGTAGTAGGTGGATGTGACATGTGCCTTGAAAGCACAGGAAGAGCTATATACCTGTCCAGGGGGTTGCTGAAGGCCTGTGAACTTTGCAAACGTTAAAAACAATGATAGGGCCAGGCTCAGTGGCTCACACCTATAATCACAGCACTTTGGGAGGCCAAGGCGGGCAGATCATTGGAGGTCAGGAGTTTGAGACCAGCCTGGCCAACATGGTGAAACCCCGTCTCTACTAAATAAATACAAAAATTAGCCGGGCATGGTAGTAGACGCCTGTAATCCCACCTACTTGGGAGGCTAAGGCAGGAGAATCTCTTGAACCCGGGAGGCGGAGGTTGCAGTGAGCAGAGATTGCGCCACTGCTCCAGCACGGGTGACAGAGTGAGACTCCATCTCAAAAAAGAAAAAAACAAAAAACAGTGATAAACTACAGGCTTTATGGGGATGAGCGTAGGAGATAGTGAGACAGGGAAAACTGTAACAGCTGAAAATTGACTGAGATCTCTTGGAATCTATAACAACTTTTTTGTGGTGCTCTTTTCCTTCTTGATGCCACCCTTCTTCTAGTGAAGGTTGGTTGTAAGATTGAGGTTACATGTGTTTGATATTGTAGGAGGCTGTGACATTCAAGGATGTGGCTGTGGTCTTCTCCAGGGAGGAACTGCGACTGCTCGATCTTACCCAGAGGAAGCTGTACCGAGATGTCATGGTGGAGAACTTCAAGAACCTGGTTGCAGTGGGTGAGGACAGGCACTCTCTGACCCTGAACTTCAGTTCCCTTGAGAATCTCTTTGCTCTCAGGTGTTTAAGGGTTTGGACCTTTTAAAATGGTTCTTTGCTCTTGAAGACAAAAGGTTTTCTAATCCCTGGGAAAACAGGATAGGTTTTTCTGGTCTTTCTGCTCAGGCAAAATTCTGTCCTTTTAAATTGCTGGTTCTCAACCATGGGTGATTTCGCCCCCAGAAGATATTTGGCAATGTCTGGAAATGGTTGTCACACCTGACAGAGGGGTGCTATTGGCATTTTGTGGGTAGTATCCAGGAATTCTGCAAAATCTCCTACAGTGCACAGGACAGTGCCCCCAACAGAGAATTGGCCAGTCCAAAATAGTAGTGCTGCAGTTGCAAAACCCTGTTTTAAATGAACCGTAAATGGACACATTAGCTTCTATGCTTTATCTTTCAAATACGTTGTCTTTCAAATGAAACCCATCAATGCATTAACTTAGTGCACTGTACTGGCTTTTTTTTCAATGAAATAAAACAGATAAGGATAGAAAATATCAGAGCTTCTTATCAGGAACTGCTCACATTGCAACAAAAACTGACAATTTTCAGTGAATGGTGTGAGATACAGCATTGCAAATGTGATGAAAACAGACATTAGCCAAGTATAACTTGAGAGAGAGATATATTATATATATATGAACTAGGCTACAACCTAAATTTCTTATTATAGTTCATGATCTTAAAACATCTTAAAATAAATCACTCTAGAGGCCGGGCATGGTGGCTTACGCCTTTAATTGCAGCAATACGGGAGGCCAGGGTGGGTGGATCACTTGAGGTCACGAGTTCAAGACCATCCTGGCCAACATGGTGAAACCCCATCTCTACTAAAAATGCAAAAATTAGCCGGGTGTGGTGGCAGGTGCCTGTAATCCCAACTACTCGGGAGGCTGAGGCAGGAGACTTGCTTGAACCCTGGAGGCAGAGGTTGCAGTGAGCCGAGATTGTGCCATTGCACTTCAGCCTGGGCGATAGAGTGAGACTCTGTCTCAAAATAAATAAATAAAATAATAAAATATCACTATAGAGGTTGTGAGGCTTATAGGGTTCAGACAAAAATGTGTTTTAGTTGTGTGTTCATCTTAAATACATAAAAATCTACATTTTCATAGGGCATCTTCCCTTCCAACCAGATATGGTATCCCAATTGGAAGCAGAAGAAAAGCTTTGGATGATGGAAACAGAAACCCAAAGAAGTAGGTATTCTGGTGAGAACCCTGTGTCTGTTCTTTCAGGTACTGGTTAGTCTGCATCTTACCATGTCCATGACCTCCCTGGTCTGAGTGTTAAAATCTTTCACCTGGATTATAACAATAGCTTCCATGCTGGTCTCCCCACCTCCTCCCTTGTGCTCCTATAATCTGCTTTCTAAATGGTAGCCGGAGTGGTTCTTTTTTTAATCTTTATTTTTTTGAGACAGGGTCTCACCCTGTCACCCAGGCTGGAGTGCAGCAGCATGATTGTAGCTCACTGCAGCCTCAACCTCCTGATTTCAAGTGGTCCTCCCACCTCAGCCTCCTAAGTAGCTAGGACTATAGGTATATATCATGATACCTGGCTAATTTTTTATTTTTTGTAGAGATGAGGTCTTGCTGTGTTGCCCAGGCTGGTCTCAAACTCCTGGACTCAAGCAGTCTTCCCACCTCGGCCTCCCAAAGTGCTGGGATTACAGATGTGAGTTGCCGCACCCGGCCCAGAATGGTTCTTTAAAGAACACATGAGATGATGTTATTCCTCTGCTCAGAAGCCTTCACAACCTTCCCATTTCACTCAAAGTCCTTGTACTGAACTGCAAGACCCTACCTGGTCTCATCTCACCAAGTTTCTCTTTGATCTCCCATTCCTTTCCCTTTGCTTAGATCATTTCAGCCATGCTGGCCGCCGTTGGAGTATTTGTTAAGCATACCAAGTTCCCTTCTCTTCCATGGCTTCTAATTAGCTCTCCTCATTGCCTTGGTGGAGAGGCTCCCCAGCACCTTACTTACTGCACTCAGGTCATTCCTCAAATGTTATATCATTAGAGAGGCCTTCTATGTTTAAATTTACCATTTTAATTTAAAATACCATCTTCCTTCCATTTTCCATCCCCTTACCTTTCCTTTCTCTCCTTCTTTGCTTTCTCTTGAATTTGCATATTCCTCAGGTCTATTGACTTAAAAATTAAAAGTAAGCTGGGTATGGTGGTACATACCTGTAATCCTGGCTACATGGGAGGCTGAAGTGAGAGGATCACTTGAGCTGAAGAGTTCCAGACCAACCTGGGCAACATAGTGAGACTCCATCTCTACAAAAAAAAAAAAAAAAAAATATATATATATATATATATATATATATCTTAGCCAGGCATGTTAGCATACATCTGTAGTCCCAGCTACTTGGGAGGAGCATCAAGTGAGCCCAGGAATTTGAGACCAACCTGGACAACATAGTGAGACCTTGTCTCCCACACACACAAAATTAAAAGTAAAAATTAGATATTCCTAGATGATGTGAATTTTTTTTTTTTTTGAGACCGAGTCTTGCTTGCTCTGTCACCTAGGCTGGAAAGCAGTGGTGCCATCTTGGCTCACTGCAACCTCTGCCTCCCGGGTTCAAGTGATTGTCCTGCCTCAGCCTCCGAAGTTACTGGGATTACAGGTGACCACCACCATGCCCAACTAATTTTTGTATTTTTAATAGAGATGGGGTTTCACCATGTTGGCCAGGCTGGTATTGAAGTTCTGATCTTACCCACTTTGGCCTCCCAAAAGTGTCACCCAGGCTGGAGTGCAGTGGCATGATCTTGGCTCACTGCAACCTTCGCCTCCTGGGTTCAAGCAATTCTGCTTTAGCCTCCCGAGTAGCTGGGATTACAGGCGCCTGCCACCACACCCGGCTAATTTTTGTATTTTTAGTAGAGATGGGGTTTCACCATGTTGGCCAGGCTGGTCTCGAACTCCTGAGATCGTGGTCCACCTGTCTCAGCCTCCCAAAATGCTGGGATTACAGGCATGAACCACCATGCTCAGCCAAAGGGTTTGTTTTTATAAGAATTCTTAACAAAAAACTTACAGAGAATGGAGACAAGTAGATATCACATCCCTTTTACTCAGAGTTAGCTCATAGATTGAGAGCACACCAGTGTGATTAATTATTTGGGAACACTGTCTTCTAGTGAATGTCTAACATAATTAGTAATTTCTAAGACATTTTTGGACATGTAAATATTCAAACCTACTAACCTTAGAAGATAAAAGCTATTCACAGTTGTTGGAATGTAGAACTTCACTATCAAAAATTATCAGTGGCAATATGGCAGGTATTATAGTTCATCAGTTTCCCTGTATCAATTTCAAGTTGGCTTTACTCATTGGTGAAAACTGCCTTATCCATACAGCTGACTTCCCACTTTCCCATTTCCCCTTCCCTCTAATACCAAAACAGTTATATAACCTACATACAGTAGTTCTTTAGCAGTTTTGAATTGGACATTTCCAGAAGTCCAGAGGCACTGACATACCTGTGGAGTTGAGGTGAGTCCTGATTAGGCAAAGAAAATTCCAGAATTTCTAAATTGGGTTTCCAGTGTAATTTGCATCCACATGTATTAATCTTAGCTTCTAGCACCAGCAATGTGAGAAGCACTTTACATGTTGCAGTGACTTCTGACACCAAACACCTGAAGTTAGGCCGGACTTTCAGAGTAAGGGCATAGTTTTCCACAAGACTGCTCTCTATATCGCTCTAAGTTTATATATCGCTCTAAGTTTAGGGATTCCCAGATAATTTTGCTCACCTCTGACCAAGTAGCTACAAATTTGGGAGTTCCCGTGATAATTTGTTAGAATGACTGACAGAACTCGGGAAGGTGCTGGACTTACAGTTTTATTATAGCAAAAAAGATACATGTTGGAAGCAGCAAAAGGGAGAGATATATAGGGTGAAATCTGGGTGGCTTCCCTCTTTCTTCCCTTTTGTAAGGACTTGTGATTACTTTAGGCTCATTGGATAATCTAGGATAATCTCCTTAAGAGCTTTCATTTAATCATATCTATAAATTGCTTGTTTTTTTGTTTTTTTTTTTTGTAGACGGAGTCATGCTCCGTCGTCCAGGCTAAAGTGCAGTGGTGCAATCTTGGCTCACTGCAACCTCTGCCTTCTGGGATCAAGCGATTCTCATATCTCAGCTTCCCTAGTAGCTTACAGGTGCCTGCCACCATGCCAGGCTAATTGTTTTTTTAGTTTTTTAGCGGAGACGGGGTTTCACCATGTTGTGGGCCAGGCTGGTCTCGAACTCCTGACCTCAAGTGATCCACCTGCCTCGGCCTCACAAAGTGCTGGGATTACAGGTGTGAGCCACTGTGCCTGGCCTGTAAATTCCTTTTTGCCATGTACATTAACTATTCACAGGTTTGAGAGTTCAGGCTGTGGACATCTCTTGGGGGTGGGGTGTCATTACTCAGCCTGCCATATCCAGAAATGTGTAGACACCTGTTGCTATTTTTTTTTCAGTTTGTATTATTAGAATGTAACATTTCATTTAGGCAAATTATTTGATTAGGACTTGGTAAACCACCCCCTAAACATTTTAAGCCAAGGTCTTTCATACGTTTCTAACCATGACCCTCAACATAAGTATAATTTTACATCTTGACTAAGCATAAATATGTTTATATTTATGTGTATATTTACCAACTAAAACAAGTATTTCCTATAGTAGTACTCTTATTGCTTTTAATACACTAAGCATGTCTTATTCTGTTTTTTGTTTTTTTGTCAGTCACAAGTTACATACTTGGTTTCATGGTGCACTAATGCATTGCAACAATTTGAAAACCCTTGTTAACAGTGGGGATAAAGCAATGAAGAAAACAAAATGCGTGTTTTTTTCATGACCGTTACATTCTACTGGGTCTAAAGAGACAAAGGAAAGTATATAGTAAATCAAATAATAAGTACTGTGGGGAAAAGTCAAGCAGGGTAATTGAACTGGAAAGAGTCGAAGGTGTATGGCAGGCCGGGCGTGGTGGTTCAGCCTGTAATCCCAGCACTCTGGGAGGCCGAGGTGGGCAGATTACTTGAGGTCGGGAGTTCGAGACCAGCCTGGCCAACATGGCAAAACCCCATCTCTACTAAAAATACAAAAATTGGCTGAGTGTAGTGGCATGCGCCAGTAATCCCCGCTACCCGGGAGGCTGAGGAGGAGAATCTCTTGAACCCAGGAGGTGGAGGTTGCAGTGAGCTGAAATCACACCACTGCACTCCAGCCTGGGCGACAGAGCGAGACGCTGTTTTTTAAAAAAAAAATGGCGTATGGTGGTACCGTTGATTTATTTTTACATCGTGTGTTATGGAAGGCATCACAGATAAAGTAACATGTAACATGTGAGCAGAGACCTGAAGGGAGCGAGAGAACAAGCAAGGCTCCCTGCTTTCTGGGAGGAAGTTTCCAAGCTGAACATACCTCTCCCTCTCTTCGTCTTCTGTGTTGGCTTTGAGAGTTTGCACTATGCTCTATTTCCTCTCCGAAGTTCTCTCCTAGTTATACAAGATTAGCTTTCCCTTTTCCACTTGTCCAGAGACCTGGATTTCTACCAGGTTTTAGAACAATCATATTATTCCAACTGCCTTCCCAAATCTGTTGGAGAATAATTTCTATCAGGATCTAAAATAGTATTTCATGCCTACAGTCTGAACTTTTCTTAACCTAACTAGTTATTAGAATCCCGCTTGTCATAAGCCTACTGAGGAAGAGGTGAGTAGGCTGTTCATTGATGTTATTGTAGGTTGGAATATGGATTTTCTTTTTGTTGCCCTGCAGCTACCTGATTTTAGCTTTTAGCTCTCATATTAAACTGTTAGACTTACGGTTCTACATGGATCATGTTTATACTTAGTGAATGGGAGCCTGTTGACCCCACTCTTCGTTTACACCTGTATGAAAAACATGTCAAAAGAATACACGATGCTGTAAGGACAAGGTCACCTTTCGCCTGGTTTATCAAGGCTTTCTCCCATGGCCTAAGTGTGAAATTCTGATATTTCTGAAGAAAGCATTTACTGCCCTCATCTCTAAATATTGCCTTTTTTCTTTTTTAATAGGCAGCAAGCATCAAAATAAGATGGAAACACTCCAAAAATTTGCATTAAAATACCTTTCAAATCAAGAGCTGTCCTGCTGGCAAATCTGGAAACAGGTTGCAAGTGAATTAACCAGGTGTCTTCAGGGGAAGAGTTCCCAGTTATTACAAGGTGACTCTATTCAGGTTTCTGAAAATGAGAACAATATAATGAACCCTAAAGGAGATAGCTCTATTTATATTGAAAATCAAGAGTTTCCATTTTGGAGAACCCAGCATTCTTGCGGGAATACATATCTGAGTGAGTCACAGATTCAGAGTAGAGGTAAGCAAATTGATGTGAAAAATAACCTGCAAATACATGAAGACTTCATGAAGAAATCACCATTTCATGAGCATATTAAAACTGACACAGAACCAAAACCCTGCAAAGGTAATGAATATGGCAAAATCATTAGTGATGGCTCCAATCAGAAATTACCCTTAGGAGAGAAACCCCATCCATGTGGTGAGTGTGGAAGGGGCTTCAGTTATAGCCCAAGGCTTCCCCTTCATCCGAATGTTCATACAGGAGAAAAATGCTTCAGTCAAAGCTCACATCTGCGAACTCATCAGAGAATTCACCCAGGAGAGAAACTCAATAGATGTCATGAATCTGGTGATTGCTTCAATAAGAGCTCTTTTCATTCTTATCAATCTAATCATACAGGAGAGAAGTCTTATAGATGCGACAGTTGCGGCAAGGGATTCAGTAGCAGCACGGGTCTTATCATTCATTACAGAACTCATACTGGAGAGAAACCCTATAAATGCGAGGAATGTGGTAAATGCTTTAGTCAAAGTTCAAATTTTCAGTGCCATCAGAGAGTCCACACTGAAGAAAAACCATACAAATGCGAAGAGTGTGGTAAGGGCTTCGGTTGGAGTGTTAATCTCCGTGTTCACCAGAGGGTCCACAGGGGTGAGAAGCCCTATAAATGTGAGGAATGTGGTAAGGGCTTCACTCAGGCTGCACATTTTCACATCCATCAGAGAGTCCACACTGGAGAGAAACCCTACAAGTGTGATGTGTGTGGTAAGGGCTTCAGCCACAATTCACCATTAATATGCCATCGGAGAGTCCACACAGGAGAGAAGCCATACAAGTGTGAGGCGTGTGGGAAAGGCTTTACCCGTAATACAGATCTGCATATTCATTTCAGAGTTCACACGGGAGAGAAACCCTATAAATGTAAGGAGTGTGGTAAGGGCTTCAGTCAGGCTTCAAATCTTCAAGTCCATCAGAATGTCCACACTGGGGAGAAACGATTCAAGTGTGAAACGTGTGGGAAGGGCTTCAGTCAGTCCTCAAAGCTTCAAACCCATCAGCGAGTCCACACTGGAGAGAAACCATATAGATGTGATGTGTGTGGTAAGGACTTCAGTTATAGTTCAAATCTTAAACTACACCAAGTAATTCACACTGGAGAAAAACCATATAAATGTGAGGAATGTGGGAAGGGCTTCAGTTGGAGATCAAATCTTCATGCACATCAAAGAGTTCACTCAGGAGAAAAACCCTATAAATGTGAGCAGTGTGATAAGAGCTTCAGTCAGGCCATAGATTTTCGGGTACATCAGAGAGTCCATACTGGAGAGAAGCCATACAAATGTGGTGTCTGTGGTAAGGGCTTCAGTCAGTCCTCTGGTCTTCAATCCCATCAGAGAGTCCACACGGGGGAAAAGCCATACAAATGTGATGTGTGTGGAAAGGGCTTTAGATACAGTTCGCAGTTTATATACCATCAGAGAGGCCACACTGGAGAAAAACCTTACAAATGTGAAGAGTGTGGGAAAGGCTTTGGTAGGAGCTTGAATCTTCGCCATCATCAGAGGGTCCACACGGGAGAGAAACCCCATATATGTGAGGAGTGTGGTAAGGCCTTCAGTCTCCCCTCAAATCTTCGAGTCCACCTGGGTGTTCACACCAGGGAAAAACTCTTTAAATGTGAAGAGTGTGGTAAAGGCTTCAGTCAGAGTGCACGTCTTGAAGCCCATCAGAGAGTCCACACTGGAGAAAAACCATACAAATGTGACATATGTGATAAGGACTTCCGTCACCGTTCACGTCTTACATATCATCAGAAAGTCCATACTGGTAAAAAGCTTTAGAAATGAGAAATGTGTTACCAACTTTTGTCTGAATGCACATCTTCAAGTTTTTGGCTAGTCCATGCTGGTGGTAAACCCTGTAAAACTACTGAGAGTGGAAGGGGGTTTGTTCACACTTGGAATCTTTCTAACAAATCCATCAAGATGATAACACAGAACCATGAACAGGAATAGAACTCGTATTTAGGGGAGAAATAGGGCTGGTGGCTCTCTTGGTAAGATCTAGTTAATATAAATGATCACCTTTCATTGTGAATATATGCCTGAAGATAATGTGTGGAAGGATATTTGCCATATGCTAACTGGTTTTTTGGCCAGGGAGAGTTTTGGGTTATTATCCCTTTTCTTTAATTTTCATTTTATACTTACAGTGATCATTATTTTCATAAAAGCTGTAAAGCTATGAAAAATGAATAAAATTACTAAAAATTTTCTGTAGCTAAGGACTCATGATTCTTTTATATGGTATATAGGTGTAAAATTAAGGAATATATCCCCAGAGATGAATCTTTGATCTTCAGAAGTAAATTTATATCTGCTGTAGAGGTGTATTAAAGGATAGTAGTATGGCCGGGCACGGTGGCTCACGCCTGTAATCCCAGCACTTTGGGAGGCCAAGGTGGGCGGATCACAAGGTCAGAAGATTGAGAACATCCTGGCTAATATGGTGAAACCCCATCTCTACTAAAAATACAAAAAATTGGCCAGGCATGGTGGCACGTGCCTGTAGTCCTAGCTACTCGGGAGGCGGAGGCAGGAGAATCGCTTGAACCCAGGAGGTGGAGTTCGCAGTGAGCCAAGATTGCGCCACTGCACTCCAGCCTGGTGACAGAGCGAGACTCCATCTCAAATAAATAAAGAAGAAAGAGAGAGAGAGAGCAAGAGAAAGAGAAAAGAGGATAGTCGGTGCATCATTGTTTTAGTAGCAAACATAGAAATACTTGGATTGCCAAAGTATTTTGTGCTTTACCAATCCAGTGGCACACTATGCAGACATCAAATGGGAAAAGGTAAATTTTTAGCTGTGGATATTGGAAGATGTTCAGAATATATTAACTTGAAAAACAAAATGTGAGATTTTTATGTGATCCTATTTTGTAAAAACGCATAGATGAATGGGTATTATAGTTCTCTCTAAATAATGGGATTTTACTTTATGTATATTTTTATATTTCTTTAAACTTATTTTGAAATAATTTGAAACTTTCAGAAAAATTACAGAAATTATATAAAAGCTCCCATATACTCTTTACCCAGATTCACCAGTTGTTAAGATGTTTGAATTATTCTCTCAATAAGTATGAGCGTGTATATACTGATACTTATACATACTAAACGCATTTATATATAAAGTTTTGCCATATGAATATGTTACAGACATCCTTCTCCCTACACTAAATACTTAAGTGTGCTTTCCTAAGAACAAGGATATCTACTTAGTTACAGTACAACATTCCAGTGATTTATTTATTTAGAGACAGGGTCTCATTCTGTTGCCCAGGCTGAGTGCAGGGTGGTGATTATAGCTCACCGCAGCCTTGAACTCCTGGGCTCAAGCAATCCTCCCCACTCAGCCTTTCAAGTAGCTGGGACTGCAGGCGTGGACCACCATGCCCACCTAATTTTTAAGATTTTTGTAGAGATGGGCTCTCGCTATGTTGTCTAAGCTGGTATCGAACTCTTGGGCTTAAGTGATCGTTCCACCTCAGCCTTCCAAAATGCAAGGTTTACAGGCATGAGCCACTGCACCCAGAAAGAAAATTTATTATTGATACATAACACTATGTAACCTACAGACCTTATTTAAATCTTAAAATTATCCCAATAATATATTTATTGTTTTTCTGCTCTAGAGTCCAAAGATTACACATTGCATTTAGACTCCTTTAATCTGAGTTGCTACCTCTGTTTTTAATGACCTTGATATTTTTGAGATTATTTTGTAGAATGTCTCTTAATTTGGATTTGCCTGAGGTTTCCTTACAATTGGATTTAAATTACACATTTTTTTCCCATGAGGACTCTGTAAGTGGTGTGCAGCACGTGAGGAAACGAGGTATGTTTGTACCTTTATAGGTGATGTTAACTTGGAACACTTGATTGGGGAGGGCGGTGCTGGGTTTTTCCACTGCGAAATTACTATTTTTTTCTTTGTAATTAATAATTACAAAGGCAACTCCTGGGGAGACACTTTCTGACTCTAAATAGCTTGTTTTTCAGTAAATTTTCCTCCACTAGTTTAAGCATTCTGTAAGTCTGGTCTAAATCAGTAATTGCTCTGATGGTGCGAAAGTGTGATATATTCAACTTTCATCATTCCTCCAACACTTGTTAGATTGTTGTTCTACTCTAAGGAAGTTTCCCTTCTGTCCTGTTTGCCCATCATGTATTTTTAAATAAATTGGAGCACATCTTTACTCTGACACAATACAGTGTTCCAAGCTCATCTTGTACCCTTCCTGCACCATCCATGGAATTTGCTGTTTCTTTGAGAACTCAGATTCTTCTGATTGGGGGATGGTAGTTAAACATCAAGATCTGGGTAATAGCTGTGCCTTTTTTTTTTTCCCTCTAGGAAGGAGGGGAAAGAGTTATACAGATAGGAAGAGAAGTAGAAAGGTAGAAAGAATTAATGATGAGTTCCTGCTTTTATCTCTAGTTCTTAAATTAATATCATAGTGTTTTTTTTCTAGCCTTACCCCCATTCTATGTTGCATCTTCATTCTTCAAGAATCAGAAATTTGTCTCCCAGTATCATTCATATATTTACTGGGGAATGTGGACATGCATCCAACTAGAACTTGGGGGTTCTGTCTTTCAGAGAGAACGGGAGTATTGGATGACTGATGCCAGAGATGATTTTTGAATGGCATAGTCTCCCAAACATTATAATTTTTCCTATTCTCAGGGTATTGACCCTTTAAACCAAATAAAATGTTCCCGTAGGGCCATGAAGAAAAGTATCTGATAGAAATATCCAAAGATAGATATATTCAGATGAGAGCCTTCCAGTCAATGTTTCCTTGCAGATAGTGTTAAGGAATGGTTTCTGGTGAAGTGTTGCGGAGCTCTCCTAGCCTGTGAGTGTCACGGATGCCATTGATTAGCATTGCTTTACTTTATTTACCTCTCATTCTCTGAACCTTCTCAGAGGTAGTTTGACAAAGTTCTCAAAGCACATCCCTCTACTGCTTCTTGAGAGGACCAAGGCATTTTAGGAGAAACTAGTGTTAACGAGACCAAGTCAGAATATTGGTAATAAAGTAGTAGAGTATAATAGAAAGCAGACTGTCAGCCAGGCACAGTGGCTCACACCTATAGTCTCAACTACTCAGGAGGCTGAGGTGGGAGGATCACTTGAGCCCAGGAGTTTGAAGCTGCAGTGAGCTGTGATTGGACCACTGCATTCCAGCCTGGGTGACAGTGAGACCCCATCTTGAAAAAGCCAACTGGGTGCAGTGGCTCCCGCCTTTAATCCCAGCACTTTGGCTGGCCGAAGTGGGTGGATCACCTGAGGTTAGGAGTTCCAGACCAGTCTAGTCAACATGGTGAAGCCCTGTCTCTACTAAAAATACAAAAAGTTAGCCAGGCGTGGTGGTTAGCCCCTGTAATCCTAGCTATTCGGCTGAGGCAGGAGAATCAATTGAACCCAGCAGGTGGATGTTGTAGTGAGCTCAGATCGTGCCATTGCACTCCAGCCTGGGCAACGAGTGAAACTCCATCTCAAAAAAAAAAAAAAAAAAAGAAAAGAAGAAAAGAAAAAGCCAACCCTGGAACCCTGGAATTAGACTTTCTTGCTCAGTGTAACCATTTGCTAGTTGCGTAACTGCAGGCAAAATGCTTAACCTCTCTATTCCTCAATTTGCTTGTGTCTTCAATGTTTGAGGATAATATCTTTTAGTTCTGTGGTAAGGGTTAAAACTATATGCCTGGCATATAGTAAGACCTGTATAGTGTTAACTATTATTTTCAACATAGATGTCACTATTACTAGATTTCTGCTAATTTATATTTGAAATTTCTAAGGAAGGGATCAGTAAACTATAGCCTGCTGGCCAAATCTAGCCTGTGTCCTCTCTTTGTACAACACGAGAGCTGAGATTTTAAATGTTTAAAGAGTTGTAAGAAAAAAAAAATGCTACAGAGACCATCTGTGGCCCGCAAGACTTAAAACATTACTGTCTGGCCCTTTTTAGGAAGTTTGCCGTTCTCTGATCTAAGCAAATTTTAGTTTCTCAGAAGCCTTGCTTCTGAGATACATACATACTACAGATATGTATTATCTCAATTCAGTACTTCTCAAATCTTTTAGGTTTAAAAAAAATGCTCGAATTGACATAAGAAAACACAAGCATATTTTTTACAGAAAATTGGGACCATATATGAAGCAATGTGCTGTGTGTCCAATGTGTAGTTAATCTGCAATTCTATGAATAAATGTTATTGGTTTTTTTTTTTTTTTTTGGTAAGTAAACTTAGGTTTTACAGGTTTAAGTACCTTCCCTAAGTCAGTCAGTAGTGAATGTCACAACCACAGTTTGAACTCAGGTCTATCTTGCTGACTTCAAAACTACTCTTAAATGCTATGTGCATAAATTACATTGCAAGGCCAGAACTCCTAAGTTTACATTCTGTAGAGCATGCATCCCATTTCACACAAGTAAAGTGCAAATATAAGAATGGAATATCCTTCAAAAAGAACGAAATTTGCCTAGGAAGTCTTTTGCTCCATTTCGACTCAGGCTTTTCCTATACTAAGTCAATAATCTAGGCAAGCTTGTCCAACTTGCAGCCCAGGACAGCTTTGAAAGTGGCCCAACACAAATTCATAAACTTTCTAAAACATGAGATTGTTTTTGCAAATTTTTAAAGCTCATCAGCTATTTTATGGGTGACCCAAGACAATTATTCTTCTAGTGTGGCCCAGGGAAGCTAAAAGATTGGACACCTCGATCTAGGAGATATGTTTTGTATTTCCTATGTCCTTGATTACATTTCTGACCTCGTTGATGCCATTAATTTTTAAATATTTCTTCTTGTTTGATGATTAAAAATCCAATACTGAAAAATTAACTCAAATGTTGAAAAAGAACAGCCATGTTTGAAGCTTTAACCTAGCAGTTGTAACCTAACTGAATGTACCTCTTCCAACTGTAATTTTGCAGTCCACTTGAGGAAGGAATCCTTTTTAGGACTTACCTGAAACTATTTACTTGGCAGTTCCTCCACAAAATCAGGTTTATTTAAAAATATGCAGCTTTTTCCAGGCATGGTGGCTCATGCCTGTAATCTCAGCACTTTCAGAGGCTGAGGCAGGAGAATGGCTTGAACCCCGGAGTTCAAGACCAGCATGGGCAACATAGTGAGACCCCATCTCTACAAAAAAATCAAAAAATTAGCCGGGCATTGTGTCACGTGCCTATAGTCCCAGCTACAGGCTCAGTGGCTGAAGTGGGAGGATTGCTAGAGCCCAGGAGGTTGAGGCTGCAGTTGTGATGTTGCACTGCTCTCCAGCCTGGGGCCCTGACTCAGAAATAATAATCTTAAAAATGCAGGTTTTAGGATAGCCATTCACTTGAAAATTCTAAGTTGGAGAGCCTTTTGACAATGTATACCCATATTTCTCTTCTCTTTTTCCCTCCCCCTTTTAAGTTGTGAGGTATAATTAACATACAATAAGCTGTACATATTTAAAGTGTTCGATTTTTAAAGTTTTAATATGTGTATCTTTGAAACCATCACCACAATCAAGATAGCAAAAATATCCATCATTCTTCAAAGTCACCTCATATCTCCCTTTTAATCTCCATTCTGCTCCTCCCCAATCCCCAAGCAACCACTGATCTGCTTTCTGACACTGTATAGTTTGCATTTTCTACAATTCTAACAAATGGAAACTGTACAGTATATACTTTTTTTCCTAACTTCTTGCAGAAAGAGATTCATCCTTGTTGTTTGTATAGAATTAATTCTTTATTACTGAGCATTACTGTAAGTGTGTAGATATACCATAATTTTTTAAAAAAAATCCATCTGTTGATGGGGATTTGAGTTCTCAAACTTTTGGCTATTATAAATGCTATGACATGCTATGAACACTTGTTTGTGTACAAGTGTTTGCATGGAGATATGTATAGTCTAGAAATATATATATATATACCATATATAACTCGACTATATATTTTATCTTGGATAAATAGCTAGGAATTGAATAACTGGATCATATGGTAAATATATGTATAACTTTTATTGTATTTTTAATTTGGTATTTTTATTTATCAGAGTTATAGAAATTTGGAGGAGTACATGTGGTATTTCAATACATGTGTACAATGTGTAATGATCAAATCGGTGTAGTTGGGATGCCCATCACCCCAAACATTGTGTTTAACTTTTTTTTGTGTGTTTTGAGACGGAGTCTTGCTCTGTTGCCCAGGCTGGAGTGCAGTGGCATGATCTTGGCTCACTGCAACATCGGCCTGCGGGGTTCAAGCAATTCTCCTGCCTCAGCCTCCTGAGTAGCTGGGACTACAGGCATGTGGCACCATGCCTTGCTAATTTTTTATATTTTTAGTAGAGATGGGGTTTCACCGTGCTGGCCAGGTTGGTCACGAACTCCAGATCTTGTGATCCACCTGCCTCAGCCTCCCAAAGTGCTGGGATTACAGGCGTGAGCCACTGTGCCTGCCCGTGTTTAACTTTTTAAGGAATTTCCACTCTTTTCCAAAGTGGGTGTGCTGTTTTACGTTTTCACCAGCAGTGTGCATCTTTTCTTCACATTTTCATCAAAATATGTAACGGTCGGTCTCTTTTAATTTTAGCCATTCTACCCTAGTAGTATCTCACTGTGTTTTTAATTTGCATTTTTCTAAACATGTTTTTCATGTGCTGTTTTCCATTATCATATCTTTGGTAAAGTCTACTTAAATACTTTGCCCATTTTTTTATTGGGTTACTTGTTTTCTTATTGAGTTTTGTGGGTTCTTTGTATATTATTGATACAAGTGCTTTATCAGGCATGTGATTTCCAAAATTTTTTCACTCAGTCTGTGGTTAAGCAGAAGTTTAAAATTTTTATGAAGTCTAGTTTATCATAATTTTCTTTGATGTATCATGCTTTTGGTGTCATATCTAAGAAACCTTTGCCTAATCCAAGGTCTCAAAGACTTTCTCCTATGTTTTCTGCTAACTTTATAAGTTTAGGTGTTTTTTTTTTTTTTTTTTTTTGAGACGGAGTCTCGCTCTGTCGCCCAGGCTGTAGTGCAGTGGCACGATCTCGGCTCACGGCAAGCTCCGCCTCCCGCGTTCACGCCATTCTCCTGCCTCAGCCTCCCGAGTAGCTGGGACTACAGGTGCCCACCACCACGCCCACCTAATTTTTTGTATTTTTAGTAGAGACGGGGTTTCACCATTTTAGCCAGGATGGTCTGGATCTCCTGACCTCGTGATCCACCCACCTCGGCCTCCCAAAGTGCTGGGATTACAGGCGTGAGCCACCATGCCTGGCCAAGTTTAGGTTTTACATACAGATGTATGATCCATTTTTAGATAATACTTATATATAATACAAAACACGTTTATTCATCTTAAAACTATGGATGTCCAGTTATGCCAACACCATTTGTTGAAAAAATGATCTTTTCTCCATTGAATTGACTTTGTGTCTTTGTCAAAAATCAATTGACCGTATATGAGTGGGCCTATTTCTGAACTCTCCATTCTAGCTCGTTGATCTTTTTGTCTCTTCACCATACACAGCCAGTTGTTCTTGATTACTAACATAGCTTTATAGTAATTCTCTCTAAATCAGGTAGCACGAGTCTTCCAACTTTGCTTTTTCAAAATTGTTTTAGCTATTCTAGTTCTTTTGCTTTTTCATGTAAGTTGTAGAATCATCTTGTTGATTCTTTTAAAGAATATTTGCAGGGCTTTTAATGGGAAGTGTGTTGGAAGATTTGACTTCTTTAGTCTTCCAATCAGTGAAAATGGCATGTCTCTTCACTTATTTAGGTCTTTTATTTCATCAGTGATTTGTATTTTTCAGTACACAGATATTGCCTGTTTTCTTAGACTTGTACTTAAAAAATTCCTGAAAATTTTGTTCTGTTGTAAGTTTCTATTTGTTCATAATAGTATATAGAAATGCAACTTATTTATATTAACATTGTATATTAACATTGCATCCCAGGACCTTTTGAAACTGATTTATTAGTTCTGGTAACTTTTTCATTCTTTATACATAATCATGTTGTATGCAAATGGAGACAGTTATTTCTTGTTTTCCAATATGTTTTCTGTTTCTTTGCTTGTTTCCCTAAGAGCTTTTTCTGCATCTACTAAGATGATTGAAGAGTTTTTGTTCTTTAGTCTATTAATATAGTGACTTAACATTCATTTTAAAATGTTCGAACAACATTGCATTCCTGAGATAAACCTACTTAATCATGATGTAGTATTATTTTCATATATTCGACTTGCTGGTATTTGTTGAAGAATTTTGTGTCTATGTTTATGAGGAATATTGATCTGTTGTCTTCATGCATTTTTCTAATTTTGGTAACAAGATAATGCTAGCCTTATAAAATGAGTTGGGAAGTGTTTTTCTCCTCTTTATTTTCTTCTTTTTCCTCAAAATGTTTGTGTAGAATTGGTAGTTTCTTTTCCCTTAAATGTTTGGTACATATAAGAGGCTTAGGCCTGGTGGTGGTGTTTCTGGAGGTGTTTTAACTTGAATTCAATCTCATTAATAGGTATAGGAATATTCAGGATGTCTGTTTATTCTTGAATAAATTTTGGTAGTTTTTCTTTTTTAAATACATTGTCTATTTCATCTAGGTTGTCACATATGGCATAAAGTTGTTCATAATATTTCCTTATTATCATTTTAATGTCATTAGGATCTGGCGTGTGTGTGTGTGTGTGTGTGTGTGTGTGTGTGTGTGTCTCCCAGGCTGGAGTGCAGTGGCACAATCTTGCATTCACAGCACCCTTTGCCTCCGGGGCAGGTTTAAGTGATTCTCCTGCCTCAGCCTCCTGGGTAGCTGGTATTTTTAGTAGAGAGGGGGTTTTGCCATGTTGGCCAGGCTGGTCTCAAACTCCTGACCCCTGAAGTGATCCACCTGCCTCAGCCTCCCAAAGTGCAGGGATTACAGGCGTGAGCCACTGCACCTGGCCTGTCATTAGGATCTGTAATCATATCCTTCTTTCAGTCCTACAATTGGTAATTTCTGTTTTGTTTTCTTGTTCTTTTCAAAGTTTATTGCTTTTTCTTCACTATTGTTATCCTTTTCGTTTGGTTGATTTCTGCTTTCATTTTTGTTGTTTTCTTCTTTCTTGCTTAGGGGTTTTTCTTTTTTCATAGACAGGGTCTCACTCTGTTACCCAGGCTAGTCTCAAACTCCTGGGCTCAAGCAGTTCTCCTGCCTTGGCCTCCCCCAAATCCTGGGATTACAGGTGTGAACCATTGCACCCAGCTTTTTTTTTTAAAGTTTATTAAGCTTAAAAAAGCTTAGATAATTGATGTAAGTTCCTTTTCTTCCAATATAAGCATTTCATGCTCTAAATTTTTCTCTAAATGCTGCCTTAGTGGCATTCTACAAGTTCTGATATGTTATCTTTTTATTTTTATTTCTTATTTTCCCTTTTCTCTTCTAACTCATGGGGTTTTTTTTGACCCATGGGTTATTTAATTTCTAAGGGTAGTGGGGGATTTTCCTGAGATTGTTTTGTTATTGATTCTCATTTAATTTTGTTGTGATATGAGAATATACTTTGTGTGGTTTCAATTCTTTTAAATTGGTGCAGTGAATTACATGGCCCAGAGTATGATCCATCTTGGTGTATGTTTTAATGATGTTGATTAATAATGTTGTTGAGGTCTTCTATATCCTTACTGGTTTTCTTTTCTTTTTTCCATCACGGCAAGAGTTCATCATGACTTACTGGTTTTCTATTTGTTTTATTGATTAATGAGAATGAAGTCTCCAGCTGTTAATTGTGGGTTGTTTAGTCTTTGTCTTTATCAGTTTTGGCTTTGTATATTTTGAAGCTCTGTTGTTTTGTGCATACACATTTAATTTTATGTCTTTTTGGTGAAATTACCTCTTTATTATTATTTAATGTCCCTCTTATTTCTGGTAATAATCCTTGTTTTGATGCCTACTTTGTTTGCTTTTAATATCACCACTATAGCCTTTTTTTTTTTTTTTTTTTTTTTTTTTTTTTTTTTTTTTGAGAGGGAGTCTTGCTCTGTCGCCCAGGCTGGAGTGCAATGGCACGATCTCGGTTCACTGCAAGCTCTGCCTCCCAGGTTCATGCCATTCTCCTGCCTCAGCCTCCCAAGTAGCTGGGACTACAGGCGCCCGCCACCATGCCCAGCTAATTTTTTTCTATTTTTAGTAGAGATGGGGTTTCACCATGTTAGCTAGGATGGTCTCAATCTCTTAACCTCGTGATCCGCCTGCCTTGGCCTCCCAAAGTGCTGGGATTACAGGCTTGAGCCACCGCGCCCGGCCCACTGTAGCCTTTTATTAGTGTTTGCCTAATAGTAGTATAGCCACTCCAGCTTTAATTTGATTATTGTTGCTTTATTCTCCAATCTGATGATTTGTTATAATTGGTATGTTTATGTCATTTATATATCATTTAGTAATTGATATGGTCAGATATAAATCTATTTTTGGTTACCTTCTTTGTTTCTTTTCCTTTTGTTACACATTTTTTGCTAATTTTTAAATATGATTTCATATCGTATCCACAATTAGCTTATTTTTACAGGCTGAATATCCCTTACCCAAAATGTTTGGGATTAGGAGTGTTCAGATTTCGGATTTTTTCAGATTGTGGAATATTTGTATTGTAGTTATCAGTTGAGTATTTGCAGTCTGAACATCTGAAATCCAAAACACTCCCATCAGCATTTCCTTTGAGTTGTCATGTAAGCACTCAAAAAAATTCAGATTTTACAGCATTTGGATGTTCAGGTTGGGGTACTCAACCTGTACCTCTTTTCATTATTGTTTTAGCGTTTACTGTAGAATTTACAATATTCATCTATAGTTAATGACAGCCTCTCTTTAAATAATATATACTATTTTATTTATTTTATTTCACTAGGTTTTTGGGAAACAGGTGGTGTTTGGTTAATGAGATTTTGAATATATACTCTTTACTTATACAACTGTACACTCCCAATTCCTTCCTTCAAACTTTTGTCCAATTGTCAAGCATTTGTCGTTGGCATATGCTATAAAGCCACAGTACATTGCTATTATTTTTGCTTTAGGAGTCAAGTGTCTTTCAGAGCAATTAAAAGTTAAATTCTTAACTGCTTCTGGAAATCGTCATTACTTTGCAAGTTTACCAAATTTTATATAGCATCCTTTCTGTTTGAAGAACTTTCTTTAATGTTTCTTGTACTGCTGGTTGGCTGCTACTGAATTTTTTCAGTTTTTGTCTTAAAAAGTTTTCATTATATCTTCATTTTCGAGGGATGTATTTGCTGGGTATGGAATTATGTGTTGTTGTTTTTTTCTTTCTATACTCTTTGTATTCTGGTTTGCATAGTTTCTAATGAGACATGTCCTGTAATTCTCATCTTTGATTCTTTGTATGTATTGTGTCTCCTCACCCATCCCCTGCCTTTGGCCGCCTTCAAAATTTTCTCTTTATTTTGAATTTACTGCAGTTTCAATATGATGTGTCTAGGTGTGATTGTTTTTATTTTTATTTTAAAAATACAGATACTACCATTGAAAATCCACAGAAATATATTCATTCACCTAGAAACTCTTGTTTCTTACTACATTCTTCATGTAATAAACCAAAGGATGGAAGGGTGTATATTTTAGTACATTAGAAAAAGCTCATTTGCATATACTTCTTGAATTTTTCATGTGCACAAAGACCCACTGAAAGTATACACGAAAAACTAACACTGGTCGGGCGTGATGACTTATGCTTGTAATCCCAACACTTTGAGAGGACGAGGCAGACAGATCACTTGAGGTCAGGAGTTCGAGACCAGCCTGGGCAACATGGTGAAACTCCATCTCTACTAAAAATACAAAAATCAGCCAGGCGTGGCGGTACACATATGTAATCCCAGCTACTTGGGAGGCTGAGGCAGGAGAATCGCTTGAACCCAAGAGGCAGAGGTTGCAATGAGCCAGGATTGTGCCATTGCACTCCAGCGTGGGTGACAGAGCAAGACTCCATCTCAAAAAAAAACAAACCAACAAAAAAAAAACACAAAGATTACATGTGGTACATGGGCTTTTGGTATAGGCAAACAACCTTGGGTCAGAATGGGATGAGTTTTCAAGGTATATTGTTTATATTATTTTAATTTTGTACCATGTAAATATATTACCTAGTATAGAAAAAAATTTAAAGCAAATTTCCCCAAATGCATTAATGGGCCTTATTTTTTCCTTTGCCTAGTTTAATTATTTGATTAGAGTCTCAGTATTCTCTCATTTATAATACATATAGACAGTTACACATCCATATCTTCATATTTACACAATTTTAGAAAGTATTACATTTCCCTACAGCCTCACTCCATGGGAAGAGTATTGTTAACTGGCCATTGTGTTTTAACTCACCACTGGAAAAGAAAAATTAAACACACGTTTAACAACGCAGTTTTAAAACCTAACAAAGACCCAGTCCACAGACCCCATATATGTTACTGGCTGCTGCTCAGGATGGTATTTTCATCCCTGAGAGATTGGAATGCTTTTTTATTTTTTGTTGTCAATGGGTTTTCTCTTGCCTCATTCCAATCTTACTATTTTTCTGCAAAGCTTGTTTCCCTAGTCCTGCTTTCATCCAGAATAAAAGTTCTTAAAAGCCTATTTCTATCATTAACTAACTCCAGGCTTCACAATGAGAACAGTGAAAATATAGTTTCTTTTTCCTGAATCCCATAATTAGAACTACCTTGCAGTTCATATTGTGGACTTCTGTTCATTTTCTTCTCTCCAGCTCCAGCATTAGCTCATTTATCCAATCCTATGTTATCCCCAGTTGTCTCCACCTCCCCTCCACCCCCTAGAGTTACAGAGACCTCATATTACCAGGTGTTTGAACTACAGGAGTTATTGCTACATTTTGCTCCCCATTCCAGTCCAATTGTACCTGACAATATTCCAATTTCAAATCCATTAAGTATAAACTGTTTTAAGAATGGCAAAGTATAGGCTCAAAATAAAGAGATGGAGAAATATTTACCAAGCAAATGGAAAGAAAAATAAAGCAGGGGTTTCAATCCTAGTCTCTGATAAAACAGACTTTAACAATGATAAAAAAAATACAAAGAAGGGCATTACATAATGGTAAAGAGATCAATGCAACAAGAAGAGCTAACTATCCTAAATATATATGCACCCAATACAGGAGCACCTAGATTCATAAGGTAAGTTCTTAGAGACCTACAAGGAGACTTAAGACTCCCACACAATAACAGTGGGATACTTTATCACCCAACTGCCAATATTAGACAGATCAACAAGACAGAAAATTAACAAGGATATTCAGGACTTAAACTCAGCTCTGGACCAAGTGGACCTAATAGACATCTACAGAACTCTCCATCCCAAATCAACAGAATATACATTCTTCTCAGTGACACATAGCATGTATTCTAGAATTGACCACATAATTGGAAGTAAAACACTCCTCAGCAAATGCAAAAGAACAGAAATCATAACAGTCTCTCAGGCCACAGTGCAATCAAATTAGAACTCAGGATTAAGAAACTCACTGAAAACTGCACAACTACATGGAAACCGAACAACCTGCTCCTGAATGACTACTGGGTAAATAATGAAATTTGGGCAGAAATAAATAAGTTATTTTAAATCATTGAGAACAAAGACACAACGTACCAGAATCTGTGGGTCACAGCGAAAGCAGTGTTTAGAGGGAAATTTATAGCACTAAATGCCAACAGGAGATAGCAGGAAAGATCTAAAATCGACACTCTAACATCACAATTAAAAGAAGTAGAGAAGCAAGAGCAAACAAATTCAAAAGCTAGCAGAAGACAAGAAATAACTAACATCAGAGCACACCTGAAGGAGATAGAGACACAAAAAACCCTTCAAAAAAATCAGTGAATGCAGGAGCTGGCTTTTTGGAAAGACTAACAAAACAGAGAGACCACTAGTCAGACTAATAAAGAAGAGAAAAGAGAAGAATCAAATAGACACAATAAAAAATGATAAAGGGGATATCACCACTGATCCCACAGAAATACAGACTACCATCAGAGAGTACTATAAACACCTCTATGCAAATAAACTAGAAAATTTAGAAGAAATGGATACATTCCTGGACACATACACCATCCCAAGACTAAACCAGGAATAAGTTGTATCCCTGAATAGACCAATAAGAAATTCTGAAATTGAGGCAGTAATTAATAGCCTACCAACCAAAAAAAAAGCCCAGGACCAGATGGATTCACAGCCAAATTCTACCAAAGGTACAAAGAGGAGCTGGTACCATTCCTTCTGAAACTATTCCAAACAATAGAAAAAGAGGGACTCCTCCATAACTCATTTCATGATGCTAGCATCATCCTGATAAGAAAACCTGGCAGAGACAAAACAAAAAAAGAAAATTTCAGGCCAATATCTTTGATGAACATCAATGTGAAAAATCCTCAATAAAATACTGGCAAACCGAATCCAGCAGCACATCAAAAAACTTAACCACCATGATCAAGTTGGCTTCATCCCTGGGATGTAAGGCTGGTTCAACATATGCAAATCAATAAACATAATCCATTACATAAACAGAACCGATGACAAAAACCACATGATTACCTCAATAAATGCAGAAAAAGGCCTTCAATAAAATTCAATACCCCTTCTTGCTAAAAACTCTCAATAAGCTAGGTACTGATGGAATGTATCTCAAAATAATAAGAGCTATTTATGACCAACCCATAGCCAATATCATACTGAATGGGCAAAAGCTGGAAGCATTCCCTTTGAACACTGGCATAAGACAAGGAAGACCTCTCTTACCACTCCTATTCAACATAGTATTAGAAGTTCTAGCCAGGGCAATCAGGCAAGAGAAAGAAATAAAGTGTATTCAAATAGGAAGAGAGGAAGTCAAATTGTTTCTGTTTGCAGATGACATGACTGTGTATTTAGAAAAGCCCATCATCTCAGCCTGAAATCTCCTTAAGCTGATAAGCAACTTCAGCAAAGTCTCAGGATACAAAATCAGTGTGCAAAAATCACAAGCATTCCTATAGACCAATAATAGACAAACAGCCAAATCATGAGTGAACTCCCATTCACAATTACTACAAAGAGAATAAAGTACCTAGGAATAAAACTTACAAGGGATGTGAAGGACCTCTTCAAGGAGAACTACAAACCACTGCTCAAGGAAATAAGAGAGGACACAAACAAATGGAAAAACATTCCATGCCCATGGATAGGAAGAATCGATATCGTGAAAATGGCCACCATACCTCCCAAAGTAATGTATAGATTCAAGGCTATTCCCATCAAACTGCCATTGACTTTCTTCACAGAATTAGAAAAAACTACTTTAAATTTCATATGGAACCAAAAAAGAGCCCTATAGTCAAGACAATCCTAAGCAAAAAGAACAAAGCTGGAGGCATCACGCTACCCGACTTCAAACTATACTACAAGGCTACAGTAGCCAAAACAGCATGGTACTCATACCAAAACAGATATACAGACAAATTGAACAGAAGAGAAGCTTCAGAAATAACACCACACATCTAAAACCATCTGATCTTTGACAAACCTGACAAAAACAAGCAATAGGGAAGGGATTCCCTATTTAATAAATGGTGTTGGGAAAACTGGCTAGCCATATGCAGAAAACTGAAACTGGACCTCTTCCTTATACCTTATACAAAAATTAACTCAAGATGGATTAAAGACTTAAACATAAGACCTAAAACCATACAAACCTTAGAAGAAAACCTAGGCAATACCATTCAGGACATAGGCATGGGCAAAGACTTCATGACTAAAACACGAAAAGCAATGACAACAAAAGCAAAAACTGATGAATGGGATCTAATTAAAGTGCTTCTGCACAGCAAAAGAAACTATCATCAGAGTCAACAGGCAACCTACAGAATGGGAGAAAAATTTTGGAATCTATCCATCTGACAAAGGGCTAATATCCAGATTCTACAAGGAACTTAAACAAATTTACTAGGAAAAAAAAAAAAACTAACCCCATCAAAAAGTGGGCAAAGGATATGAGCAGACACTTCTCAAAGGAAGACATTTATGCAGCCAACAAACATATGAGAAAAAGCTCATCGTCACTGGTCATTAGAGAAATGCAAATCAAAACCACAATAAGATACCATCTCATGCCAGTTAGAATGGTGATCATTAAAAAGTCAGGAAACAACAGATACTGGAGAGAATGTGGAGAAATAGGAATGCTTTTACACTGTTGGTGGGAGTGTAAATTAGTTCCACCATTGTGGAAGACCGTGTGGCAATTCCTCAAGGATCTAGAACCAGAAATACCATTTGACCCAGCAATCCCATTACTGGGTATATACCCAAAGGATTATAAATCATCCTACTGTAAAGAGACATGCATACGTATGTTTATTGCAGCACTATTCACAATAGAGAAGACTTGGAAGCAACCCAAATGCCCATCAATGATAGACTGAATAAAGAACATATGGCACATATACACCATGGAATACTATGCAGCCATAAAAAGGATTAATTCATGTCCTTTGCAGGGACATGGATGAAGCTGGAAACCATCATTCTTAGCAAACTAACTCTGGAACAGAAAACCAAACACCACATGTTCACACTCATAAGTGGGAGTTGAAGAATGAGAACACATGGACACGGGGAGGGGAACATCACACACTGGGGCCTTTTGAGGGTTGAGGTGCTAGGGGAGGGATAGCATTAGAAGAAATACCTAATGTAGATGACGGGTTGATGGGTGCAGCACACCACCATGGCATGTGTATACCTACGTAACCTGCACATTCTGCACATGTATCCCAGAACTTACAGTATTAAAAAAAAAAAAAAAGAGTGGCAAAGTAATGTCAGAGAAATGATGGAGTAGGTAGCTTCAACGGCCCATCCTTCCACAGAAACAAAACAACAAAAATGATTTTTAAAAAACTGTCAGAATCAATGTCATCAGAACTCTGAAAAGTAGTCCAAGGTTTACAGCAACCCAGGGAATGTAGAATAGAGAAAACAGCAACTTAAAAATAGTAGGGGAGCTTTGTGGTGCTTTCACTTGCCCTTGATTTACTTTTCTCTGCAGCTGGGTGATGGTCTTGAAGGTGACAGCCTATATTACCAGTGTAGGACACTGATCTCTTGCTCCAGAGGCAGTGGAGCAGAACTTGTTCTCAATTGTGTTTGTCTGTTTTGAACTGTCTGAGGGCTACCTGAAAGACTGTTGCAAGTTACTTGGTTTTATCTTATCTAACTTGGAATTCTATCATGGTGGAAAAGTGGCTAATTGAAGAGTACATTCCTCTAAATCATTGAAAGGCAAATGAACAACCCACTGTCACTTGAGGTAAGAGATTACTGTTGAAGCAAACAATATACAGAATGACAACTTGGGAGGAAAATCTGGGGAGAGAGATTCTGTGAGGAAGTAGGGTATTGAAAAGCTCCCCACATACACCAGGAAATTTAGAAAGGCATGCACATACTCAGAGGAGAACATATGTTCAGAAATGACCTGAAAAAACTGCAAGCTTTCACCTCTGACTGATCTTTGACTTAGTGCAAGCAGTAAGGGAAGGCTTTGGCAGAGTTGTAAATGACCTGGCTAAGCACCGAAAGAGGGCTCCAACAAAGAGTCATTGCGCAAAGAGTGGGCAAATATTTTTCCTTTTTTGTTTGTTTTTCATCCAGACATTCAAGGAAATCCCTGTTAACACACTGGGTAAAAATAAATGAAAAGAATAGAGGCCTTAGATACCACACAATACAGGGAATACCAGTTTTACAAAAAAAGTAGTTTAGAAAACTCACTATTCATTTCCCAGAGCTGCTCTTACCACATGGCACAAAATTGGGTGGCTTGAACAACAAAAATTCATTCTCTCCCAGTTTTCTCCAGGTTAGACCTCCAAAATCAAAGTGTCAGAAGGGCCATGCTCTCTTTCATTACCACTTAGTAGCTTCTGCTGGTATCCATTGATCTTTGATATTCCTTGGCTTTTAGCTGTATCACTTCAAGCTCTGTCTCTGTGGTCACATGGCATTCTCCCCATGTGTTTCAGTCTTAATATGGTATGTTACTCTTCTAATAAGGACACTGTCGTATCGAATGAGGGTACACCCTAATGCCCTCATCTTGATTGCATCTTCAAAAACCCTATTTCAAAGTAAGGTCATGTTCACAGGTTAGGACTTCAACATATCTTTTTGGGAGACAAAATTAAACCTGTAACAGTCACTAAACAAACCATTACGATCCACAATAAGATAAGAACAAACTGAGCAGGAGGAAGAATCTGACTTTAAGAGATACCACATTATAAAACAAACAAAAAAAAAGTACACAGCATGCAAATAAAAAATTATGGTCCATTCCCAGAATAAATGAACAGAAACTGTCCCCAAGGAAACACAGACACTGGACTTACCAGACAAAGACTTTAAATAAACTGTCTTAAATATTCTCAAAGAACTAGAGGAAACCATGAACAAAAATAATAAACCAGGAGAATCATGTCTGAAAAAAAGATATCAAATAGGTAGAAATTATTTAAAAACCATGAATTTTGGACCTGAAGAGTATAATAACTGAAATGAAAATTCACTAGAGGATTTCAACAGTATATTTAAGCAAGCAGAAAAATCAGTGAACTAAAGGATAAGTAAATTGAAGTTATTCCATCTGAGGAGCAGAAGAAAAAGTAAGTAGAACTCAGATACCTGTGGGATGCCATCAAGCATATCAGCATATGCACAATGGGAGTCACAATAAGAGGAGAGAGAAAGGAGTATAAGGAATATTTGAAGAAATAATGTTCAAAAACTTCTCAAACTTATAAGACATGAATCTACACATAGAAGAAGCTCAAGGAACTAACTCCAAGAAGAATAAATGCATAGAGATCCACACCAAGACACATTATAATCAAACCATAAAAAGACAGAGACTCAAAATCAACAAGAGAAAGTGACACCTCATGTTCAAAGCCTCTATAATAAGATTAATAACCCATTTCTCATCAGAAACCATGATCTCCAGAAGCCAGTATGATGACATATTTAAAGTAATGAAATAAAAAAAACCTGTTAGCCAAGAATCCTATATCTGGCAAAACCATCCTTCAAAAATGAAGGAGAAATTAAGACATTCCTAGATAAACAAACACTGAGGGAGTTCATTGCTAGTTGGCCTGCCCTACAAGAAATACAAAATACTTCAGGCAGAAGTGAAAAAACACTAAATCTTGAAGCCATATAAATTAATAAAGAACACTGGTAAAGTAATTACATAGGTAAACACAAAAGCCAATATTATTGTATTATTGGCTCATAACTCCTATATGATTTAAAGAAAAATGAGTAAAATAGTTACAAATCTATGTTAATGGGGCACACAATGTATAAAGATGTAATTTTTCAAATCCTAAAGGGAGGAGGACAGAGATACGGGAGCAGGATTTTTTATATTTTGGAAGCTAGGTTAGTATTAATTCAAGCTATATTAACTTCTTTAATGTATTACAATATAGTTTGAATTAATACTATTCAACACTTTTGCATCTTTAAATTTTTTCATAATAAAATTTGGAAAAATAGGCCAGCTGTGGTAGCTCACATCTGTTATCCCAGCACTTTGGGAGGGTGAGGCAGGAGGATTGCTTGAGGCCAGGAGTTTGAGAACAGCCTGGGCAACATAGTGAGACCCTGTCTCTACAATTTTTTTTTTAATTAGCTGGGTGTGATGGCACATTTTTGTAGTCCTAACTATGCAGGAGTCTGAGGCTGGAGGACCACTTGAGCCCAGGAATTTGAGGCTGCAGTGAGCCAAGATCACACCCATTGCACTCCAGCCGGGGTGACAGAGTAAGACCTTGTTTCAAAAAAGAAAAAAAGACGTTAACTGTATACCACAGGGTAATCACTAAGAAAATATACAGAAAAGGGAATAAGAAGAAAAATTAAATGGTACACTACAGGTCGGGCATGGTGACTCACGCTTGTAATCCCAGCATTTTGGGAGGCCAAGGTGGGTGGATCACTTTAGGTCAGGAGTTCAAGACCAGGCTGCCCAACATGGTGAAACTCTGTCTTTACTAAAAATACAAAAATTCGCTGGGCATTGTGGTGCATGCCTGTAGTCCCAGCTACTTGGGAGGCTGAGGCATGAGAATCACTTGAACCCAGGAGGCAGAGGTTGCAGTGAGCTGAGATCACACCACTGCACTCCAGCCTGGGTGACAGAGTGAGACCCTGTCTCAAAATGGAAAAAAAAAGAAAAAGGTACGCTGCAAAAACATCAAACAGAAAAGAAGGCATTAATCAAGAGACCTAGGAAAGAAGGCATTAATCAAGAGACCTAGGAACAAAAAAGATAAGCCATGTAGAAAACAGATCACAAAGTGAAAGAAGCAAGGCCGTTTTAAAATCAGGAATTAATTTAAATGCAAATAGATTAAGCTCTCCAGTTAAAAGGCAAAAATGGACAGAATGGATAAAACAGCATGATCCAACTATATGCTGTCTATAAGAGACTTATTTGCAATCCAAAGACAAAAAATGTTGAGTGAAAAAATGGAAGAAAATTATTCCATGCAGGATGTAAAAAAAGAGAACTGAAGTAATTGTATTAATATTAGACAAAATCGACTTAGGTAAAAAACTTGACAAGAGACAAACAATGACATTATATATTGACAAAAGAGTCAATCCATCAAGAAGATATAACAATACAGACATTACACAGCTAGTCCCCAAATATATGGTGTGAAAATTGATGGAACTGAAGGGAGACATAAATATTTCTACAATGTTTTCAGACTTCAGTATCTCACTTTCAATAATGGATACAACAACCAGACAAAAGATCAATAAAGAATTAGAGGATTTGGAAACATAAACCAAACTCCTAGCAGATATATACAAAGCACCCCACCTAAAACCAGCAGAATACATATTTTTCTTAAGTGGTCATGAAACATTTTCTGGGATAGATCATACATTAGGCCACAAAACAGGTCTCAATAAAAATAAAAAATCTCACGTATCAACAGAAAGATAAAGTCACATGAAATGTATTCTCAGGCCACAAAAAAATGAAACTCAAATCAGTAATGAGGAAAACTGGAAAATTCACAAATGTGTGGAAATTAAACAGCACACTCATAAAAACCGATGGGGATAGAAGTTACAGGGAAATTAGAAAATACTTTGAGATGAAAACAAAACATGATTCAGGATTCCTTTGGTGCTAAAATAATAAAATTCTGCTGACTGAGCTAAAAAAATTTGTGATAGAAAATATCAAAGGCAGTTCCCCACTCTATACACAATACCCACCCCCATAACTTAAATAAAACAACTTTCTCCTTTCTAGAGAAAATCACATTGGAAACAAAGCCTCTGCAAGAAGTCCTGATATATGTGCTTTTACAAGGCTGCTAAATATTACTTCATTTTTGATACCACATTGACTTGATCTATTGATGATCATTCTATTGCATTTATCATCTCAAGAGCAAGCTGAGTGGATACAAAAAAAAATTTAAATTGAAATAAGGGAAGAAGCATTTTCAAGATATAATTTAGATGTTGTTTTTTTCCAAATTACAATACAGTTGGCTCTTGAACAACACAGGTTTAAACTGCATGGGTCCACTTATATGTGAATTTTTTTTCAACAAATATATTGCAATTTTTTTTGGAAATTTGCAACAATTTGAAAAAGCTCACAGATAAGCCGTGTAGTCTAGAAATATCAAACAATTAAGAAAAATTTAGGTATATCATGAATGCATAAAATATATGTAGATATTAGTCTATTTTATCATTTACTACCATAAAATATACATGAATCTATTAAAAAAAGGTAAAACTTATAAAAACTTACACACACAAACACAGACTGTACGTTCACAGTCAAGAGAAATGTAAAACAAAGATGCAATATTAAATCAAGCCTGCATAAAGTTAACTGTAGTACATGCTGTGCTACTGTAATAATTTAATAGCTATCTCCTGTCACTGTTGTGGTGAGCTCATGTGTGTAAATATCTGCTTAAAATTCCAAGTAATGCTAATCATCTCAAAGTGAGCAGTTCATCTCTCTAGTAAATTGCGTATTACAGTAAAAAGTGATCTAAAGGTTTCTTATTTTTTATTGTGTTTAGTGCAATACTATAAAACTTGAATACTACCATGGGACCTATGTGAACTGCCACTAGTGATGTTGCAAGTGCTCCCAAGATGCATAGAAAAGTCATGACATTATAAGAAAAAGTTGAATTGCTTGATATGTACTGTAGAATGAGGTCTGAAGCTGCAGCTGCCTGCCATTTCAGAAAGATGGTTTATTTTGTAAACAGATGGTGTAAACTTACAGTATCAATACCGTACAGAACTGTAAATATTTCTCTTCTTCTTGATTTTCTTTTTTTCTTTTTTCTTTTTTTTTTGGAGCTGGAGTCTCACTGTCGCCTAGGCTGGAGTGCAGTGGCACGATATTGGCTCACTGCAACCTCTGCCTCCTGGGTTCAAGCAATTCTCCTGCCTCAGCCTCTGGAGTAGCTGGGATTACAGGCATGTGCCACCACGCCCAGCTAATTTTTGTATTTTTAGTAGAGACGGGGTTTCACCATGTTGGCCAGGCTGGTCTCAAACTGCTGACCTAGTGATCCACCCCCCCTTGGCCTCCCAAAGTGCTGGGATTACAGGCGTGAGCCACTGCACCTGGCCCCTCTTGGTCCCTCTTGGCTGGGCAGGGCGGTAGCCTGTTTCCGCTCGGGCATTCTGGGAAGTGTAGTGCAGAAGCCGTTGCAACCTTGTGTACTTCCGCTGCAGGAGGGCGAAGCAGCCGTCATCTATCCCCTCTGGGAGGTGAGTCAGCGCGGAACCTCTGCATCTACGGCGAGCTTTCCTGGCCTGGGCGTTGGACTCGCAGGTGCCTGCCCTCGCTCTCAGTGAAGGGAAGTCGCAGAGGGCGGGGACGACGGTTTGCTTGCCCTTTGTTTTTAGGGCGGTGCATGGGTCTCCAAGTTGGGAATGGCTCCTGGTCGCACGTTTGGTTTGAAGGTCTCCCGGGCGCTCAAGTTCCCTCGCCTTCCCCACCTTCCACACGCTCTGCTGTCTTCTGGCAATATAATCTTGGTAGTTTCTTAATTTCTCCGTTTCTCCTCTGTAAAGTGAGTTTCATAGTAGTACCTAACTGGTAGGGGTTTCGTGAGATTTACTTAAGATAAATAGATGTAAAAATGCGTAGGACCGATCCTGACACACACTGAAAAGGTGGCTGGTTGTTGCCAATCTGTTATTTCTTCCTGGAGAGGAGAGGCATTCAGTCTCTGAAAGCTTCTGTGAGCCCGCAGTGGGTTCTGAGCTCCAGGTGCAGCGCTACTCGCCCTTCTCTGATCTCTGCACCTCGCGAGGCTGTTCCTGGATTCCTAACGTGGGGGGACGGGGGTGTCAATTTTCTCTCCATCTTTTTTATTTTTCCTTCCCTTTTAAGGCATGAGTGTGTCTCACCTCCATGTGGTGCCTGGGGATGTCCACTGTCATTCATCCTGGACCAGAAACAGAGTTTAGATATCTTCCAACCTCCTTTCCTTCCTCAGCCTTGACTAACCGGAGGGCTGCAGAGAGGAGGGTGTTGACCCCCTGGCTCTTGGTAACATTGTCCCAACGTGAGAGGACTTAATATATGCTATTGCTATTTCTGCTTAGTTGGAGAACAGATTTCCCACACTCATTAGCAATATTATTTTTCCTGCTGGGCAAATGCTCAAATATTTATGGAATAAATGAGAGGTTGGATTAGGCATGTGTTCGTGAATGAGTAATAATAAAATTTGTTAATACGTTGAGTGCCAGGGTCTCTTCTATAGGCTTTATATGCATTAATTAGCTTAATCTTCAGAACAAAGATAATATTGTAATTCCTGTTTTACAGATGACAACACTGATGGGTAAAACATTTATCTTCCCAAAGTAAAACAACAGGAAAGAGCCTGAACTGGGAGTTTGAGCTCAGGCTGAGCTCAGGCAGAGTGGGTTCTTGACCTTTGTGCCACTCTCCTTCAGCCCTGAGAAATGTCAGTCCCATGGGGGTGCAGTGACTCACGCCTGTAATCCCACACTTTGGAAGGCTGAGGCGGGAGGATGGCTTGAGCCCAGGAGTTCAACAGCAGCCTGGGCAACATAGTGAGACTCCATCTCTACAAAAAAATTAAAAATTAGCCACACACCTGTGGTCCCAGCTACTTGGGAGGCTGAGGCAGGAGGATCGCTTGAGCCCAGGAGGCAGAGGTTGCAGTGAGCTGAGATCATCCCACTGCACTCCAGCCTGGGCAAGAGAGTGAGAGTCTGTCTCAAAAAAATTAAAAAGAGGAAAAGAAATGGTTTCACAGTTTAGGCAATGACTGGGGGATGCTCAAGAGTCATAATAAAAAAAATTTTTTTAAGGATTTGCAGGGAAGAACTCTGAGGAGATGACATTTGAGTAAATACCTGACACTGCTATTAAAATAAATAAATAGATAGGGTTTACATTATCCACAGTCTATGGATTGACCCTTTTATGAATGATTTCACTTTTTTTTTTTTTTTTTTTTTGAGACTGAGTCTCCCTCTGTCTCCCAGGCTGGAGTGCAGTGGCACGATCTCAGCTCACTGCAACCTCCCACTCCCAGGTTCAAGTGATTCTCGTGCCTCAGCCTCCCGAGTAGCTGGGATTACAGATGCCCGCCACCATGCCTGGCTAATTTTTGTATTTTTAGGAGAGATGAGGTTTCATCATGTTGGCCAGGCTGGTCTCGAACTCGTGACCTCAAGTGATCTGCCTGCCTTGACCTCCTAAAGTGCTGGGATTACAGGCGTGAGCCACTGCGCCTGGCCTAATGATTTCACTTTTAAGGATGACCTTGATGTTGCTTGAGCAAAGCAAATGAAATTAAAAACGCAGAAGAAATTGACATATAAAGTTCATCCTCTCCTCCTCCCAATTAATTTAATAGCCTGAGAATTTTGTAGCTTAAAGGAATCTTGGAGATCAATTAGTACAATCCTTGTCTGACTGTGTGTCATTCTTTGATTCTGTGTGCATCAAATACTCACTATATTCTAGGTGCTTGGGGTAAAAAGATGAGTAATGTTCATTATCTCACAGGCAAAACAGATGCTTGATTTACTAATTATACCCCAAATGCCCCAGCTACGCTGAAGGCTTCCAAGAGGAGGGATTACAAGAGAAGGACAGGGAAGCTGGTCCTCTCTGGAGGCAGAGTGGCAGGAGCAAAGGCACGAGAGGACTTGACAACCTAGGAATGAACAAAGTCTGGAAATTCAGGCCTCGAAAAGTGGCCCTGGTACATGTAGTGAGCAGAGCTGAGCCAGGCACCCCAAACCCCATTTGTTTTTTTCTACTAAATGTCGTGAAATGTCAAGTCTTGCAAAATCCTGTTACTGAGCAGAGCAGGAGGGTGCAGGTAAATATAGGACCAGAACAAAGGGAATTGGATATTAAAAATTGATCTCTCTCCCTAGCTTTCAGAAGAGAATACATTGCTCTCGTCCCTACTAGAGTGTTTCTGCCTGAAGTAGGAGGACCCACGAACAGGAGTAGCTATCTGTATTGAATGCTATCTTGTATATACTCACTGAAACCTCTTAATAACCCTACGAGGTAGATACTGTTATTGTCCTCACTTTATGGGTGAGGAAATAGGCACAAAGAGCTAGTAAGTCAGAAGAGTCAATTAGGATATTAGGTTCCTCATCATCTGGCTCCAGTATCCCTCAGCAGATCATTTTCAGCAGTTCATACCCTCCAACTTCCCCTTCTCTGATCTCTAAGACATGATTCCTTCCATGTCTTCATATTTCTGATTAGAGAAGGAGACACGATTAAGAGACAGGCTCTGGACTCAGCTGGATTCAGATGCAGTCTCACCTCACCAGCTCTGTGACCTTGGGCAACTTAATCTCAGTAATCCTCAGCTTCCTCATCCATTAAATGGGAACGACAGTCATCATATCATCACTTATTGAGAGCTTATATAATGTGCCACAGACAGAACCAAGGCTTTTACCCCATTTAAAAAATTGAGTCATAATTCATATACCATATAATTCACCCTTTTAAAGTGTGCAATTCGGTGGTATTTAGTGTATCCACAATGTTAGGTTGTACAACCATCACTATTTTCTAATTGAAGAACATTTGTATCACCCCCAAAAGAAACCTCATATGCCCTAGCCATCACTCTTTACTATCTCTTCTCTCAGCCCCTGGCAACTATTACTTTTTGTCTCTATGGTTTAGCCTAGCCAAGACTATTCGATTTGCTCATTAATCCCCAAAGCAACTGTAAATTAGAATCTGTTATTAGTACTACAGTATTTTTCATTTAAGTGAGACAGATACTGTCAAACTTTTGTTTAAAAAAAAGCTAGCAGAGACACATTTTAAATTAGTATTTCCTTACGACAGTGAGCACGGGAAAGGGAGATACACCATTGAGACTCTCCTGGCTACATGAAGAAAATTCATAAGTATTTATACCTTTTACAAAACTGAATGCTGATATCAATTAAATATTATAGGACAACAAAGTAGTAAGTAATATAGCCAATCAGAATTATAGACTTTTCAGAGGTAAAGGTGAATTTCATAAGATAAAGCATTGTACAGTCTTTGAAATCTGGATGTTATAAAAGACTCTCTTATTGGAAATGATGGCAAAAGACATTTGCAACAACAATTTTATGATGCATAATATCATCTGCTTTTCTGCAGCTTGCAGGGAAATCAGTTATACGAGTTTCCATCTGTTCACACATTTAACCCTTACAATAATCTTGCAAGAAAGCACTATTTTTCTCATTTGCAGGTGACAAATTTGAGGAATGGGGAGGTTAATTAGCTTAAACAGAGTTAGTAGCCATGCCAGGATTTGACCCCAGACCTTGTGACCCCAGAATCCACTTTTGTAGCCAGTACATTCTGCTGCAAGTAGCTGGGATTACAGGTGTGTGCCACCACACCCAGCTAATTATTGTATTTTTTTGTAGAGATGGGGTTTCGTCATGTTGCGGGCTAGTCTCGAACTCCTGAGCTCAAGCAATCTGCCTGCCTCGGCCTCCCAAAGTGCTGGGATTACAGGCATGAGCCACCATGCCCGGCCACCTTTTAAAAATTCAGCCAGCACAGCCATGTGGGCTAGGGCCTGTTTCTCATGGCTTCTTTCTCTTTTCCCAGTTCTGCCTTCCCAGGACCCTGCCCTTCCCCAGAAGGAGCAGGAGAAAATGACCAAGTTTCAGGTGAGTTGAGTTTTGATTTTTATCTCTTAAAATGACATCTCTTTTCCTCAAAGATTAGACACTTTTTTTTCTCTTCCTTGGGAAAGATAAAGGAGGAAAACAGGTATTTGGAATCTGCTAGTTACTTGATTTTCGATTGGTTCAATTTTTTGTTTATGTCTTTAGCTTTTGTTTTGGTAGTTTTATTTTATCATCTTTATTTCACAAGTAGTAGTGCAAAAATTCGTAGATATCAAAAAATGGGAGAAAACCTCCACATTACTACATTGCATACAAATAATCTATTTCCCCCATACTATTTTATATGTATTTACATATTGTATGTCTTATATCTATACTTGTCAGTGTATTTTAAAGAACTACAATCACATTCTATATACAATTTTCTTTTTTCAGTTAATGTTGTTACTAGAGTTTTATATGATTTAGTGTTCCTTTATGTATTTGTCTCAGAAGGGTTTTCATTTTTTGTCTAATTTTTCAGAGGCTACAAAACAAACACACAATGCTGTCTCTAAATAGTATTTCAATTTGCAAGACTTTTTCATGGGGCTTTAAAAATGCAATATTTACTTACAAAAATTATATATATCTTAAGTGGTCAGGTCAATAACAGTTTTATATCCCACTTCGACAGTTGTATAATTGCATTAGCCCACCATTCAGAACAAGATATAGAACATTTATATTACCCCAAAAAGGTCCCTCCTGTCTCTTTCAAGTCAGTTCCTTACTCCCCAGAGGCATCCTCTGTTATCCCTTACCCCCTTCTCACCCTTTCCCCCTGAGGCCCTAAAGTCCATTGTGTCATTCTTAGACCTTTGGATCCTCATAGCTTAGCTCCTACTTATGAGAGAGAACATACGATGTTTGGTTTTCCATTCCTGAGTTACTTCACAGAGAATAATAGTCTCCAATATCATCCAGCTTGCTGCAAATGCCATTAATTCGTTCCTTTTTATGGCTGAGTAGTATTCCATCATATATATATACACACACACACACACACACACACACACACACACACACACACACCACGGTTTCTTTTCTTTTGTTTTTTTTTGAGACGGAGTCTTGCACTGTTGCCCAGGCTGGAGTGCAATGGCGCGATCCTGGCTCACTGCAACCTCCGCCTCCCAGGTTCAAGCAATTCTCCTGCCTCAGCCTCCCGAGTAGCTGGGATTATAGGCACCTGCCAACATACCCAGCTAATTTTTTGTGTTTTTAGTAGAGACGGTGTTTCACCATGTTGGTCAGGCTGGTCTTGAACTCCTGACCTCGTGGTTCACCCACCTCGGCCTCCCAAAGTGCTGGGATTACAGGCGTGAGCCACTGCGGCCGGCCACACAGTTTCTTTATGTACTCATTGATTGATGGGCATTTGGGTTGGTTCCACATTTTTGCAATTGCAAATTGTGCTACTATAAACGTGCATGTACAAACACCTTTTTCAGCGTTGGGACTAAATTGACCCAACATTTCTAGGACAATTTGGTAGTATCAGTCAAGTTATAAAATACGTATTCCGTGTGATTCAAGATTTACAGTGCTGGGGCATTTACTGTTGGAATACTTACAAATGTCACCAAATTAAATACACAGGGGTTATTTTTTAGTAGCACACACTTTTGATGTGACTGTGGAAAAGTAGTCTATGAGATTGGCATGTGGGATGGAGAAAACGAGGAAGCTACTTAAAGTTCATTCGAGGCCCTCACAATCCAGAACGTCTTCCTGCCTGTTCTTTCTACCTGCTCAGTGCTGCCTCTCTCCCAGCAGTTATTGGCCATAAGATTGAGATTACATCTGCTTGATGTTGTAGGAGATGGTGACATTCAAGGATGTGGCTGTGGTCTTCACCAGGGAGGAGCTGGGGTTGCTGGACCTTGCCCAGAGAAAGCTGTACCAAGATGTGATGCTGGAGAACTTCAGGAACCTGCTGTCAGTGGGTGAGCACAGGCACCTTCTGTAACTGAATATCAGCCCTCTGGACTGTCCTGCTTTCAATTATTTAAGACTTTGGGACGCTTAAAATGCTTCCCTGAACTTGGGGATGTGAATTTTCTAATTCCTCAGGGACATCTTGTCTATACCTTGTCTATTTTTCTCAAATTGCAGTTGTGAAATCTTGGTGGGTTTTGAAATCAGTTGGTGAGTTACATTATTATTGTGTTTAATGAAATGAAGTAGAAATATTATAGCTCCTTGTCAGGAACTGCATTCAGTGCAACGAAAATTGTAAGTAAAAACAGGAAAGAAGATGTGATAAAAGTAGATAATGGTTAGGATCAAATTATCTGATCACTTGATTTCAGTGATTTACATTTATGTATTTGTGTACCGGATCACAAATTAAAAGGTATTCAGACAATAGCTCATGATCACAATTTTGAAAAATACTACTTAGAGCGCATGAAAATGGTGGTGTTGGAATTAAAATTTTTGACTATAATGCATTCACTTTATATATATGCCATTTCTTTTTCACAGGCTATCAACCCTTCAAACTAGATGTGATATTACAGTTGGGAAAAGAAGACAAGCTTCGGATGATGGAGACAGAAATCCAAGGAGATGGGTGTTCAGGTGAGAACCATGGAGCTCTGAGTCTTTGCGGGGTACAGCCTAGTCCTCTCCTCCTCACCACCTCCTCAGCCACCAGCCTGGCCCAAGACCCCAGAATTCATCGCCCTGGTTTACTGCAGCAGCTTGCACATGACCTTCCTCCTTCTACCTCCCTCCAGTCCATTCTCCACATAGCCAGATCATGTAAGTCAGATCATGTCGCTCCTTGGCTCAAAAGCCTTCTGTGACTTCCCATCTCACTCATTAATTCCAAAATCTCTACGAGCCTTCAGGGTCCTATGTGACCTGGTCACCCACTCCCTGTGAATTGATTTCCTATCCTTTGCTTTTCACTCAGTTCTTTCCAGCCACACAAGACTGCTGTGTGTTTCTTATACATGCCAAGGGTGCTTTTTTTTTTTTTTTTTCTTTAAGACAGGTCTCACTCTGTGACCTAGGCTGAAGTGGTGGTGCAATCATGGTACACTGCAGCCTCGACCTCCCAGGCTCAATCGATCTTCTCACCTCAGCCTCCTGAGTAGCTGGGATGGGACTACAGGCACTTGCCACTATGCTGGACTAATTTTAAAACTATGTATATATACATGTTTTTTTTTTTTTGGTAGAGATGAGGTCTCACCATATTACCCAGGTTGGTCTCAAACTCCTGAGCTCAAGCAATCCTCCCACTTCAGCCTCCCAAAGTGTTAGGATTACAGGCATGAGCCACTGTGCCCGGCATACATGTATTTCTTTCTACCTGAAGCCTTTTGCTCTTCTGTCTGCCTGGGATGTTCTTACCTCATACATCCTCTTGGCTCCCAGCCTACTTCCTTTATGTCTGGTCAGATGTCATCTCATCACAGAAACCTGCTTTTTTTTTTCTTTTAGACGGAGTCTTGCTCTGTCGCCAGGCTGGAGTGCTATGGCGCGATCTTGGCTCACTGCAACCTCTGACTCCCTGGAAAACTGCTTTGACTACCCTGTTTAAAATACCTATCCTTGGCTGGGCGTGATGGCTCATCCCTGTAATCTCAGCACTTTGAGAGGCCAAGGTGGCAGGATCACTCGAGGCCAGGAGTTTAAGACCAGCCTGGACAACACAGTGAGACCGCACCTCTATAAAAAAATTTAAAAAATTAGCTCACAGCTATAACTGTGCCACTGCACTGTAGCCTGGGCGACAGAGCAAGACCCTGTCTCAAAAATACATACATACATACATACATACATACATACATACATTTAATTAAATTAAATACCCATCTCTTTATTCTGCCTTTGTGATTAATCATCAATCATCAGCTGACATATTCATGTATTACATTTTGTTTACTTTTCTATGGTCTCTTTCCCCATTAGAGTACAACTTCATGAACGTAAGAATTTTACCTGTTTTCTTTTCATTTTTCTTTTTCTTTTCTTAGAGATGGGGGTCTGGCTTTTTCACCTAGGCTGGAGTGCAGTGATACAATCATAGCTTGCTGCAGCTCAAACTCCTGGGCTGGGACTACAGGAGTGCACTACTGTGCCCAACACTAATATTACCTGTTTTAAAATTGCTGATCCTTATTGCCTTTAATAGGCTTGGCACGTAATACCTGTTCATTTAATATTTGTCGAATGAGTGACTGAATGAGTGAATGAATGGGTTAATGGACCGATGTCAGTAACGTCAGTTAATGGACTAATGGATAGGTGTTTTCATTTGAATAGTACTGTAATGGCTCCCTCACAGATCTCCCAACCTGTGGTATCTGCGAGACTTTTGGTGAGAGTTGCCTCATCCATACACCCAGTGACAACCTCCCTGTTCTGCTTTCACCCCTCTCCTTCTATTCTTTCTCTTCCTTATTTCATTCCCCCTTTTCTTCACTTCTTCCTTCATTTATCTTTAATTTGAATATACATCATAAATACCTAAAATACACTAATTAAAGTCATTCCTACTTGATAGAAGCACCAAAACGCAAAAACTAAATTAAACAAACAAAAAAAGCAAACCAAAAGCCCAGGAGAATCTCTCTGCTTATCTGAGAGAGACAGGCCCTGGATTTTGTAAGTAGCTGGAGTAGTAAAATCTTTCCAATCTTCTTATCTTTTATTTTCTTGTATCTCCATGCTCCATGAACGTTGACTGCATTGCAATCAGGAATGTTGGATGCTGACTTCTTTGACTGACTGCCTCATTTTTAAAAATTTTCTTTTTTTGTTTTTGACTGCCTCATTTTTGTGTATAAACCTAAAACTTGGGAATTATGATCCCAGTTATTGCCATTGTCCTTTTTTTTTTTCTTAACAGGTAGCTTCTTCCCAACTTCTTCTTTGCCTCCTTAGCAAATCTTGACTGTTTTTGTTTTTTTTTTCTTTTTTTGAGATGGAGTCTCGCTCTGTTGCCAGGCTAGAGTGCAGTGGCGCAATCTTGGCTGGCTGCAACCTCTGCCTCTCAGGTTCAAGCGATTCTCCTGCCTCAGCCTCCCGAGTAGCAGGGACTATAGGCGCATGCCACCACACCCAGCTAATTTTTGTATTTTTAGTAGAGATGGGGTTTCACCATGTTGGCCAGGATGGTCTCTATCTCTTGACCTTGTGATCTGCCCACGTTGGCCTCCCAAAGTGCTGGGATTACAGGCATGAGCCACTGCTCCCGGCCACAAATCTTTACTTTTTTTTTAATTTTTGGCCAATTTTTTATTGAAATATATACAGAAAACTGTACAAATTGTAAATGTATAGCTCCCTAAATTTTCAGGAAGTAAAATGGCTTGTTTTACAGCTCTTTTTTATTGAGGTAAAATTTACATGTGCACACCTTAAGTGTGCAATTTGATGAGTTTTGACAAAAGGATATAACTATGTAACTCACAGCCCTTGGAAAACTGAACAAATCTGACAGCGTATTCTACCCTCACCTCTCTTTATTTTTTGGCAAACATCAGAATTTTTTAGGGTTTCACATTCTGCTTATCCACCTACGTACCCAGCTCCACCTATACAAAATATTCCTGAGGTCTATTTTCACTGGACAGAAGTACAAATTAAAGGGCATCTTCTCCCTCAAGGATCAATGAAACAAAATCTCACAGAGTATGGTGCTAAGTGGATCTCACTGTCTTCACTTCTCATTGAGAGAGTTCACAGGCAGAGAATAAAGAGGTGTCACTAAAGGACTATTTCAGAACATAGTTACTCTTCTGATGTTATGTTCAGCCTACTTATAATTTTTATGACACCTGTGTTAGTTATCAATTATTTTATAACAAATTACTGTGAAACTTAGCACCTTGGCCAGTTGTGGTGGCTCACGCCTGTAATCCCAGCACTTTGGGAGGCTGAGGCAGGCAGATCACCTGAGGTCAGGAGTTTGAGACCAGCCTGGCCAACATGGTGAAACCCCATCTATACTAAAAAAAAAAAAAAAAAAAAAAAAATTAGCCAGGTGTGGTGGCAGGCAACTGTAATCCCAACTACTGGGGAGGCTGAGGCAGGAGAATCACTTGAACCCCGGAGGCAGAGGTTGCAATGAGCTGATATCATACCATTGCACTCCAGCCTGGGGAACAAGAGCGGAACTTCGTCTCAAAACAAAACAAAAACCTTAGCACCTTAAAACAATGAACATTGGTTTATAGTTTCTATGGGTTAGGTATATGGGAGCAGCTTAGCTTAACCCTAAGTGAGGGTTCTCACTCCGGATCTCAAAAAGCTGTTAAAGAGTGACGGAGCTGCCGTCCCCGGAAGGCTGGACTGGGACTGAAGGACCTGCTTCCAAGGTGGGCTCGTTCACATGGCTGTGGCAGGAGGCCTCGCTTCCTTGCTAAGTGAACCATTCCCTACGGCTGCTGAAGTGTCCTCAAAACATGGCAGCTAGTTTCTCCCAGACCCAGTGATTCAGGAGAGTGGAAGATAGAAGCCACAGTGTTTTTATGACCTAGCATCAGAAGTGACAGATCATCACTTCTGCCATATTCTATTGGTTTCACAGACCAAACTTGATACAGTGTGGGAGGGGGCTTCAAAAGGGAATGGATTCCAATGGGGAGTGATCACTGGGGACCATCTTGTATTAGCCATTTAGGTTTATCAGAAAATTCAGTCAAACCAAGTGGCAACAATTATCAATGCCTTTACTCCTATAGGGTGTGTCAGCTATGGGAATAAGTTTTCTAATTCTTTTTCATTTATCATGTTCACTAATTGAATATTATATACTTAGAACCTCATTGAAAAGAAGGAGAATTCTCTCAAATCTAGCTCATCAAATGTATGTTTAAGGACTAAATTAAGGAAATAATGGTACTATCTTATGGGTTCATTCTCAAGACAGAGAAGATATTTTTCTATATTCTCTTCACTTTTGCCAAGGATGTCCCCTCTTTCTTTCTTTGAGAATTCTTGGCATCACTAAATAATCCACTTGTGAATGCTGAAGGAGAGATTCAGGCTTTTGTAACCATTTTTGGGCTTTATCATATACAGATGCAGGTTGTACAATGTAACCATGATTCTGAGGCTCACATATAGCCAGGATTTTGTAGATTTTATACATCTGCCACGGAAAAGAGGAGAGGATTTTTTTTTTTTTTTGAGACGGAGTCTCACTCTGTAGCCCAGGCTTGAGTGCAGTGGCACGATCTCCGCTCACTGCAAGCTCTGCCTCCTGGGTTCACACCATTCTCCTGCCTTGGCCTCCCGAGTAGCCGGGACTACAGGCGCCTGCCCCCATGCCTGGCTAATTTTTCTGTATTTTTAGTAGAGACGGGGTTTCACCATGTTAGCCAGGATGGTCTCGATCTCCTGACCTCGTGATCCACCTGCCTCGGCCTTCCAAAGTGCTAGGATTACAGGTGAGAGCCACCGCACCCAGCCAAAGAGGAGGGATTTTTAAGTGATTATTCTTATGGACAAGGAGGTAAAGTTTCTCCTCTACAACGTCTTTCTAGGGCATCTTTTTGTTGCTCTGTAGCCTGTGTATTTGACCACATACATAAGTCTTGGTATTGGCCAGGCATGGTGGCTCACACCTGTAATCCCAGCACTTTGGGAGGCCAAGGCAGGCAGATGACTTGAGGTCAGGAGTTCAAGACCAGCCTGGCCAACATGGTGAAACCCTGTCTCTACTAAAAATACAAAAAAAATTAATGAGGTGTGGTGGCATGCACTTGTAGTCCCAGCTCCTCCAGAGGCTGAGGCAGGAGAATCACTTGAACCCCAGAGGTGGAGGTTTCAGTAAGCCAAGATCGTGCCACCACACTCCAGCCTGGGCAAGAGAGTGAGACTCCATCTCAAAAAAAAAAAAAAAATCCTCTCCTCTTTTCCATGGCAGATGTATAAAATCTACAAAATCCTGGCTATATGTGAGCCTCAGAATCATGGTTACATTGTACAACCTGCAGTCTCAAAAAAAAAAAAAAAAAAAAGTCTTGGTATAGCTCTAAATGAGTCTCATTAACATTTTGTATATAGAAGCCAGCCTTTTTTGTTGCCATAGGCATGAAAAAAACCAATGATAGTCTGGGTGCGGTGGCTCACACCTGTAATCCCAGCACTTTGGGAGGCCGAGGCGGGCGGTTCACGAGGTCAGGAGATCGAGACCATCCTGGCTAACATGGTGAAACCCCGTCTGTACTAAAAATACAAAAAAATGAGCTGGGCATGGTGGCAGGCGCCTGTAGTCCCAGCTACTCGGGAGGCCGAGGCAGGAGAATGGAATGAACCCGGGAGGTGGAGCTTGCAGTGAGCCAAGAGCACACCACTGCACTCCAGCCTGGGTGACAGAGCGAGACTCCGTCTCAAAAAACAAAAAAAGAGAAAAAAAAACAATGATAAAGTCAAGCTGAACTCTCCACTGGTTTATTAAGGTTTCCCAATGTGGTCAACCTGTGAAATGTTTTTTTATTTCTGAACAAATGTTCAGTTGTCTTCATTTTCATTTCTGAGTTCTCTTTATCATTCTAGGACACAAGAATCAAAATGAGATAGATACCCTTCAAGAAGTAAGATTAAGATTCCTTTCATATGAAGACCTTATATGCTGGCAAATATGGGAACAATTTACAAGTAAATTAACCAGTAATCAAGACCTAATAATAAATCTTCAAGGCAAGAGGTCCAAGTTGCTAAAACAAGGTGATTCCCCCTGTCAGGTGTGGACAGGAGAATCTAGTCAGGTCTCTGAAGATGAGAACTATGTAATAAAGCTACAAGGGGAGAGTTCAAATAGCATAAAAAATCAAGAGCTTCCATTGAGGACCACCTGGGATTTCTGGAGGAAAATGTATCTGAGAGAACCACAGAATTATCAGAGTAGGTGTCAGCAAATTGATGTAAAAAATAAGCTCTGTAAATGTGATCATTGTGTTAGGCAAAGAATTGCTCATCAACATGATGATCATGGAGTACACAAAAGAGAGAAAGCTTTTAGCCACAATAATTGTGGAAAAGACTGTGTGAAGGAATCATCCCAGCATAGCATAATCCAATCAGGAGAGCAAACCTCTGATGAAAATGGAAAAGGCTTAAGTGTTGGCTCTAATCTTGAACTTCACCAGCAACTACACTTAAGAGACAAGCCTCATGTAAATGTTGAGTACGGGAAGGGCATAGGTTACAGCTCAGGGCTTCCCAGGCATCAGTGTTTCCACATAGGAGAGAAATGCTATAGGAATGGTGACAGTGGTGAGGGCTTCAGTCAGGGCTCACATCTGCAACCTCATCAGAGAGTCAGCACAGGAGAGAACCTCTACAGATGTCAGGTATATGCCCGGAGCTCCAACCAGAACTCCTGTCTTCCCTCTCATGAGCTTACTCACCCAGGAGAGAAGTTGTGTACATGTGGCAGGTGTGGGAAGGGCTTCCATCATAGCTTAGATTTTGACATTCACTGTGTAGACAGTGCTGGAGAGAGAGCCTGTAAATGTGATGTATATGATAAAGGCTTCAGTCAGACATCACAACTTCAAGCCCATCAGAGAGGTCACTCTAGAGACAAGACATACAAATGGGAAGTAAGTGACAGGATATTTAATAGGAATTCTGGTCTTCACCAGAGAGTTCACACTGGAGAGAAACCATATAAATGTGAGGTATGTGATAAGGGCTTCAGTAAGGCCTCAAATCTTCAAGCCCATCAGAGAATCCACACTGGAGAGAAACCCTACAAATGTGATGTGTGTGATAAGAACTTCAGCCGTAATTCCCACCTTCAGGCCCATCAGAGAGTCCATACAGGAGAGAAACCCTACAAATGTGACACATGTGGGAAGGACTTCAGTCAGATCTCTCATCTTCAGGCCCATCAGAGAGTTCACAAAGGAGAGAAGCCATACAAATGTGAGACATGTGGGAAGGGCTTTAGTCAGAGTTCGCATCTCCAAGACCATCAGCAAGTCCATACTGGAGAGAATCCCTACAAATGTGATGTGTGTGGGAAAGGCTTCAGTTGGAGTTCACATCTTCAAGCCCATCAGAGAGTCCACACAGGAGAGAAACCATACAAATGTGAAGAATGTAGGAAAGGCTTCATCTGGAACTCATATCTTCATGTTCATCAGAGGATCCACACGGGAGAGAAACCCTATAAATGTGGCATGTGTGGTAAGAGCTTCAGTCAGACTTCACATCTTCAAGCCCATCAGAGAGTCCATACTGGAGAGAAACCATACAAATGTTTTGTGTGTGGTAAGGGCTTTAGTAAGAGTTCGTTGTCTTCAGATTCATCAGAGAGTCCATGATGGTGATGAATCTATTAATCATGATGAGTGTGATAGGGGTGCTCTTCAAGACTTAGACTTCCCATTTTCCTCAGAAAATCCACACAGCACAGAATATTTATAAAATGTCATGTTTTAAGAATTCATGAGCTGAGTTTTTATAGTTATCTGAATTCCATTGAAGAAAACCTATTTTTGTATGAATATGACCAGTTTCAAGCAGAGCCCAAAATGTCACAGTTGTCAAGAGAACACACAACAGAGAAACCCTATAAAGAATGATACAATATGTTTCAATCAGAACCTTCACATCCAATAAGCAATATGCAGGAGTGAAGCCTTCAAAATGATAAGTAAGGTCAGAATTTAGCAAAAGTATAATGAGGGACATGACAAAATCTGTGTCCACTAGAATCTAAGCTCCATGCAGGAACATTGTTTACTGCTGCATGATCGTGACCTTGAACAAGTACCTAAGAAATAGTGGCTTCCCTGGAATTGTTTAACTTGATAGGAAAAATCTATCATATATAGGACATATATTTGAATATTTTAGTGAGCTCAGCCCCAATTCGTCATTATAATTGTACTGGGAAAAGGATTCTTGCAAGAAGCCTTAAAATGAATTCAAGGAAATGACATTTAATTAAAACACATAAAACCAAGCAGTCTACAATCTGAGTAATGTTTTTGCAATTGGCTTCTGTCCTCAGTTCAGCTTCATTTTCCAAGCAGTATAATAGGCCAAAGTTTCTATCTGATTATTTAAGACTTTTTCCATACAGTGTACAGCTGTGCTATGTTTCTTTGGCGGGGGCTTTTGCTATCTTTCTTTTTGGGAGCTAGTGTGATAGAAACAGACTGAATGAAGAAAAAAATCCCAACTGGTTTTTAGTTCCATAAAGCTTCATGAGAAAGGTTTTGCAAAAAAGGGGAATATCATATGGCATGCATTTTAGATGTTAAACTAAGCTGTTAAGGACACAGCATTTTGGACAACACCCCATACTTCTCAGACATCATTACACGTTATGCAGTGTGTAATGATCAAATCATAGTAATTGGATGAAGGGTTTACTCAGGTGTATATTTAGTGGAGGTGGGAGAAAGTTTCCCACTGTTGTTTTTTTTTTTTTGTCCTGGACCTTACCTTCCAGGACAATGAATACTTAAGTTCCATGATACCTCATTTCATGCTACCATCAGAAATACAGGGCCAATAAATGAAAAAGAAAAAATAAATAAAAAAGATAAAAACAAAAAAAGAAATACAGGGCCAATAATGCTTTGCTTCATCACCACCAGATTACTAGGGTGGGCTGCTGGAGCACATGGTTGTTTAAATCAAGATGTTTTCAATTGTGAGAAATGGAAAATCACACTCCAACTAGCTGGAACAAAATTTATTGGTATGCATATTTAAAAAGAAGAGGCTGGGCATGGTAGCTTATGCCTGTAATCCCAGCACTTTGGGAGGCCGAGGCGGGCAGATCACAGGTCAGGAGTTTGAGACCAGCCTGGCCAATGTGGTGAAACCCAGCCTCTACTAAAAATACAAAAATTAGTCGGGTGTGGTAGTGGTGCCTGTAATCCCAGCTACTCAAGAGTCTGAAGCAGGAGAATCGCTTGAACCCGGGAGGCGGAGGTTGCCATGAGCCAAGATGGCGCCATTGCCCTCCAGCCCAGGGGGCCGGTATGAGACTCCATCTCAAACAAGACAAAACAAAAAACAAAAAGAATACAGGTAGGACAGGACCAGGTCTCGTTGAAACAGGGCTCTGGGTCAATTCTTCTGTGATTCCCTCACCTCTGCCCTTCTGGTTGAGTTGATTCCCACATTTGTTCATTCCAACCTACTGAGGAAATTTACTTAAAGAATAGATGCTCAGTTAACATTCTCATATCACACACTCCCTTTTCTGTGCACTTCTAAAGCAGTTATTTTCGGAACCTCTTTTTGCTCTTAATCATGTAGAGACTTTTCATTTTCCTAAATATATCATACCTAAACAAATAACTCATAGAGGTACTGTGGGTTATGGTTTGCCATTTGAACCATGCATCAACCTTCTGGAGAATCTTTTAAAGTATATACATTTTTCCAGAGTAAAATTAATTTTTTTCTAAAACACGTGAAGTAGTTTTTATTAATATATTAATAGTTGTATATATTTATGGGATGCACGTGATATTTTGATTTGTGCACATACAATGTGTAATGATCAAATCATGGTAATTGGGATATGCATCACCTCAAACATTTATCATTTCTTTGTGTTGGGAACATTCTAAATCTTCTAGTTATTTTGAAATATACAACAAATTCTTGTTAACTGTAGTTGCCCTACTGTGTTATTGATTAGCTATAATAAATAAGTTCTAGTGTTACTGACACTGTTCTATCTGATCATATTTTTGTACCCATTAACCAACCTCTCTTCATCCTTCCCTCACCCCTATCCATCCCAACCTCTGATAACCACCATTCTAAATCACTTCCTCCTTGAGATCAATATTTTTAGTTCCTATATAGGAATGAGAATATGCAAAATGTGTCTTTCTATGCCTGGATGATTCCACTTAACACAATATCCTCTGGTTCCATCCATGTTGCTGCAAATGACAGGAGAAAGAAAATGTGGTATATACACACAATGGAATATTATCCAGCCATTAAAATAATAAAATCCTGTCATTTGCAGCAAGAGATTGTCTGATTTTTGTTTGTTTTTTATTTATTTATTTATTTTTTTGAGACAGGTCTCAGTTGACCAGGCTGGAGTGCAGTGGCACAATCCTAGTTCACTGTAGTCCCAACCTGCCAGACTCAAGCAATCTTCCCACCTCAGCTTCCTGAGTACTAGGGACTACAGGCATGCACCAACATGCCCAGCCAATTTTTTGTAAAGATGGTCTCACCATGTTGCCCAGATTAGTCTCAAACTCCTGAGCTCAAGCTATTTTCCTGCCTCGACATCCCAAAGTGCTGGGATTACAGGCATGAGCCACTGCACCTGGCCTGAATAAAGAATTTTATCTATATATACTTGGTCTAAACAGAAAAAGACCTGCAAAGAAATCATGAACACTAACAAAGTTTGTTATGTGCATTCATGTTAGTTGGCAACTCCAAAACTACTTGCCAGGTATTGGAGGACTGAACAGATGCATAAACATACTGATGATGCTGGGGGCCAATTTCTGACTCTTGGAGAAAGAAGTAAATATGGAATGGGAAAATCCCTTAGGAAGAATCCTGCAATACTTATTTAAAATGAGAGGGGTCAGTATTTTACACAGACACAGACACACACACACACACACACACACACACACGACTATTATCCCAATAATGATTAGTATGCACAGCACCCAGATCTTGGTTTCTAAGTATCATTCCCCACTAAAAGCAATCAGAGCTCTACAGAATCTGTGGCTGAGGCAGGGAATATACAAGATAAACCTAATATCTTACTGTACCAGAAAACAAAGGTTCATATGGATGACAGACAGGTAGAGAGACATGGGGGTAGGGGAAGGAAAAGCTCTTCTAACAAACAGTAGGATGCCAATTACTAAAAATAAAAGGAATGACGGAGTCAGAAAGTCATATTTTGCAGTCATCACAGTAATAACTGATTCAGACAAGAATCATCAATGAACACTAAAACTAGTGGGTGAAAGACGAGATGATAACATAGTCTCAAAGATCTTCCCACAAATTGCTTATTAATTTCAAAGCCAAAATAGCAATTTTTTAGTGGAAAAACCTAGGAGACACCAGTTCACACAAGTTATCAACGCTAACGCCAACAAAACACATCATGTGTTTCCTATTGTGATGCACTGACAAGTATGCATTAGTCATGCAATACTCAATCTACAAACATTTAACTTGAATCTAATCATGAGGAGTCAAACTCAAATTTAGGGTTGTTCTACAAAATAGCTTGTTGTCTTCAAAATGCTCATTTCATGAAAGACAAAAAATGGCTATGGAACTGATCCAGGTTGAAGACTAAAGAAACATGACAATGAAATGCAGGCATGATACATTTTAGATTGGACCCTGAACTAGAAAATGCTATAAACATTATAGGACAACTGTGGAATTTAAATAAACTCTGCAGATTAGGAAACATTACTGTTTCTTTTTCTTTTTTTTTTTGAGATGGAGTCTTGCTCTGTCGCCCAGGCTGGAGTGCAGTGGCATGATCTTGGCTCACTGCAAGCTCCGCCTCCTGATTTCACGCCACTCTCCTGCCTCAGCCTCCCAAGTAGCTGGGACTACAGGTACCACCACAGTGCCTGGCTAATTTTTTGTATTTTTAGTAGAGATGGGGTTTCACTGTGGTCTCGATCTCCTGACCTTGTGATCCACCCGCCTTGGCCTCCCAAAGTGCTGGGATTACAGGCGTGAGCCACAACGCCCAGCCAACATTACTGTTTCAACCTACAATGGTCTTAAAATATGTTTACAGATTATTTTACTACCCCCTTGATTGTAGATAGGCTTTTGACTGTCTCAACAAACCGAGGCAGAAGTGATGTTGGAACTTCCGAGGCGAGATTAAAAAGGGTCATAGTATTTGTGCTGGCTTTTATCTGGATACTAGCTTTGAGCCACCATGTAATGTCCAGTTTCTGTGAAGTCACCATGCTGAAGAGGTCACAGAGAGATAGAAAGACATGTCTGAGAAACCAAAGCTGTGTCATTCTCTCAGTTCAGGCAGTAGATGTGGAAATGAACAGGTCTAACTGCAATCACATTAGAGACCCCAAGAATATGTGGGATTCTTTTGTATTATTCTTGCATCTTTTCTTAATGTTTAGAATTAATTCAAAATAAAAGTTTTAGAACTTTAAAAAACATTACAAAAATGTTAAAAATTACTACACGAGCCCCCTTAAAGTAACAAGATCATATGTGTACATATATACGCATATCACATACACATATATACACACTCATACAAAATCCTGTCTCTGCCCACTTTCCTAAACATATTCTCAGTAACTACCAACGTCAATAATTATAAATGTACCTCCTCTCATTTCACTCTGTATTCCACTGAATGGATAAGTCATCAAATATTTTGTCAATCCAACTGATAAATGCAAAGTTTGCTATTATCAACAATGCAACTGTGAACATCCATTTACACACATCTGTAACTGCGTGTCTCAGTCTTCAAATGCATCTTAAAAGTTTTCTCCCTTTCCTTCCTGATATGGTTTGGCTGTGTCCCCACCCAGATGTCATCTTGAATTCCCACATGTTGTGGGAGGGACCTGGTGGGAGGTAATTGAATCAAGGGGGCAGGTCTTTTATGTGCTGTTCTCATGATAGTGAATACATCTCACGAGATCTGATGGTTTTAGAAAGGGGAGTTTGGCCAGGTGCGATGGCTCATGGCTGTAATCCCAGCACTTTGGGAGGCTGTGGCGGGCGGATCACGAGGTCAGGAGTTCAAGACAAGCCTGACTAACACGGTGAAACCCTGTCTCTACTAAAAATACAAAAATTAGCCGGGAGTGGTGGCACATGCCTGTAATCCCGGCTATTCAGGAGGCTGAGGCAGGAGAATTGCTTGAACTTGGGAGGGGAAGGTTGCAGTGAGCCGAGATCGCACCACTGCATTCCAGCCTGGGTGACAGAGCGAGACTCTGTCTCAAAAAAGAAAAGAAAAGAAAAGAAAAGAAAAGAAAAGAAAAGAAAAGAAAAGAAAAGAAAAGTGGGGCGGGGGGGGAGTTGTTCTGCACAAGCTCTCTCTTTGCCTGCTGCAATCCAGAGACTCTGTCTCAAAAAAGAAAAGAAAAAAAAGGGGGGGTGGGACTTTTCCTGCACAAGCTCTCTCTTTGCCTGTCATCCATGTAAGACGTGACTTGCTCCTCCTTGCCTTCCACCATGATTGTGAGGCCTCCCAGCCATGTCAAACTGTAAGCCCATTAAACCCTTTTTCCTGTATAAATTATGCAATCTGGGGTATGTCTTTATCAGCAGCATGAAAAGAAAGAGACACAGAGACAAAGTATAGAGAAAGAAAAGTGGGCCCAGGGGACCGGCACTCAGCATATGGAGGACCCGCGCCAGCCCTGGTCTCTTGAGTTCCCTCAGTATTTATTGATCATTATCTCTACCATCTCAGAGAGGGGGATGTGGCAGGACATTAGGGTAATTGTGGGGAGAGGGTCAGCAGGAAAACATGTAAACAAAGGTCTCTGTGTCATAAACAAGGTTAAGAAAAGGTGCTGTGCTTTGATGTGCACGTAAACAAACATCTCGGTGCATTAAAAAGCAGTATTGCCGCTAGCATGTCTCATCTCCAGCGTTAAGGCGGTTTTCTCCTATCTCAGTAAATAGAACATACAATAGAGTTTTACACCGAGACATTCTATTGCCCAGGAACGAGCAGGAGACAGATGCTTCTTCTTATCACAACTGCAAAGAGGCCTTCCTCTTTTACTAATCCTCCTCAGCACAGACCCTGTATGGGTGTCGGGTGTTGGGCTGGGGGACGGTCAGGTCTTTCCCTTCCCACAAGGCCGTATCTCAGGCTATCACATGGGGAGAAACCTTGGACAATACCTAGTTTTCCTAGGCAGAGGTCCCTGTGGCCTTCTGCAGTGTATTGTGTCCCTGGGTACTTGAGATTAGAGAATGGTGATGACTTTTAACAAGCATACTGCCTTCAAGCACTTTTTTAACAAAGAACATTCTGCATAGCCCTAAATCCATTAAACATTGAGTCAACACAGCACATGTCTCTGCGAGCACGGGGTTGGGGCTAGGGTTACAGATTAACAGCATCTCAAGGCAAAAGAATTTTTCTTAGTATAGAACAAAATGGAGTCTACTTCTTTTTACATAGACACAGTAACAGTCTGATCTTTCTTTTCCCCATAGTAAAAGCTATTGGATCTTTGTTTGTATATGTGTGCACATATTTAGATATGTTTATGTGATTATATTGTTACATGTATGTAACATGTATTATGTTATGTGTTGGTCTAGCATGATACCAAATGGCCTTGTAAGTAGATAATTATAAATTAGGTACAAATGCTTTTCAAGTTCACACAGATCTTCAGTAAATAAAACTGGTTTTAAAATCATTAGTAAGATAAAAATGTCTTCAGAATTGTCAGCATACATTTTTGTCTGGGCAAATAAGTTTTATAGTTTTATAGTTGCCTTGGCTAAATGTTTTAAGGTGTCACAGTTTGGCACAAAGGTTCTGAGACTATAAACCCAACTGAAAACAGAGTAATCTTTGTGTATTTTTTTTGAAAAATAAAACTAATTTAAAATTTTTAGTTTAATGAAAACAGCTAAATCTTCTGAGTTATTGGCAAAATGCCCAGTGTTTAAGGTTCTTACTTAGATGTATACCTGATATTCAGATTTTAAAAATGGTTAACAGGGAAATAACTTTAAATAATCACCAGCTTTATGTAGTATCTCAGTTTTCAGTACTAATCTAGATAAGCTGTTAAAAATGAGAAAATATCGAGTACATATGAGATAAATGCTTATAGACTTTTTGTGTAATTTAAAACCCTAAAAACTTTAAATTAAATAATACTCATTCACCCTTTCTACTTTCCCATATATTATGGCACAGAATGGTTGATGACAGTGTAAATCCACGTAATAGGTCAAGACCTCTATGAATTGAAAATAAAATGCTACTAAAATTCTAGAGAAACCAAGGGCCAGACCAACAGCTAGCCAAAAAGTAGACAGTAACTCATGACGTGCTGCTAACCATCCATTCATCTGTCAGACTGGCTGGAATCAGACCATAGACGCATCACACTCGGGTGAAGGCAGCTCCTCCTCAACCTGATACCTCAGACAATCAGACTGCTTGGTCATGTAAATCAAGAGAGGACCTAAAGCTATTTATTAAAGAAAAATCATACAAATAAGTAACACCCTTCTGTTAACATGAATTGTTAATGAATTGTACAGTCGTAACTACATTCTTTATCTTTGCTAAAACTAACCTTTTTGCTGAATGGGCATAGATGGTGACTTTCCTCCAAAATAAAAGGCTGTTGGGTCTGCAGGGAGCTACCCCTTTCTTTAATCACAGGCTTGCCATGGTGCATACAAACTGCTAACCTGAGCACTTGAGTATTTTTATACTTGGAGTAAAAATACTTACCTGTTTCCCTTCTATGATTAGAGTACCACTTACCATGAGTTCCCTGCCTCTGAGAAAACACAGAAACGTATTTTCCTTCTGGTTCATAAACAGGTTAATGCCACCCCCACTACAGGATATGCCATAGATGATGGCATATGATGGTTGATGGCAGTGTAAATCCAGGTAATGGGTCAAGACTTCTATGCATTGAAAAACACAGTAACAGTACACCCCACACTATCTCCCACGATATGGGATGACTACCTCTTCAACAATGTGGCCAAACCCTTGGACTGACTAATAACATGTGACTAGGATGGCACAATCAAAATAGCATCCACCTCCATAACAGAGCCTCATCCTTCCCCCTGGGGTTTGCTATGGGTCTGCGGCACTCATGGTTGGCCTTACTGTTGGGGATCAGCCTTAATACCACCTGTAGGGTACCCGAAGTCCAGTGGTGACAAAGGAATGAGAAGAGACAGGTTAAGTGTTCATAAAGGTGGGAGCCAGGGGGCCAGAGCAAATCAGAGGCTGCAAAGGCCCGGAGCTGAAGTCTCTACACTATTTATTGAATATGATCACTTAGATCTGAGAAGCAGATGTTCAGGGCGAAACAGTGAAAGGGAGGCAGTGCATTATATGCGTGATCTATAGCAGTGGCGGTTTAAGTGAATCTCCTTTGTGCTCAGTGTATCTTTAACTTATCGGAGAGTAGCTGGTGGGAGCAGGCTTAACTAGGAGCTTGCGTATCTGTCTACATTTCAATGTCTTAAAGGAGTGACTTTTTTCCTGAACACAGCGTTTACAGATAAGAGAGCAGGTCTCACTCTGAGCATGGGAACATGATGGCAATTAGGAGGCTTTCCTCCTCAGAGGCCTCTTGTGGCTTTCCACAACTTATTGTCCGATATTTTTATGGCCAATTTATGCAGGCACTCCACAAGCCCTTTTCCCAGCACTTACAACTGGAATGGTAGATGCACCTAGGGGCGCCCTTCCCTACCAGGATGTATCCTTTCCCATTTAGACTCTCTCCATGCCAACTGGGAAAGTGTAAAAGGCGAGACGATCCCATCAAAAATAGGCATCAAGGTGGTTGTACCCAGTAGTCCTTTCTTTCCCCCAGGCAGTGGCCACAGATGTAAAATTACAAATAAAAGACCTGGTTAAACAAACGGCTGCTACCTTTAATAATATCCATCATGTCATCCCCTTTCTCGCTGAAAAACCCTCACAAGATTAGACAAGTCGCCCTGCACAACCACATGGCCTTAGATATCCTGACTGCAGCACAAGGCAGCCCTTGTGCACTGATTAAGACTGAATGTTCTGTCCGGGAGCAGTGGACTACAGTGCCTGTAATCCCAGCACTTTGGGAGGCTGAAAAGGGTGGATCGCTTGAGGTCAGGAGTTCGAAACTGGCCTGGCCAACATAGTGAAACCCTCTCTACTAAAAATACAAAACTTAGCTGGGCATGGTGGTATACACCTGTAATCCCAGCTACTGGGGAGGCTAAGGCATGAGAATTGAACTTGAGAGGCAGAGGTTGCAGTGAGCCAAGATTGTGCCACTGCACTCCAGCCTGGGTGACACAGCAAGGCTGTCTCAGGAAAAAAAAAAAAAAAAGACTAAGTATTGTGAATATATACCACATTATTCTCACACTATGACCTAAGCTATGCATACACTGGACATCCATATTTCTGATACAGATATAGGATCCTCTCCCAGGACCCTTTAACAGTGTGGTCCAGCTGACTTCCTTATAAAAGACTTTCATATACAGTATGGTTGGTATTCTTCTCATTGTCCTCATCAGCTGCTATGGATTTTACTACTGTTATACACTGAGGACAGACTTTCTCAAAAGTTCCTAGGTCCTCAGTCCTCACACTGTAAGGCTCCAGCAAGTTCCTGCTATAGATCTGGGAATGTGGATATATTTCCAACTCCAAGTGAATAGATTCCATTCTGGTACTTCCCAACTATGCCCCCTTTCAGCAGGAAGCAGCCAGATTAACTGCGTTGCCCACTTTCCATAAAAATAGGATGAAGTTTGACAGTGGGGAATTCTTACAGAGTACTCCAGCTTTGAAATGCATTTTAAAACTTTTCTCCCTTTCCTCCCCAATCTCAGAATGTGGCCTTATATGTTAAAACTCTTCATCTCTCCCTTTCCCACGAGGTACTTCATGCACAGTGCTCACTTGTATAATTGTGCTTGCTTAGAAATTCCAAGCACTAATTTTAAAGCAAAACAGACACAGACTAAATAAATCAGCTGCACAATCCTCCCACTTAAGGGCAGTTATGAACAGTTCATCCACCACTCCTGGGCCAAAGTCAAGAAGATGCAAACCAGACCTCCAAATGGGTGACTGCTCAAGATAAACCATCAGAAGAAGACATGCAAGACCTGCACCCGACTGCACCGCTCCCACGTATTTCCCACACCAAGTTTTCCCTCTTAAACTCCTTCACTCAGCCCAAAAAGTTGGAATGGTCTTTTAAGGTATGAGCCTGGCCATTTCCCAATTACTAACATTTGATTAGTAAAACTGCTTTCCTTTTACTACATTTTGCTTTTCATGTTTTCAGCCTTTGAGTAGCAAGCAGCTGGACTTAAGCCAGTTACACATCCATAACACAGGATTACATGCCATATAATGAGATAAAACAAACAAGATTTAGCTATAAGGGATTTTCATTTATGCATAACTTTGTTTCACTTTTACTTTGGTAAAATTGATGTCACTGTAATTTTTTGAAAAGTTAAAATATCATCCCAACCTTCCATGCCACAGTAAACAATTGTTAGCATATTAATATCCTTCTATTATTTCTATGCATATAATCACATCATTAGGTGGACATACTTCTATTAATTGGATAATCCCAGGAAGGGTCTAACCTAGTTTTCTCATGAATAATGTCTTCTCTAGTCATTACAGACCTCTGATCATCTTAATGGCTGTATATTATAAGGATATATCAAGACTTACTCAAATATTTTACTTTTTCCTTTTTGAATTCAGGATAAATATCCTTGTGTACAATCTTTCTCGCTTTTGTCACAATCTCCTAAGTGAAATTTCTAGTGCTAGGACTGCCAGGGCAAAGAGTATTTATTGTCCACTAATACCAAGAGGTCTTAAGCATAGAATGCTGTGTAAGTGGTAATCCATCTAAATCATTACACTGAATACAATTTCAAGGTTGGGCACAGAGGTTCACATCCATAATCTCAACACTTCGGGAAGCCAAGGTGGGAGGAATGCTTGAGGCCAGGAGTTTGAGACCAACCTGGGCAACACTGCAAGGCTCTATTAAACAAAATAAATAAACAATAAGATACAATTTCAATAAAGACTCAACAGGTTTCTTGCCCTGCCACTTCCTTTTAAGGGGATAAATGTGACAAATTAACATGCCTGAAATCTGCCAAAGCTCCTTCTAAAGCGGCCTACATGGAGGAAAGACTACACATAGAAAAGCAACTTGACCTGAACCTGAATGAAAATAATGAAAGGAAACCAAGTATTAACAATTCAAGTTTACTAAGAAACTTTTTGTCATCAGTAACTACTTTTAACACTTTCAGAGTTACAGTACAGCTTAGTGTCCAAAAATTCTAATCATGTAAATTGCAGGGTCACATTAGATAAAAACAGTATTGTTCAGTCTATAAACTGACACTAAAAATCATACTGTACACAACTGATGATACACTGTACAAAGAACTAAGGCTGAAGGATGGGAGCCATTCATGTCTTTTTTCCAAATTTGTGTTAGTATGGATGGCAGTATTATATACTTTTCAGTACTTACTGAAACTAACGTTATTAAGGCTACTTGCAGGATTCCTTTTGAATATAAATTAATATAAATTTAGAGTAGAAAACAGACTAGAATTTTCAAGTATTTGTCCTAATTATAGGTATTTTCTTCACTTTCTTCAGTAATTGCTGGGCCCTATTATGAGCCAAGCACAATTCTACATGGTAGAGATAGAGTGGTGAAAAACACCTCCTTACATAGAGGTTACATTTTAGTTGACATCCATTTTTTCTGTCAATCATACTTTTGTTAAAGGAAGGCCTCTCTCCTGTGCAGACTCCGACAAGACTTTTCTGCTGTGTTACATCTTGAGAACCGGGACACCTGGTACTCTGATATAAACACTGATCATATTTACAGAACAAAGTTTTCTCGCATCTGTGAAATATGACGTTTGTAAAGAATTCATGTCCTAACCAAGTCTAAAACACAGCATTTGAGAGACTTCTTTCCTGTCAAGATTCTTTGAAGCTTCTAGTTTTAAAGGAACTTTTCACAATCATCAGCATGGACTTCCCAACGGAGACAAAGATGTGAGCTCTAACTGAAGGCTGAACCACACCTCTCATTTCTACAGATTCCCTCCAGTGTGGACTCTCTGATGGTAGATGAGATGTGACCTCTGACTGAAGCCCTTACAACAGACATCACATATGTAAGGCCTCTCTCCAGTGTGGACTCTCTGGTGTGTGTGAAAATGTGAGGCCTGACTGAAGCCCTTCCCACACTGCTGACACGTATAGGGTTTCTCTCCTGTGTGGACCCTCTGATGGGCACTGAGACCAGCACTCCAACTGAATTCTTTCCCACATTCCTCACATTTAAATGGTTTCTCTCCAGTGTGAATTATCTGATGGACTTGAAGATTTGACCTCTGGCTGAAGGCCTTACCACAAGTGTCACATTTATATGGTTTCTCTCCGGTGTGGACTCTCTGATGGGCTTGAAGGTGTGAGGCCTGACTGAATCGCTTCTGACATGCATCACACTTGAATGGTTTTTCCCCAGTGTGGACGCTCTGATGGGCTTGAAGATTTGAAGCCTGACTGAAACCCTTACCACACTCTTCACATTTGTAGGGTTTCTCTCCGGTGTGGACTCTCTGATGATTGTGAAGATTCAAGCTCCAATTGAAGCGCTTCCCACACACTTCACATTTGTATGGTTTTTCTCCAGTGTGGACTCTCTGATGTGCTTGAAAGTATGAACTCTGACTGAAGCCTTTCCCACACACGTTGCATCGAAATGGTTTCTCTCCTGTATGGACCCTCTGATGGCTCTGGAAACTTGAGGCTGAACTAAAACCCTTACCACACTCTTCACATTTATATGGTTTTTCTCCTGTGTGGACTCGTTGATGACTATGAAGATTAAAGCTCAAACTAAAGCACTTACCACACTCATCACATTTGTATGGTTTTTCTTCAGTGTGGACTCTCTGATGGGTATGAAGATTTGAGCTACAACTAAAGCGTTTACCACAATCCCCACATTTATATGGTTTCTCTCCAGTGTGAATTCTTTCATGGGCCTGAAGATGTGATCTCTGAGTGAAGCCCTTCCCACACACCTCACATTTATAAGGTTTCTCTCCAGTGTGAACTCTGCAATGAATGTTAAGATCTGTGCTACGACTGAAGCCCTTCCCACAACTGTCACATCTATAGGGCTTCTCTCCTGTGTGAATAGGCAAATGAGCATAAAGATGTGAGCTCTGATTAAAGCTCTTACCACACTCGTGGCATGTATAGGGTTTCTCCCCTGTGTGGACTCTCTGATGAGTTTGCAGATTTGAGCTCTGACTGAAACCTTTACCACATTCATGACACCAATAGCGTTTTTTCCCAGTACGAACACTTTGTTGAACAGGAATACCTGAGCTATAACTGGTGTCCTTCTCATGTGTACTACACGCTGGAGACTTCTTTCCCAAGTGTACCTGTTTATGAAGTTCAAGACTGGAGCTATCATTGAAGGCTTCTTCACATTCATTACCCTGGTAGGTTTTCTGTCCTGTGTGAATACTACGCTGGGTAAGAGGTGATACCTTTAGGGTATCTTTACCACAATCACTATTGCTATGAACTTTATCTCTTTTGTGCACTATATTATCATCATGGTGGTGTGAAATACAACTGAAAATGTCAACATATGGAGCAAATATACATAGTTTGTTTTTCATCTGAGTCTGCTTACAACTTCTCTGATAATTCTGTGTCTCATTCAGATATATTTTACTCCAAGAATTCGGAACTTTCCCAGTTGGAAATTCTTGATTTTCAATGATACTGGAATGATCCCCTATGTGATTCACTAGACAGTTGTCATCCACAGAAGCTTGAATAGATTCTCCTGCTCCCACTTGACAGGGGGAATCATGGTGCTTGGGGAACTGAGAGCTCTTTCCTTCAATATTTATCATGGAGTCTTGACTTCTGGCTAATTTGCTCGCAATGTGTCTCTTGATTTGCCAGCATGAAAGCTCTCCCAGTGAAAAGCACCTTAATCCTGCTTTGTGAAGAGTTGCCATCTCATTTTGATTCCTGTCTCCTGAAAGGATAGAGAGAATAAGGAATAAAGGACCAAGAGACTGACATTAGCAAAGTAGAGAATTAAGATCTAAGCTCTCATTTTCCCCATGGAAACGTCAAAAAAACAACTAGACTGGCTGAAATAAATTTATAGGAACTCTGAAAAGCAGCTGCAACCAAGAGAACACCAAATGTTTTAAAAAGCCATATTTAAGATAGAAAATTTGAGATCAGCCCAGGGTATGGTTAAGGTGTATCTTGGGTCTTTTCTGAGTATGAGTCTTGCTGCCTGTGTGTATTCTCCAGTATACACAACTCCAAAGTGAATGCTTTGTCCAGATGTTTCCAAATTTTACACATAGTTCCTTCGGTATCAGGCTTTAGTTCATGATGGAAACTTTCAGCTTATCTTTACCATCACAGATTTTCCTGGATTTTATTTGCCTCTCGAAACACAGAACTACAGATCTAAGAATAGGACAAGAGGTAGAAACCAGCCAACTGCAGAACAACAAAATGATATCTCAGTAAGTACTTAGAAAGGAAAAATTGACTTCTTTGCCTATAAGAATGGTAAATTAAAAGTCACCTCTTCTTTGGCTACAGCAACTGAATCGTAAGTAGCAACTACATAAATCAGGCAAAATATATGCCTCAATTATAGGCTCTCATTATACAACCTGCACATCTAGAAACATGCTCAAAATAACTGATAGACAAATCCATATTTATAGCTGGAGATTTCAATACCCCTTTCCAACAGCTAGTAAACCAAGTAGGAAGATATGTGGTGGCACTCATGTAACTGAGTCCGTGCTGTGAAAGGGACAGCTGCCCTGGCCCCTTGGGGGTCAGAAGTCACCATGCCAAGGGCTGTGTGAAAGGTGCTAAGTTCCACTGAGACCCAAGCTCCAGTTTTTGAGAAGCCAAAAGGAGGGAGCACCAGGCTTCCTTCCAACCAGTGGTGCTGGTATCCTCCAAGTTTCTTCCTCCAGGCCACCTGTGGATATGCCATCCAGAAACCAGTCCAGCCCAGCCAAGATGATGACCTGTCCCCTTATACGCTGCTCAAAGACTACCAGAACTTTCCCAGGATTGAGAGGGTTGATGACATTGGGAAAAGACACTTGTCTTTGGAAATGGCCAACCAGGAGAAGCCAAAAATTAAGCCAGAATAGTTGATAAAAAAGGACATGGCAAGCCCTGAGGACACCAGCTCCACAGAGGCTGGAATTATCGACTTGAACATCAAGGCCCACAGTTTTGTTTTGTTTTGTTTTGTTTTTTTGAAATGGAGTTTTGCTCTGCCACTCAGGCTGGAGTATAGTGGCATGTTCTCGGCTCACTGCAACCCCCGCCTCCTGGGTTCAAGCGATTCTCCCACCTCCTGGGTTCAAGCGATCCTCCCACCTCAGCCTCCCAAAATGCTGGGATTACAGGCATGAGCCACTGCACCTGGCCAAGATCTGCAGTTATGAAAAACACATGCTGACATATTGAAAGGACAAAGCCCACAAATGCTATCTGCTGATAAGCATCAACCAGAGGAAAAAGATGCTCAAAAACCTCCACAAAACCTATTATGACAACTCTGGGAAGACATGCAGGGAACTGGGGACTGAAGACACCTTTCCCCTCTGAATTACCAAACAGCCCACTGACCGTCGCTTCTGACTAAGAAGGCTCTGTGAATTCAGGTTTTCCAGAATGTGCAAAAGCTGAAGAAACAAAAAAGGTCTTAGCTGCAGCAGCATCAGCAGTCAGAAAACAAAACAAAACAAAAACAATAAATTATATAAAAAATAAAGCAAAACACAACAAAAAACAAGTAGGTAATAAGTGAAGATACAGGCTTGAAGCAATATTATCAACCAAGTTGACTACTTGGTCTTTCTAGGACACTCTATCCAGTAAGAGCAGAAAATGTTATTTTCAGGTGCACATGGAACATACTCCAAGACAGACCATATTCTAGGCCATAAAACAAGTTCTAACAGATGCAAAAGGAGTCAAGTCATACAAAGGGTATTCTAACCACAACTGATTTAAATCAGAAATTATGAACAGAAACATCTCTGCAAAATCTTCAAATATTCAGAGAATAAATAACATACTTCTAAATAAACTGTGGATCAAAAATAATTCAAAACAGACTTTATAAATTGAGTGAAAATAAAAAACCAATATATCAAAATTTCTACTTAGAGCAAAATTTATAAAGCAGAAATGTGTCATAGAAACTAAAAACACAAGAACAAATTAAACACAAAGTAAGCATAAATAGAAAATAAGAAAACAAATAGCTAGTTCTTTGGAAAGAACAATAAAATTAATAAACTCTAGCACTCATGATAAAAACAGAAAGAAGATACAAATTACAAATATCAGGATGAGAGGTGACATCACTATAGATCCTGTATATATTATTAAAAGGATAAGGGACTTATGAACTTTATGGCAATAAATGCAACAATGCAGATGAACTGGACAAATTTCTTGAAAGACACAAAATAAGTTTACTTGAGAACATACAGATAATCTGAATAGCCCTTATCTACCAAAGAAACAGAATTCATACTTACAAATATTTCCACAAACAAAAGTTCAGGCTTATAGGGCTTCATCCATGAATTTTACCAAACATATAAGGAAGAAACAATACCAATGCTAGACAAACTCTTCCAGAAAAATGAAAAGGTGTAAATACTTCTCAACACATTTTAGGAAGCCAGCATTATTCTAACACCAAAATAAGACAATGACATTCCAAGAAAAGGCAACTACAGACTAACATTCCTAATGAACATATTTATAAAATTCTTAACAAAATGTGATCAAATCAAATCTAACAATGTATAAAAAGGATAAATCAAGACAAAGTAGTGATTATCTCAAGAATGCAAGGCTGATTTAGTATTCTAAAATTAGACCTAAATGCTTCCCTCAGAAAATCAGGAACAAGGCAAGTATATCCACTCTCACAACCTTTATTCAACATTACTGAAGTTCTAGTCAGTGCAGTAAGACAGGAAAAAAACAACATAAAAGAAATAAAGATCATAAAGGAAAAAATGAGCCAGATAAATAATTTGAAATACTGATTTTAAGGAAGCTCAATGAGATACAAAAGAAATTTGAAAAGCAATACAAAAAATCAATTCAGGATATGAATGAGAAATTTACCAAAGAGAAAGAGATAGGTATCTTTTTTTTAAAAAGCCAAACAAATAAAAACTTCTGGAAATGAAAAAATCATTGAAGAAATTACAAAATACAGTTGAAAGCTTTTACAATAGACTAGACAAGCAGAAGAAAGCATCTCGGTACTTCAAGACAGGTCTTTTGAATTAATCTAGTCAGACGAAAGTAAAGAAAAAAGAATAAGGAAGAAAAAACAAAGCTTCTAAGAAGTATGAAACTACATAAAGCAACCAAACCTATGAATCATAGGTATTCCTGAGGGAGAAGAAAAAGTAAAAAGTTTGGAAACCTAGTTAAGGAAATAATTGAGGAAAACTTCCTTAATCTAGCAAGAGCTTTAGATATCCAGATAAAAGAGATCTAATGAACTCCACGAAAATACATTGCAAGATGGAACTCACCACAGCATACAGTCATCAGACTAAGGTTTATATGAAGGATAAAATCCTAAAATCAGCAAGAGAAAAGTGTTTAGTCACCTATAAAGGAAGCTCCATCACACAATTCAACTTGTAGAAACCTTACAAGCCAGAAGAGATTGGATTCTATTTTCAAGTTGCTTCAAAAAACAAAAAAATTTGTATCCTACTAGAATAAGCTCTATAAATGAAGGAAAAATAAGCCTTCCCCAAATAAACAAATACTTAGGGAGTTTGTCACCACTAGACCAGGTCTACAGGGAATGCTCAAGTGAGTTCTAACCATGAAAACAAAAGGTTGATACTTGCCATGATAAAAGACACAAAAGTATAAAACTTGCAGGCCTTATAAAATAATTACACAAAGAAAGAAGATAAGTCAAATGGCAACATAACTCATCTTACCGATAAAGACACAGACTGAAGGTAAAGCGGTAGAAAAAGATATTCCATGCAAATGGAAACCAGAAACGAGCAGGAGTAGCTATTTTTATATCAGATAAAAAAAGACTTTAAATCAACAGCAGTAAAAAAAGACAAAGTCATTACATAATGATAAAGTGATCAATAAACAAATAAGATAACAATCCTAAGTATATACACACCAAACATCAGGGCACCCAAATTCATAAAACAAATATTATTAGACCTAAAAAAATACACAGCAATACAATAACAGTGGGGGACCTCAACACCCCACAGACACCACTAGATAGACTGAGACAGAAAATCAACAAAGAAACACTGGACTTAAATTAAATTTTAGGTCAAATGGAGCTAACAGACATTTACAGAACATTCTATCCAACATCAGAATATACACTCTTCTGATTAGTGCATGGAGCATTCTCCAAGATAGAACATATGTTAGGTCACAAAAAAAGTCTCAATACATTTTTAAAAACCAAAATCACACCAAGTATCTTCTCACACCTCAGCAGAATAAAACTAGAAATCAATTCCAAGAAGAACTCTAGAAACTATACAAATACATGAAAATTAAACATGATCCTAAACAATCTTTGGGTTAATGACAAGACAAATTTTAAAATTTCTTGAAATGAATGAAAACGAAAATACAATATACCAAAACCTCTGGGATAAAGCAAAAGCAGTGCTAAGAGGGAAGTTTATAGTGTTAAATGTCTACACTAAAAAAAAAAAAAGATAAAAAATTAACAACCTGTGTCTCACCTCCAGGAACTAGAAAAACAGGAAAAATCCAAACCCAAAGTCAGCAGAAGAAAGATATAACAAAGACCACAGCAGAACTAAATAAAATAGAGAACCATGGAACCATACAAAGGATCAATGAAACGAAAAGCTCGTTTTTATCTCTGAAAAGATAAAATTGATAGACTGCCAGTAAGACTAGCCAAGAAAAGAGAAGATCCAAATAAACATAATCAGAAATGAATGAGACATTACAACTAATACCATAGAAATAAAAAACATGATCAGACACTCTTATGAACAATACACTTGAAAACTAGAAATTCTAGAGAAAATGAATTCCTGGAAACATACAACCTCCCAAGATTGAGCCCATCTGGCTCCCAAGATTGAGCCAGGAGGAAACAGAAATCCTAAACAGACCAGTAATGAGCAGTGAGATTGAATCAGCAATGCAAAACCTCCCAAGAACAAAAAAGCCCAGGACCAGACAAAGGTACACTGGAATTCCACAAAAGGTACAAAGAACTGGTACCAATTCTACTAAAACTCTTTCAAAAAATCTAAGAGGAGAGAATCCTCCCTAACTCATTCTAGAAAGCCACTCTTGCTCTGATACCAAAGTCAGATAAAGACACAACAAAAAAAGAAAACTACAGAGCAATATCCCTGATGAATGTAGATGCAAAAATCCTCCAAAAACAAACACAAATCCCCCCACAAAACCCCCCAAACCAAATCTAATAGCACATCAAAAAGATAAGCCACCATGATCGAGTGGGTTTTATTCCAAGGATGCGAGAATGGTTCAACATACACAAACCAATAAATGTGATTCAGCCTATAAACAGAATTAAAAACAAAAACCACATGATCATCTCAACAGATATATAAAAACCATTTGACAAAATTCAGCATCCTCTCATGATAAAAACCTTTGACAAACTAGGCACAGAAGAAACATATTTCAAAATAATAAAAGCCATATATGACAACCCATAGGTAACATACTGAATGGGGAAAAGCTGAAAGCATTCCCCCTAAGAACTGGAATAAAACAAGGATTGCCCACTTTCACCACTCCTATTTCACGTACCACTGGAAGTCCTAGCCAAAGTAATCAGGCAAGAGAAAGACAGAAAACCAATCTAAATTGGAAAAGAGTAAGTCATTTAATATCTCTGTTTTCTGACAATCTGATCTTATACCTACAAATCCCTAAAGACTCCTCCAAAAGAATCCTAGATTTGACAAATGACTTCAATAAAGTTTCAGGATTAAAAAAAATCAATATACAAAAGTCAGTAGCATTTCTATACGACAATAATGATCAGGCTAAAAACCAAATCAAGAACACAATCCAATTTATAGTATCTACAAAAAAATTAAAATACCTAGGAATGTATTTAACCAAGGAAGGGAAAGATCTAACCAAGGAAAATTATGAAACAATAATGAAAGAAGTTGTAGATGACATAAAAAAAATGGAAAAACATCCCATGTTCATGGATCGGCAGAATCAATATTGTTAAAAAGACCATACTGCCCAAAGCAATCTACAAATTCAATGCAATGGCTATCTAAATACTAATGTCATTTTTTGCAGAATGAGGAAAAACAATTCTAAAATTCATATGGAACCAAAAAAGAGCCTGAATAGACAAAGCAATCCTAAGCAAATAACAAAGCTGGAGGCATTACATTACCTGACTTCAAATTACACTACATGGCTATAGTAACCAAAACAGCATCGTACTGATATAAAAATAGATACACAGATCAATGGAATAGAAAAGAGAACCCAGAAATAAGTCACATACCTACAGCCAACTGATCTTTGATAAAGTCGAAAAAAACATACACTGGGGAAAGGACATCCTATTGAATAAATGGTGCTATTTAATCCATCTTGAGTTCATTACCTGAGATCTCCAGAGATCCATAACAGATTCTAATAATAGCCATTCTGGCTGGTATAAGATGATATCTCACCATTGTTTTAATTTGCATTTCTAGAAATCACTGGTGATTTCAACCACAGGAGGCAACCTGAAAAAGCTCCAAGTGGTCAAAGTAGAAATAACTTGGTAACAAAATAAACAATGCAATACTGGATTATAACACGAAGTATAAATAAATACATATGAGCCCATACTGATTATAAAATGGATAGTAAGTGACAATAAGGAGTTACTGTTGTAGATAGACACTGATAAATCTATGGGTGATATGACATTCTCCAGCAAAAAATAAAAGGGAAAGATAAAACAGGAACAGCAGAAAGTTGATAACTGCTAAGACAGTATGGATATACAGAGTCTATGGCATTATTTACTTTTCTATGTTTTTTAAGTTTTCAAAATAAAAAGTTTAAAGTCATAGGAAAACAAATAGGTCATCCAAATTATGTGTATGTTGGGGGAAGGGTGGAGAAGCAGAAATTATCCATTTAAACTATCAGTCAATTTTCATTAACAGAAAAAGATGTAAAATGAATGTTAAAACTGAACTGAATGGTGGGATTACAAATGGCATCCTACTAAGTCATTTTTGTCACATATCTCCCTCAGTTTGGTGGATTAGATGATATCTTAACAAAGGACATAAGCAATTTTAGAATTAATCAATTTTCTATGTTTTATACATTTTTGAAGTATATGGACCTAACAAATATATACACGTAGACTATGATTATACAGAACACTCCACCCAATAACAGCAGAATACACATTTTTCTGAAGTACATACAGAACATTTTCTAGGATACACCATATGTTAAACTACAAAAAAGCCTTAATAAATATAAAAATATTAAAATCACACAAAGTATCTCTGCTGATCAAAATGAAATGAAACTAGCAATGAATAGCAGAATAAAACCTGAAAATTCCATAAATATGTGAAAATTCAACAATACACATACAACCAATAGATCAAAGAAGAAATCACAGGGGAAACTAGAAAATATCTTGGGATAAATGAAAACGAATCCACTGCAAAAACAGTGCTAAGGGGGAAATCTATAGCTATAAATGGTTACAATGAAAAGGAAAAAGGTCTCAAATCAACATCATAACCTTATACCTTAAGGAAATGAAAAAAGTAACAAGCCATCGCCATTACCAAGACCAAGATGGCTGCAAGACTTGCTGCCTTCTTCAGGAATGCCTGGGCCAAGCAGCCAGTGCTGGCTGTGTCCTTCACCATTGCAGGCCATGCTATAATTCTGCCCCCACTCAGCCCCTACACCAAGTATGCCATCATGATCAACCAGGCCACACCCTACAATTACCCAATGCCTGTCTGAGATGATGGGAGCATGCCTTATGTGTCCAGCCACCCCCAGGACTCCTAGGGCCCAACCCTGGAGTGGCTGAAGAAACTGTGAGCATCTCCACTGACAGGGAGGAGGACCCTCCCCAGTGGCTCCCAATAAAAATGTGAAAAGCAAAAAACAAAACCAAATTAAACCCAATACTGACAGAAGAAAGGAATCTAACCTTTTTTTTTGAGACAGAGTTTCGCTTTTGTTGTCCAGGCTGGAGTGCAATGGTGCGATTTCGGCTCACTGCAACCTCTGCCTCCTGGGTTCAAGCGATTCTCCTGCCTCAGCCTCCCGAGTAGCTGGGATTACAGGCATGTGCCACCACGCCCAGCTAATTTTGTATTTTTAGTAGAGACAGGGTTTCTCCATGTTGGTCAGGCTGGTCTCGAACTCCCGACCTCAGGTGATCCGCCCACCTTGTCCTCCCAAAGTGCTGGGATTACAGGCATGAGCCACCGCGCCCAGCTGGAAGATGGTATTTTAAGAAAGCCTCTCATGAAATGATTTCTGAGCAGAAGCATGAATGAAATAAGGAAGAGGGGCTGGGCGCAGTGGCTCACATCTATAATCCCAGCATTTTGGGGAGGCTGAGGTGGGCAGATTGCTTGAGTCCAGGAGTTCAAGAGCAGCCTGGGCAACATGGGGAAACCTCGTCTGTACAAAAAATATAAAAATTAGCTGGGTGTGGTGGTGCACACCTGTAGTTCCAGCTACTCAGAAGGCTGAGGTGGGAGGATTGCTTGAGCACAGGAGGTGGAGACTGCAGTGAGCCGAGACTGTGTCATTGTACTCCAGCCTGGGCAACAGAGTGAGACCCTATCTCAATCAATCAATCAATCAGAAAGACAAAGGTTTAAGAAAAAACAGCATTCCAGCCAGAGAATAGAAAGTAAAAGGCTGTGATGCAGATGTCATATCTGAGGAACAAGTGAGGGTGGCAGAGACAAAGGGAGGGGGAAAAACAGAATGGTAAAGCTAGGTGAATAGGCAAACATTATACAGCCTTACAAGCTCCTTAAATACACTGGATTTTACTCATGAAATGGGAAGCCAGTGGAGGATCTGAAGCAGAGAGTGACATGATGTGACAGATGTTTTCATTCTTTTTTTTTTTTTCCTGAGACAGAGTCTCGCTCTATCACCCAGGTTGCAATGCAGTAGCAGATCTCAGCTCACTGCAACCCACGCCTCCCAGGTTCAAGCAATCCCCCCATCTCAGCCTCCTGAGTAGCTGGGACTACAGGCACACCTACATCTAGCTAATTTTTTTACATTTTGTAGAGACAGGGTTTTGCTATGTTAAAGACCCCAGGCTGGTCTTGAACTCCTGACCTCAAGTGATCCACCTGCCAGGCCTCCCAAAGTGCTGGGATTAGAGGCTTGAGCCATCGCGCCCAACCATGACAGATGTTTTTTAAAAAAGTCTCTCAGGTAGCTGAGTGGAGAAGAAATTATCCTGAATAAAGGAAAAATAACAGCTGTTAACTACGATTCCGGCTGCACAGTACTCACCTGAATGCTTACCTCTTTGGGTTTGAAGCTCCTTCATCCAAAGCTTTTCTTCCCTCTCCAACTGGGATATCATATCTGGTTTGAAGGACTGATGTCCTATAAAAAGATAGTATTTAAGTGAAAATGTTAAAGGCAAAGAGTACTGAAAAAATCTGGTTCCAATCACATGATGTAAGTCTCCTCCCTGCCCCAGCATGCAATGTTTAGGGAACATTTTTTTTTGTCATGACACATTATAAGAAATACATTTACTATCACTGGAAATACATTACCCTGTGTAAACTATTGAAATAAAAGGTTAAAGGACCTATTTCTAATCAATATCTGTTTTCATCACATCCCTTACGGCAAGCAGCAGCAGTTATTGCCACAATGTGCACCATTCTGGCTAAGGGGCTCTGATATTGTTACTCTATTTTATTACAAAAATGCTTATGTAACTTACTAATTTACTGACCCACCAATGGATCATGACCCACAAGTTTAAAAAAGATATACGAAATAAGGAATCAGGAGGAGCCAAGCTCAACTGTTCTTTTATAGTTCATGTCTAAAAGAAAATCATCTGTCTTGGAACAAAGGTCAGAAACATCTTGTCTCTATGCTCTAAAGAGATAGAAAAACTCTAGTCTCTGAGCAGTCCCAAAGCCTTGAACAAGGGGACAGAGGCCAGGGATGCCACTAAACATCCCAAAATACACAGGATAGCCTGATACAACACAGAATTATCTGGCCCAAAACATCAATGGCATGGAGGTTGAGAAACCCTGCTGAATTACAGAGGGTGCCTGTCCTTACCCACTGAAACCAGGTTCCTAAAGTTCTCCAGCATCACATCTCGGTACAGCTTCCTCTGGGCAGAGTCCAGCAGCCCCAGCTCCTCCTCAGTGAAGGCCACAGCCACATCCTTGAATGTCACTGCCTCCTAGAACATCAAGCACATGTAACCTCAATCTCACACCCAATGGCCACTGGCACCTAAGCAACTCTTTCTGTAGAGTTACTATTCTTCCCCTTCCACAATCACACCAAAAATGCTAGGGGGAAGAAGGAAAACACCTTGTACATGTAACGTGGTGCCCTTTATATAGTTAAATTCCTAGAACTGTCATTGTTAAATCATGGCATACACACATTTTACCATTTGACTGATAGCACCAAATTTGATAAGAAATTTTGCATTAATTTCTTCCCAACAGTGTTTGATAGTACTACCACTATTTTGTCAATCCAACAGGCCTTCATAAAGCTCTGGCACAAGTACGCAGTTCACTCTCTGGGTTCTCAGGAACATGCTGTCTTGGTCAACTGCAGCAGCATTTAGGGTCAAGGTTAAGAGTACAGGCTCTGGAGTTTGACTGCCTTAGTTCACATTCCAAGGGTCTATCCATTGCTAGTTTTGTGACGCTGGTCACAAAACCTCAATTTCCACATCTGTATAAGAGGACCTATATCATAGGGTCCTTGAAGGGATTAAATGAGTGAATACATATAAGAACTTAGGACAGTGTGTGACATACAGTAAGTACTCAATAAATGTTGATCATTAACTCTTATTATCATCACCATCATCTATTTCATCCCATTCATAGCTGCATGATAGTCCATAAACATGATCTACAATATATTTAACCATTCTAAATAATGCACATTTGATCATTTTAAATTTAAAAATGACAATGCCACAAGAAAACATATTTTTACATAGATCTTAGCCAGCTCGTATGGTTATTTCCTTAAGATAAGTTCCAGCTGGGGGCAATGGCTCACTTCTGTAATCCCAGCACTTTGAGAGGTCGAGACGGGCAGATCACTTGAGGTCAGGAGTTCAAGACCAACCCGACAAACATGGTGAAACCCTGTCTCTACTAAAAATACAAAAATTAGTTGGGCATGATGGCACACATCTGTAATCCCAGCTACTCGGGGGGCTGAGGCAGGAGAATCACTTGAACCCGGCAGGCGGAGGTTGCAGTGAGCCAAGATCATGTCACTGCACTCCAGCCTGAATGACAGAGCGAGACTCCGTCTCAAAAAAAAAAAAAAAAAAAAGGTAAGTTCCAAGAAGTGGTAATTACATTGTAAAAAAATATATATACCTTTGTTTTGCTGGTATAATGTTAATTTTCTCAATTAACTCTTCCCGTAAGAGATTATAAGTATTCCCGATTCTCCATACTCTGGCCAAAACTGGACATTTTTTTTTTTAAATCTTGAGTAATTTGGTGAGTGATATAAACAGCTATTTAATTTTTTTAAAGATGATCTGATATTACTTTTCTTCACATATTGCCTTTCCTTAATCCTACTGGGATTTTTCATGTATCAGTAACATTACTATTAAGAATATTAAGTCATTTTCTAGAATATATAAATTCCTACCCCGCACCTGTTTCCTACTTGTCTCATAAAGTTTGTATATGGTGTTTTTCTGTATGGAAATTAACATTTTTTATCTGAAGACACTGCACATCCCTGCATTTGTTTTGGCTGGAGTTCTGAACATCTATGTACCAAACAACTCGATGACACATGTGGCAAAGAGCCATGCACTGAGAAAGGGAATCTGGTGAAGAGCAATGTGATTTCTGGAGCCCTTCATCCACCAGGACATGCCAGGGACACATACATGTGTAGCATAGCCTCAAGTCCCTGAATAGTCTCTTTTTTTTTTTTCTTTTTTGAGACAGTCTCACTCTGTCACCCAGGCTGGAGTGTAGTGGTGTGATCTTGGCTCACTGCAACTTCTGCCTCCCAGGTTCAAGCAATTTTCCTGCCTCATCTACATGAGTAGCTGGGCTTACAGGTGTGCGCCACCACGCCCAGCTAATTTTTGTATTTTTAGTAGAGACAGGCTTTCACCATGTTGGCCAGGCTGATCTCGAACTCCTGACCTCAAGTGATCCACCTCAGCCCCAAAGTGCTGGGATTACAGGTGAGCCACTGTGCCTGGCCTTCACCCAAATGGAACACCTGAAACTTCTGGCTTAGGCACTGGAAGCTTTAACGTCAGCTGGGCATTGAGTGGACTTCAATAAGTGTCTAAAGGTTCACACCTGTCTCTTTATGTTTAAAATACAGATAAGGCCATCTACATCCTCACAAAGCTGTTCCATGGTGCAAATTCCTGGTGAATCTCCTAGTGCTATAAGACTTTTAAACTAAGTATGTGCATCTTTAAAATATAATAACATGTTAATGAATAAAACAGATACTTAACTATAATACAAGGTTTTACTTAGAATTAAAGAAAGAAATCTAGCTCGTTTGAAACTAAAATTACTTTCTCTGAGTTTGGCATCAGTCAGATGCTACTGCACTAAGCTATACTTTATTCTCTCCATAAAATGAGGTGCTGTGTATGAGAAAATGAGTCTAAAACTTTAAAGATTAAAAAAATGGTAGAATTCTCAGAATCCTTATTTGGGAAGAGAAGTTACATGGGGAAAAACTGCTATTGTCAATGTCCTTAAAATGGCAAAATTCATAGATTACATAAACATGGAGAATGAGGAAAAATAAAAACAAGTAAATGATGGAAAATGATGTGATCATTTAAAAAGCAGGTGATATAAAATTAAATTTAAAAAATTCGAAATTGTACCTAAAGTATGATTATATATGTTGAGTGCAAATGAAAAGGAATGTGGGAAATGATTTGTAAACATATTTGTAATGTGAGAGTTGTTTTCCATTTAAAAAATATATCTGTTAGGCCACGGCAGGAGGATCTCTTAAGCCCAGAAGTTCAAGACCAGCCTGGGAAACACAGGAACACCCCATCTCTACTAAAAATAATTAGCTGGTTGTGCTGGTGTGTGCCCGTGGTCCCACCTGCTCAAGAGGCTAAGGTGGGAGGATCTCTTGAGCCCAGGCCCAGGCTGCAGTGAGCCACTGCACTCCAGCCTGGGAAACAGGGTGAGACTCTGTCTCTAAATATATATAGAGATTTATATTTACATATATATATATATATAAAACTATATACTTATATATGAGTATATATATACTTATATATATATAACTATATACTTATATATGAGTAAATATATACTTATATATATTTGTATGTGTTTATATATACATATTTGTATATAAATATATACGTATATATTTGTATGTATTTATATATACATATTTGTATATATAAATATATACGTATATATGTATATATTTATATATAAATATATACATATATACGTATATATTTATATAAAATATACGTATATATTGTATACATTTATATAAAATATACGTATATATTTGTATATATAATACATATATACAAATATACGTATATTTCTTATAAATATATACATATATATTTGTATATAAATATAAAATATATACGTATATATAAATATATAATTATATAGAAATATATTTTAGAAATTAACAGATATATATATATCTCTCTGTTAATTTTTATACTATTATATTGAAATAAAAGGCAACAACCTGGCATATAACAACATTCCAAGTGCCTTTCGTTCCCTTTTACTGTTCCCAAACAGGAAAAATGTGTCCAATCTTTGTGAAATGAGATGTCATTTTAAGAAACACAAAGGCAAACCAAACTTACCTGGAACTTGGTCATTTTTCCCCTCCTCCTTCTGGGAAAAGGCAGAGTTCCGGGGAAGTGAACCTGAGGGAGGGAAAGGCATCATGAGATAGGTTAGGGATGGCATTAGTCACCATGGCACTTTTATGTGACACTTCAGAGAAAGGTCCCCCTGTCTCTAGGCAGACACAGTTGCACACGGCTTAGTGAGGAGAACGGGAGCTAGCTCCCAGCTACCCCTCGGCCCCCTCAACCAGCTGCTTTTGTTCATGAACATTTCATATTAACAGACCTAAATCAAATACAGCTCTCTGTGTACTCCTTCTGAACTTTAGTTTCCAAGGAAATGAGACACAGACAGGCAGGGGAATGTAACAGAGCCAAAATGCCTGGCTTCAAATTTTGGCATTTCTACCTATTTTCAACTGATCAGCAGTATAAACCTTAAGCGAATTATTAATCTCTCTGTGCCTTAATTCAGTTACCTGTGAATGGGGACAATAATAATGCCTGTATTCTCTATTTCCTGCAGCTTCTGACAAGCAAGTGCTATTATGCTTCATAAAACTGCCCTTTTGAGTATGCTTTCTAGAAAATGAATCTTTTAAGAAACCCAGAACTCAAAAATAATTGCTCTGTCCTGTGAGTTACCATTACCCTCAGAAAAGTCTGTAACTGTGATTGGTTGTCTAACATAATTAGTTCCGTTGGTAATGATAGTTAAACTGCCACAGGTTTTTTTTTCCTCCAACAGATGTAATTACTTGCAAATGTTACTAAGCTGGAGGAGCCTCAAGAAAGTCTCTTTTTCCACATGCATGAAAGCAATGACTAATAAAAACCTAAAACTCTCTAAGAAATGGTGTTACACTTAAGTTAACCACACGGGATTATTGGTTATAACCACATTATACTGAACATTTATTAGGGCCTCAGGACACCTCTGGCACTCTGCAAATCCGTAATGACGATCGCTTATCTGAGATAAAACACACAGGACATTCCCCAGGCTCCGCTGGAACTAATTCCTGTCTCCTAAACAAGAGGCTAGAAAAGTCCAAGAATCCAGGAACGGCCCCACATCAGGCAAGGATTAGAGAAGGGACAGCGGCTCCGTAGCTGGATCTCCTAGACTCAGAGGAGTTTCCAAACAACAGGCGTCTTTTTCAGTATTATAACAGAATTAACGGTGGCATCCAACATTTTCCTATGCACTGGTTTTAAGCTTATTTCTATAAAACCTCATTTAATTCTCACAAGAACATCACTGGGAACGCACTAACCCTTTACAGGCACGAGGAAACTGAGACAAGGAGAGATTAAGTAACTTGCCCAATATTTTACTGCGAGGAGCAGGCAGGACTGGCTGGTAGGTGCGTGAGGACGGCTAGGGCAGCAGACCCTCAACCTCGAAGGACGACGCGAGCCCGCCTCCCACGCAAGAGGTTCTGCCGAGGGGACGCAAACTCCCGCAGCCTCCCAACCCCGCCCTCCAGCGCTGGCCGCGGCTTCTCTTCCCCAAGCCAAGGACGGGTTCATTGCTGGCCCCACGCCTAGGCAAAGAGGGCTCGGAGAAGTCTTGGAGACCCGGAGCTGACTCACCTCCCTGGGAGATATCTCAGATCCGACCTCGCCTTCCTGGAGCGGAAGTGCCTCCGAGTGCCCACGGTTCGTGGACTCCACTTCCCAGAATTCCTAAGCGGAAGCGTCTCAGAGTTCTCTCACTCCTGGACTACAGTTCCCAGAATGCTCCAAGGGCAGCGCTTCCCACCAGCTGGGCTTTGTTTTGACTCAAGCCGGTTGGGTTTGAGCCACTTCTCTGGTGCTACTACTGTGAGATTCGTTTTTGTTTTATTCATTTTTAAAAGCTCATGAGAAAATAATTGTAAAATTTTTAAAGTGATGACATATAAAAATGAAAAGTGCAGCTTGTATTATTAAAATAAGTTAGAAACCAAAATTTTTCGCAGAAGCAGAGGGTAGGCTAAAATGGGAAGCGTAAAAGTGACTTAGGCTGAGCTCCGATGGACGCTGAACGTTAAGGAACACCAGATCTCAAACTTGTGTCAAATGCCGGCTCCCCAAATATCATCAACTCAACCTGTTGATAAGACAAAAAACAGAATTTATTGTTGATTGCAGTAATGGAGAACAACACTTCGACGGAGCGTTGGCACCTTCACAGAGCAAAGTGTCAAGGCAAGGTTGGAACTGATTGAGAACTGGATGTTTAAGGCGGGTCTTTCAATGCAAGGGATTTTATTAGTATTGCATAATGATCATGATACTACAGTCCAGGATTGGTGGATATAGCAAGGATTTTTGAAGCAAAGAATCTTAAATTGCAATCTATTGACACTTTCTTTGGAAGAGATTGAAAATTTGATGGGTCTCTGTGGAAGTTCCCATAATGAACAATTAAACAGTTTGCTTGGGCAGGAATCTCCTGGAATAAAGGCCTGCTGATGAAGACAGCTGAACAATCATGTTAGTGCCGAAAGTAAATTGTGATGAAACGGGAAAAGTTCACTTCTCCCTCTCCCAGGGCATGTGATGGGGTGTGGCTCGCTTCTTCGTGCCCAGCCGCTCAAACCTCTAGGGGAGCATGCACACGGGCAGGTTGTAGGGCTCCAACCCCACGGCAGTGTCTAGGGGTGAATGTTTACAGCTCCTGAAGCCCCAGTGGGCGTGTGTTATAGGGTGCTTTTTTAGTTCAGCCATCTGTAGGAGGCTTGTGTTAGCTCAATTAGACCCCTGACTTATCGCAAGCAAGAGAGGGCTTTCTGTATCCCAGAGGTTCTTGCCTTGGTGTACCAGAAGAATCGCATCACACATAGGCTTGGAGAAAGAGTGCAAGGATTGGAGAAACCTTGGAGAACGATTTGTAAGTAGCTCTCAGCAGAAGGGGGAGCCAGAAGGGAGATGGTTTTCGCCTGGAGTCAGCCTCTCAGCGGCCTGGGCGCTCCTCCGACTACCCAGGCCAAACTGCGTTATTCCACCGGTTAATGGCCTGCTGGCCTGCCGGTCTCTTCAGTGTGCTCTTTTGCCGACCCGCTCCCCTCGACAGCCTCTCGACAGCCAGCTGTTTGTGTGTCCGCCAATGCTCTCCTCTCAACGTCCAGCAGCTTGTGTCTCTGCCTGCTAGGGTATCAGGGTTTTTATAGGCACAGGATGGGGGCGTGGTGGGCCAGGGTGGTCTTGGGAAATGCAATATTTGGGCACAAAGGCAGGAATGCCTGTCCTCACCTAGGTCCGTGGCCACAGGCCTGGGGGTAGAGCCCTAGTCAGGGACCACACCCTTCTCCCCTCCAGCACTTCCATTCCCCTCTTCCGTATCAGTGAGGGGCAGGGAAAGAGGATGGAGTTTTAGTCCTTAGTGTCCAAGTTGTGTATATTTAGGGGTCGGTGACAAGGAGAGAAGGGAGTAAAGTGTTTGACTCTTTTCCCTCCATTATTCCTCAAGGTACCTAAGGGCTCATGACAGTGTTTTGTTTAATGTGCTATTCGTTCTAATATACTAAGAACCCACAAAAAGGCAATATAAATATTAAGCCAGAGAAATATCTTGAACTTCATTTATTTTAAATGTGTACTGTTATGGCAAACAAAAGCAGCTCCATTGGCCGGGAATCTAAGACAACGTTGTAATATGGGCATGTGTAAAATCTTGAATTGTTTTCTAATTTGTGTTCGGCTTCAAATATTTCATTACATACTTTGATCCTGATCCTGACATAAATGAAATTAAGTGTCTTATGGTTGAATAAACTAGATGAAACAAAGAAGCCGTGATTTTTCTCCTAGGCAGGTATAAATATACAGGTGACCATTGAAAAACACAAGGGTTAGGGGAGCTGACCCCTGGGCAGTTGAAAAATCTACCTGTAAGTTTTGACTCCCCCAAAACTTAACTTACTTAACTACCAATAACCTGTTGACCAGAAGCCTTACCAATAACATAAACAATTAACATATATATGTGTATATATATATATGTTTTTTGTTTTGTTTTTTGAGACAGAGTCTTGCTCTTGTTGCACAGGCTGGAGTGTAATGGCACCTCCCGGGTTCAAGCAATTCTCCTGCCTCAGCCTCCCGAGTAGCTGGGATTACAGGCATAAACTATCATGCTCAGCTAATTTTGTATTTTTTTTTTTTTTTTAGAGACGGGGTTTCTCCATGTTGGTCAGGCTGGTCTCGAACTCCCGACCTCAGGTGATCTGCCCGCCTTGGTTGGACTGTATTCTTACAATAAAGCTAGAGAAAATAAAATGTTATTAAGAAAATCATAAGGAAGAGAAAGTATTTTTTGCTATTTATTAAGCAGATCATCACAAAGATCTTCGTCCTCATCATCTTCACTGAGTTGAATAGGCTGAGGAGAACAAGGAAGAGAAGGGGTTGGTCTTGCTGTGTCAGGGATGGCAAAAGCAGAATACAATGTATGTATAAGTGGAACTGCAGAGTTCAAACCTGTTTTGTTCAAAGGTCAGCTGTAGTTTGTTACATTTTATTATCAAAGTTTTCAAACATATATAGAAGTAGAGAGAATAGTAAAATGAACTCTATATACTGATATCCCAAATTCAATAATTAACACTGTTTAGCCTATTTAATTCATCTATCACTGTTTTTTTAGTTACAATTCTAAAGCAAATTCCTGTAATTATGTCTTTTCACCTCAAAATGCTTTGCTAAATATATTTTAAAATAAAAATATTTTCTTTCAAAACCACAATACTATTATCACACTGAACAAAATACCAGTTATTTCTTAGTATTTCCTAATACTTGACAACCAAAATGAGTGACTCAGGCATAAGTCTCAGTCATTGAGGTTTACTAAGCCAGCTGTAGGACCTGCCGGGGAAAAACAAAGCCACAGACACATCTGTGACTATCTTTCCAAAGAGGTTTTCGGGAGGTTTAGTATTTGTCAATTTCCTTAAAGGGGTGGGGAAGGGATATAGGAAGAGGGGTAGGTATGCAGTTAGGCGAATAGTTACATTCTTGTGAGACTTTAGTTAGTCCCCAATAAATCTACATTTTTACATAAATAAGGTGAATGTCTTAAAAGGAAAAGGGAGTAAAAGAAGAGTCAATTATGTAGATGTATGTGGAGGTAGAGGAGAGTAGGTGGAGGAATGAGTCTTGACTTTGTTCTGCACCTGGGAAGATAAACTTGTAATCAACATTATTGTAATCACCGAGGGTTCTTCTTACTGCCTAGAAAAGCCAGTGCGCTGAGGACAGCAGGTTTTGAAGCAAATAAATAGTTTAATAATTGCAGGGCCAGCCAAATAGAAGAATGGGAGATATCTCAAATCTGTTTCCCTGAGAATTCAAAGGCTGGGATTTTTCAAGGATAGTTTGGTGGGCAGGGGCTAGGGAATGAGGAATACTGATTGATTTAGTTGGGAATGAAATCATAAGGGGTCGAAGCTGTCTTCGTGCACTGAGTTAGTTCCAGGGTGGAGGTCAGTTTCTTGGTATGGGATACTGGTCTGGGTGACATCATCTGGTCCATCAGAATGCAGGGTTTGAAAAATACCTCAGGCACCAGTTCTAGGTTTTACAGTAGTGACGTTATCTATAGGAGCAATTAAGGAGGTTACAAATCTTGTGACTTACAGCTTTGTGACTCCTTGTGGACAATTTGTTAGCTTTACGAAGGCAGTTTCAGTCCCTAAGCAAGGAAGGGGTTAGTTCCAGGAGGGGACTTTTACCATCTTTGTTTTTTTTTTTTTTTTTTTTCAGACGGAGTCTCGCTCTGTCGCCCAGGCTGGAGTGCAGTGGCGGGATCTCGGCTCACTGCAAGCTCCGCCTCCCGGGTTCACGCCATTCTCCTGCCTCAGCCTCCCAAAGTAGCTGGGACTACAGGCGCCCGCCACTACGCCCGGCTAATTTTTTGTATTTTTAGTAGAGACGGGGTTTCACCGTTTTAGCCGGGATGGTCTCGATCTCCTGACCTCGTGATCCGCCCGCCTCGGCCTCCCAAAGTGCTGGGATTACAGGCGTGAGCCACCGCGCCCGGCCCCATCTTTGTTTTAAAGTTAAACTCTAAACTGAATTCTTCCCATAGTTAGCTTGGCCTATGCACAGGAATGAGCAAGTACAGCTTGTGGGGTGAGAACCAAGATGGAGTCACTTATGTCAGATTTCTCCACTGTCATCATTTTTGCAAAGGCTCTTTCATGATCAGTGTGGAGTTTTAGGAGCTAGACTTAGATTGTAGAACTAAAGCAACAATTGGCATGTGCCTGTTTATGAGAGGTCAGCAAAAATTTTACTTATGAGTAATCTATGGGGAAAGCTCTTCCCAAATACCTGAGGCTTTTCACCTTTCATGGGGATCTGGCTAATGCACAGCTGTTCGTTTGGAAGAGGGTATTGCAATGACTGAACTCCAGGGCTTAATCTCCACACTTGCCTAAGTTTGGAGGATCCTGAGATGTTTATTTTCCTTTACATACCCAATCTCTATTAAAATTTTCCTGATTACCTAAAAATATCTCATGACTGGTTTGTCAAATCAATATCTAGCCCATTCATTTTATTTATCTACTTAGGTGTATTTATTATTGAACACTACTACATCACTCCTTTGTTTCAGACCCTGACCTGTTGAAGGAATTAGGTCAGTTGTTATGATATTACACATTCCGGATTTCTCCAACTTTTCTGGCCTCTGTCCCTAGTTCCTGGGAGGTGGCATCTAAACTCTTAAAATATCCTGAATTATAGAAGCTCTTTGTTATTCACGGTGGGCCACTCACACTATACCTGACAGATTGTGCTAAAGAGGTGACACATGATGGGCCTCTGGATAAGTTATGCTAGTGAGATTACTTCAGATAGGTGCTAGTTACACCAGACAGATCGATCATGTGATTTGAAGTTTGGGACTATGAGCCAAATAACACCAGCCTGTGTAGAGGATGGGGGCTAGACACTGAGTTACATGTCAGTTCAATCAGTCATACCTACGTAATAAAGCCCCAATAAAATCTATGAACACAAGCTTGGATAGACTTCTATGGTTGGCAAGTATTCTCATACAGCTATGTGCTGGGAGGGTAATGTGTCCTGACCCCAAGAGAAAGAACCATGGAATTTTTCATCTGGAACCCTCCCAGACCTTGTCCTATGCGTTTCTACCTTTGGTTGGTTTTGATTTGTATCCTTTTTTTTTTTAATAATAAAGCTGTAGTTAATAAATATAATTTTCCTGGGTTCTGTGAGTTGTTTCAGTAAATTGTTAAACCTGAGAGGTTAGTGATCAGAAGTGGTCAGCTGGTCAGAAGTGAGGGTGGCATGGAAACCCTTGAACTTGCAGTTTGGAATGAAAAAAGTCTTCTGAGCACTGTGCACTTGAACTGTGAAGTTTGACCTAACACTGAGTAATTAGTTTCAGAAGTAATTACACCACTTAATAATATGGGCTAATACCTTTACGAACCTCAGGGCAGAAAGTATTTTGTTTAGAGACAGGGTCTCATTCTGTTGCCTACCTTGGAGCGCACTGGTGAAATCATCATAGCTCACTGTAATTTTAAACTCCTGGGCTCAAGTAATCCTCCTGCTTCAGCCTCTTGAGTAGCTAGGACTACAGGCATGTACCACCATGCCTGGATCATTTTTTAACTTTTTTTTTTGGTAGAAATGAGGTCTTCCTATGTGGCCTAGGCTGGTCTCTAACTCTCAGCCTCAAGCAATCTTAATCCTCCCACCTCAGCCTTCCAAAGTGCAGAGGATTACAGGCATGACCACCTTACTTGATCAAAGTTTTCTTAATATGTGCATACCTGGGAGATATTGCAGGTTTGGGTCCAGACCACTGCAATAAAATGAGTATCTCAATAAAGTGAGTCACATGAATTTTTTGGTTTCTTATTGCACATAAAAGTTATGTTTATACTATACTGTAAACATACCATTTACCTGTGTAATAGCATTATGTCTAGTGGCTCATGCCTGTAATCCCAGCACTTTGGGAGGCCAAGACGGGTGGATCACGAGGTCAGGAGATAGAGACCATCCTGGCTAACACGGTGAAACCCCGTCTCTACTAAAAATACAAAAAAATTAGCCGGGCGTGGTGGCAGGCGCCTATAGTCCCAGCTACTCGGGAGGCTGAGGCAGGAGAATGGCGTGAACCCGGGAGGCGGAGGTTGCAGGGAGCCAAGATCGTGCCAGCCTGGGTGACAGAGTGAGACTCTGTCTCAAAAAAAAAAAAAAAAAAAAAAAAAAGCAATGTAGATACCTTAATTTAAAAATACTTTGTTGATAAAAAATGCTAACAATCATTTGAGCCTTCTGTGAGTTGTGTAATCTTTTATCTGGAGGAAGGTCTTCCCTTGATGTTTATGGCTGCTGACTGATCAGGGTGGTAGTTGCTGAAGGCTGGGGTGGCTGTGGAAATTTCTTAAAATAAGACAACAATGAAGTTTGCCCCCGTGATGGACTCTTCCTTTCATGAAAGATTTCTCTGTAGCATGTGACGGTGTTTGATAGCATTTTACCCAAAGTAGAACATCTCTCAAAATTGGAGTCAGTCTTCTCAAACCCTGCCACTGCTTTATCACCTAGGTTTACATCATATTCGAAATCCTTTGTTGTCATTTTAACAGTGGTCACAGCATCTTCACTAAAAGTAGATTCCATTTCATGAAACCACTTTCTTTGTTCATCCTTAAGAAACAACTCCTTATCCTTTCAAGTTTTATCATGAAATTGTAGCCATTTTGTCACATCTTCAGGCTCCACTTCAAATTATACTTTTCTTGATATTTCTAATACATTTGCACCACCTGAGTGCTACTGTCCATTTCAGAGTCTACTTCCCAGGGAATGCAACCCGCAACAATGCTTCTCTTTGGGCAGCAGGCTCCTTTCTCTAAAGGCTGCTAATCTTTGGTGCATCACCCAGTCAGTGCATATTTCTCTTGGTACCACGCTTAGCTAAGCTATACTTCTTCCACGTATTCTGGATTGAGAAATTGCATTTTCCACTTCTATGATATCACTGGGTATTTGTTAACTCAATTTCCCCTATTAGTAGTAATGATATTATTAGTATTAATATTTTTAAATTATAAAATCATAATCTACTATTTTCTTTTAAATAATACTAAAGATAACAGCTAAAATCTCCTTCGACCACCACAGCTGCCCAGTACTCTTCTCCATTCCCTGTCTTTAAGGTAGAGACCATTATCAGTTTAGTATCTATTCTTATGGACTCTTTTTTGTTTGTTTGTTTTATTGTATTTTTATTTATTCTGGACTCTTTATTCTGTATTTTATTTATTTATTCTGGACTCTTTTATATGTATTTAAATGTGTAGAATGTGTGTCCTTGTAAGACTTAAAGAACATCATTCATCTTACATGCTATATAATATTTTGCAAATGTGCTTATACAGTTTATATGAAAGACACAGAAATTGTTTTCAATTTTTCCACTATTACAACAAAGCTGCAATAAACGTCTCATTCATGCCCTCCTATGAGGTGTGACCATTCTCCATGGGAGAGGCAGAAAAATTGCAATTGCTAGGTCATGTGGTAAGCATATTTAAACATTTGATAGCTACTGCTAATTAATTCCTCAAAGCAATTGCACTAGTTTCCACTCCCACAAGCAGTTTATGAGAGTAGCAAATTCACCACATTTTCTTGAAAAAATTGAGACAACCTGGCAGGGTGCAGTGGTTCACACCTGTAATCCCAGCACTTTGGGAGGCCGAGGTGGGCAGATCACCTGAGGTCAGAAGTTCGAGACCAGCCTGGCCAACACGGTGAAACCCCATCTGTACTAAAAATAAAAAAGTTAGCCAGGTGTGGTGGTGCATGACGGTAATCCCAGCTACTTGGGAAGCTGAGACATGAGAATCACTTGTACCTGGGAGGTGGAGATTGCAATGAGCCGAGACCATGCCACTGCACTCCAGCCTGGGCAAGAGAGTGAGATTGTCTCAAAAAAAAAAAAAAAAGAAAGAAAAAAAAGAAAAAACTTTGACAACCTTAAGGGATAAAAATAGATCTGGCTGTAGTTTTGACTTCCCTAGTTACTAACATGGTTGGGTACCTTTACATATTTTCACTATCAATTTGAACTTTTATTTAAGTGACTTGCCTGTTCATTATGATATTTTTTCTATTATATATATTTTTTATTTTTTGCAATATGTATTGTTGGGGTTGCCTCTCTCTGATTTCTAATCCTTTGGTTTTGTTCACACAGTGAAACATTATTTATGTCACATATCGCTGATAGGGATATTCAGCTGTGTGGGCACTTTTGTTGTCTCCAAGGAGGTAAAACCTTACCATAGTCCTAACTGCAGTATCACATAAAGGGTCTGAACACACACGTGTATGGATTCTAATGTTAAGACTCTTGCTATTCTTCAAACCCTTAGATCCCTGTGTTGGGTTGGCTGTTATTATTGACTTGGCATCACAACAACCCCCTCTAACAACTTGTCTGTATTGAAGAAGAAAAGCAAGCATCTACCCATTTCCCAGGATCTCCCTCCCAATATGGTTTTACATTACAGACAACAATGGAGGAGACTGTTATATAATATTTAGCATGTGGAAGACAATGAGAAGAAAAGATCCAACTTAAAATGGGCAAAGAATTTCAACAGGTAGTCCTCCAAAGAAGTGTCCGGTACACACAAATGGCTAATGTAGGGTCCTCCAGTTACCCTCTCTTTCTGTGTCCTGACCAAAAATCACAGAGTGCCTTGACCACTCTGTGACCCAGCCAGCTGCACATTTTTTTTCCAGCAGGCTTGAACCCAAACCGGGGCCTTAAACATTCCCAGACATTGATAAAGGCATCTAGGTTGTTGCCCAAAATACTGAAAGAAACTGGCCCTGGCCCTGGACCAAATTCCTTAAGCCCCCATAAAAACTCCATACCCTGATTCCCTCGCTGTGAACATACCTAGGTAGAATGACCCTTTTCTTTCACTGTCCATCACAAGAATTGCTTGCAGCCCTCTTTAAGTTCCACTACTAAATGTTTTGGACTGATCACACTGGCATTTAGTGTTTCTTTCTTTAGAATCCCAACCAGCCCCATCTCAGGATGGTTTGGGGGTACTCCATGGTGGGAACTCCCCTGCCACTGCTTTTGGGGCAATTCCAGCCATGGGTTTGGTGGGATGAACCAGCTAAATAGCACATGAAAACACGCTCAATATAATTTCATTAGGGAAATGCAAATAAAAATTGCAACGTGATACCACTTCACACCCACTAGAACTCCTGTAATGAAAAAGACAAGTAATAACGAGGGTTAGCAAGGATACAGAGAAACGAACTGCCATACATTGTTGGCTGGAATGTAAAATGGCGCAACTCTTTTGGAAAACAACTTTCTCATATACAATTTTCCATCAGTCTTTCCTTTTCTCTCTTTTTGCCCTCCACAGACTTCCACCTCACATCTCTAAACTCTACCCTCTGTAATTCCCACCTCTCTTTTCAGGATTTTAGGATCAAATCAACCATGCTTTTCTTACACCCCTAAAAGAAATTACATTACCTAGACCCAAATCAGTCTGAAATAGAAGGCACTCGAATTGTTGTTTGGAGAGATCTCAGAGTGGATTCCTATAGCCATACTCTTGCTTTTACTCTCAATAATCATTATTAGTTTTTGGCAGTACTTATGGTAAGACAAGTAACTTTTAATTCTGTTGAAACCTTAACTCTGGGCCTCTATAGGGCATCATTGTCTTTGCAAACATTTACTGTACACCTGTAATGTATAAAGCACCATATTTACTCTTAAGGAGTTCCCACTCTACTGAGCTAAAAATGCTATAGGACTGTGAGGGGAACTAAAAAAGCAAAACAAACCAAATCCAAAATTAGTAAAAAGAAAGAAATAATAAAGATCAGAGCAGAAATAAATGAAATTGAAACTATAAAAACAATACAGAGGATAAAATGGAAAGATTTTTTTTGAAATGGCAATGTTCATAAGCCTTTAGCTAGACTAAGAACTGTGAGAAATAAGGACAAAATATTAGCCATATCTAAACTGCTATTAATCCCATCTGTTAATTTTTTTTTTGAGATGGAGTCTCACTCTGTCACCAGGCTGGAGTGCAGTGGCGTGATCTCAGTTCACTGCAACCTCCGCCTCCCAGGTTCAAGCGATTCTCCTGCCTCAGCCTCCCTAGTAGCTGGGACTACAGGCACAAGCCACCACACTCAGCTGATTTTTTAATATTTTTAGTAGAGATGGGGTTTCACCATATTGGCCAGGCTGGTCTCAAACTCCTGACCTCGTGATCTGCCTGCCTTGGCCTCCCAAAGTGCTGGGATTACAGGTGTGAGCCACCGTGCCTGGCTCCCATCTGTTAAATTCTTAATGTCAGTCATTGTGTTGAGCTTTCTAGGATTTTAAATTTTTATATAACCATTTTTTAAAAATGGATCTTTTAAATGCCACACTAAGCATAAACTTTTCAAAAACAGAACCAAGTGATTACTTTTAGTTTTCATTTATTTTCTTTAATCAGTTGTTTTAAAGTTTGTGCCCGCTAACTCCAATATCTGGATCATCTGGAAGTCCGTTTCAACTATTAGAATATCATGCTTATGTACAGTTTCTTTTGCCTGCAGTCTTAAGGAATCTACTCATTCCCCAAGTTTGAATGTTTATATTGTCTTTTGTTTTTGTTTTGGCATTTGGCCAATTTTCTGGCAAGCCCCATTAATTTTTGTTGAATGCCAGGTATTTTGTATAAAAAATGGTGTTGACTCTAGATAATGTAATCTTCCTTCAGAGGATCTAAGTTTTCTTCTGGCAGACAGAGGACAGGCATATCACAAACTTTACTCACATGATGTTGTGATCCATTATTTTTGACTTGGAGAATATGAGGATTTTCATTTTCGGCAGGACAATGAGCCAATATAGATAAAATTTAAAACACGTCTATTCACTCAACAACCACACATTTAAATGTTCTATGGAGATGATGAATATAAAGAGATGAAACTTATTTTTCTCTGGTTTTTATTGCATTGTGGTTTAGAAGAGTGAAAAACAGTAAACAGGCCTTCAATAGTAAGAAATTGGTTAAGTAAAAATAACACATTAATACACAAGAATACCATGCAGGCATTAAAAATTAGGTTGTAGGTCATTTAAATTTTTTTCTCAGTTTATTGTTTTGTTTCTTATTTTTATGATAATTTAATACATTTATGTAATTTGTAAAAATCAAATCAGTGTACTTGGAATATCCATCACCTGAAATATGTGTCCTTTCTTTATGCTAGCACCATTCTAATGCTTCTCTTCTAGCCATTTTGAAATATACAATAGATTACTGTAAACTATAGTCACCCTACTAATCTACTGCTAGGTCTTATTTCTTCTATCAAACCATATTTTTGTACCCATTAATCAACTTCTCTTCATCCCTCCTCCCTACTACCCTTGCCAGCCTCTGGCAACCAGCAATCTACTCTCTATCTTCATGAGATCCACTTTTTTTAGCTTCCATATATAATTGAGAATATGTTATTTGTCCTTCTGTGTTTGGCCTATTTCATTTAATATAATTACTCCCGGTTCCATCCATGTTGCTGCGAAAGATGGTATTTCATTCTTTTTTATGGCTGAAGAATATTCCATTGTGCATATATACAATTCATCCATTAATGGGCAGTTAGGTTGATTTCATATTTTGCCTATTGTCCATAGTGCTGCAATAAACATGAGATTGCAGGTGTCTTTTTGATATATTTTCTTTCTTTGAATATATACCCAGTACTGGAATTGCTGGACTGTATGGTAGTTCTATTTTTAGTTTTTAAAGAAACCTCCATACTATTCTCCATAGTGATTGTACCAACTTACATCCCCACCAACAGTGTACAAGCATTCCCCTTTTGCCACACCCTCACCATCATCCATTATTGCCTGTATTTTTGATAAAAGTAATTTTAACTGGAGTGAGATGAGATCTCACTGTGGTTTTGATTTGGATTTCTCTGATATTGATCATTTTTTTCCTTATACCTGTTGGTCACTTGTATGTCTTCTTTTGAAAACATCTATTCAGATCTGTTGCCCATTAAAAATCTGATTATTTGGCTTTTTTGCTATTGAGTTGTTTGAGCTCCTTATATATTCTGGGTCTTAATCCCTGGTCAGATGGTCAGTTTGCAAATATTTTCTCCCATTCTGTGGGTTGTCTCTTCACTTTTTAAATTGTTTCCCTTGCTCTGCAGAAGATTCTTAGCTTGATGTAATCCAATTTGTTAATTTTCACTTTGGCTGCCTGTGCTTTTGAGGTGCTACTGAAATCTTTGCCCATATCAATGTTGTGAATCATTTCCCCAATGTTTTCTTCTATTAATAGTAGTTTTATAGTTTTAGGTCTTATATTTAAGTCTTTAATCAATTTTGATCTGATTTTTGTGAAGGTGAGATAAGGGTCTAGCTTCATTCTTTTGCATATATTCAGTTTTCCCTGCACTATTAATTGAAGAGACTGACCTTTCTTCCATTGTATGTTCTTGGTGCCTTTGTCAAAGATGAGTTAACTATAAATGCATGGATTTATACTTGAGCTCTCTATTCTTTTCCATTGGTCTATGTGTCTGTTTTTATGCCAGTACTATGCTGTTTCAGTTGCTGTTGTTTTGTAGTATATTTTGAAGTCAGATAGTGTGCTGCCTCCAGCTTTCTTACTTTTGCTCAGAGTTGCCTTTGGCTATATGGCATCTTCTGTGGTTCCATATAAATGTTAGAATTGTTTTTGTCTATTTCAGTGAAGAATGTCATTAGTATTTTCTTTTTTTAAATTAAATTAAATTAAATTAAATTAAATTTATCACTATTATTTTTCTTGAGAAGGAGTCTTGCTCTGTCGCCCAGGCTACAGTGCAGTGGCGCAATCTTGGCTCACTGCAAGCTCTGCCTCCCAGGTTCACGCTATTCTCCTGCCTCAGCCTCCCAAGTAGCTGGGACTACAGGTGCCCGCCACCATGCCCGGCTAATTTTTTGCATTTTTTAGTAGAGACAGGGTTTCACCATGTTAGCCAGGATGGTCTCAATCTCCTGACCTCGTGATTGGTCTGCCTTGGCCTCCCAAAGTGCTGGGATTACAGGCATGAGCCACTGTGCCTGGCCTGTCATTAGTATTTTCATAGGAATTTCATTGAATCTGTAAATTGCATTGAGTAATATTGTCATTTTGACAATATTAATTATTCCAATCCATGAGCATGGGCTATCTATTTTTTGTGTCCTTTTCAATTTCTTTCATCAGTGTTTTAGAGTTTTCCTTGGATAGTTCTTTCACTACTTTGGTTAAACTCACTCTTAGGTATTGTATATTCTTTGTAGCTATTGTAAATGGGATTGCTTTCTTGATTTCAGATTGTTCACTGTTGGCATATATAAATAATACTGATTTTTTATGTTTATTTTGTATCCTGCAACATTACTCAATTTTCTTATCAGTTCTAATGGTTTTTGATAGTCTTTAGTATTTTCCATTTTTAATAACATGTCATCTGTCAACAAGACTAATTTGACTTCTTCCTTTCCAATTTGGATGCCCTTTAATTTCTCTGGGAACTGGAGTGCTAAAGTTTTCTCAGTGTTCCTCCCACCTAATTGTTCTATGCAGGATTTCCAGTACTATCTATATTGAATAAAGGTGGTGAGATTAGGCATCCTTGTCTTTTTCAAGATCTTAGAGGAAAGGCCTTCAATTCTTCCCTGTCAGCACAATGTTAGCTGTGGGCTTGTCATATATAACTTTTATTATTCTGAGGTATGTTCCTTCTACACCCAGTTTGATGAGGATTTTTATCATAAAGGGATGTTAAATTATATTGAATGTTTATTTTTAGCATCTATCAAAATAATCAGATGGTTTTTCTTCTTGGTTCTGTTAGTGTGACGTATCACACTTATCAATTTGCATATACTGGATCATCCTTGCATCCTTGGGATGAATCCCATTTGATCATGGTGAATGATCTTTTTAATATGTTGGTGAATGATCTTTTTAATATGTTGCTGAATTCAGTTTGCTAGTATTTTGTTGAAAATTTTTGCATCTATGTTCACCAGTGATAATGTCCTGCAGTTTTTTTTTCCATTGTGTCCTTTTCTGGTTTTGGTATCAGGATACTGTTGGCCCCATAGAATAAATTTGGAATTATTCCCTTCTCTTCAATTTTTGTGAAGAGTTTGAGTAGAATTGGTATTAGTTCTCTAAATGTTTGGTAGAATTTAGCAGTGAAACCATTAGGTCATGAGTTTTTCCTTGATAGGCGACTTTTTATTATGGCTTCAATTTCATTATTTGTTACTGGTTTATCGAGGTTTTCTATTTCTTCATAGTTCAACTGTGGTCGATTGCATGTGTCCAGGAATTTATTCATTACTTCTAGGTTTTCCAAAGTGTATCATTGTTCATCACAGTCTCTAATGATTCTTATTTCTAATGATTCTTATTTTTGTGGTCTCAGTTGTTAAGTCTCCTTTTTCATTTCTGATGTTATTTACTTGGATCTTCTTTCTTTCTTGGTTAGTTTAGCCAAAGGTTTGATGATTTCTGTTTATCTTTTTAAAATCCCAACTTTTCTTTCATTTATCTTCTGTATTCTTCTTTCATTATCAATTTTATTTATTTCTGCTCTGATCTTTATTTATTTTCTTCTACTAATTTTGGATTTGGTTTGTTCTTACTTTTTTAGTTCCTTGAGGTGCATCATTAGGTTGTTATTTGAAATCTTTTTACCTTTTTGATATATGTTTGTTGCTATAAACCTCTAAGTTTTGCTTTGGCTGTATCCCATAGATTTTGCCATGTTGTATTTCTATTTTCTTTGTTTCAAAAAATGTTTAAATTTCCTTCTTAATTTCTTCATTGCCTCACTGGTCATTCAGGAGCATGCTGTTTAATTTCCATGTTGTTTGTGAAGCTTCCAATGTCCTTTTTGTTATTGATTTCTAGTTTAATTATACTGTGGTCAGAAAAGATACTGAATATAATCTCTCTTTTTTTTTTAATTTGTTGAGATTTGTTTTGTGGCCTAAGATATAGTCTATTCTGGACAATGTTCCATGTACTGATGAAAAGAACATCTATTCTGCAGCAATTGGGTGAAATGATCTGTAAATGTCAGTTATGTCTATTAGGTCTAGTGTGTGACCTAACTTCAATGTTTCTTTGTTGATTTTCTGTCTGGATGATCTGTCCATTGCTGAGAGTGGGATGTCAAAGTCTCCTACTATTATTATTTTGCCATATATCTCTTATTTTCGATCTATTAATGTTTGCTTTATAAACTTCGGAGTTCTGGTGTTGAATGCATAGATATTTATAATGGTTATATCATCTTGCTGAATTGACCCATTAATCATTTTATAGTGACCTTATTTGTCTTTTTTACAGTCTTTGATTTGTAGTCTATATTGTATCTTATACAAGTATAGCTACTCCTGCTCTTTTTTCGTTGCCTGTTGCAAGCTATGTCTTTTTCCACCCCTTCACTTTTAGACTATGTGTGTCTTTACAGGTGAAGTGGGTTTCTTGCAGGCAGCATATAGTTGGGTCTTGTTTCTCTATCCATTCAGCCACTTTATGTCTTTTAATCAGAGGATGAGTCAATTTACATTCAGTGTTATTATTGATTAGTAAGGACTTACTACTGCCATTTGTTGCTTGTTTTCTGGTTGTTTTGTAACTCCTCCCTTTCTTTCTTCCTTTCTTACTGTCTTCTTTTTTTGCTTAAATATTTAAGAGTCTTCATTTTTCTGTCTTCCTTTGTGGTTAACAGTATGTTTTAATTTGTTGCTTTTTACTTTTAGTGAATCTATTATAGGTTTTTGTATTGTGTTTACCATAAAGCTTACAAAATACATTTTATAGATATAACAGGTTATTTTAAAGAGATGACAACTTATCTTAGATTACAAGTAATAGAAACAAAGAAAAATGAAAAGAAGAAACACTTCTACACTTAACTCCCATCCGTCCCACCTTTTGATTTTTGGTTGTCTCAATGTACATATTTTTATATTACCTATTTCTTAACAAATTGCTCTTGCTATTATTCTTTTTGATAGATTTCTTTTGGGCTACATACTAGTTATGAGTGGATTGCACATCACAATTACAATACTATTCTTGGTTTGTCTGTGTACTTAACTTTACCACTGGGTTTTACAGTTTCAGAAGCTTTCATTTTGCACATTAGTAGCTTTTTCTTTCACATTGGAAACTCCCTTGAACCTTTCTTAGAAGTCTGTTGTGGTAAATTCTCTCATCTTTTGTTTATCTTGGAAAGACTTTATCTCTCCTTCATATTTGAAGGATAACTTTGCTAGATACAGTATTCTTGGATGATAGTTTTTTTTTTTTTTTAATTTCAGCACTTTGAAAATGTCTCTGCACTTCCTCCTGGCCTATATGGCTTCTGTTAAGAAGTCTTTTGCCAGATGAATTGGAGCTCCTTTATATGTCATTTGCTTGTTTTTTTTTTTTTTTTTTTTTTTTTTTGCTGCTTTTATAATTCTTTCTCCTTGACCTATGAGAGTTTATTATATGCTTTGGGGTAGTCTTAGTTGGGTCAAATCTGTTTGCTGTTCTATGATTTCCCTGTACCTGGATATTCATCTCTTTCTTAAATTTTGGAAAGTTTTCTGTTATTTTGTTGAATATACTTTCTACTCCTTGCTCTTGCTCAACTCCCTCCTGAACAGCAGTAATTCTTAGTTTTGGTCATTTGAGATATTTTCTATCTCTTTCAGTCAATATTTGCTCTTTTTCTTTCTCTGTTCTCTTCTGACTGTGTATTCACAAATAGCCTGTCTTGGAGCTCACTGATTCTTTCTTCTGCTTGATACATTCTGCTGTTGAGAGCCTCTAATGGATATTTCAGTGCAGCAAACATATTTCTCAGTTCCAAGATTTCTGTTTGATTTTAAAAAATTATTTTATTCTCTGTTCAGGTTCTCTGATACATTTCTGAATTGCTTTTCTGTGTTATCTTGGAGATCACTGAGTTTCCTTAAAACAGCTCTTATGAAGTCTTGGTCAGAGAGTTCACATATCGTCTTCCTGTTAGGATCAGTCACTGGTTCCTTGCTTTGTCCATTTGTGGGATGCCATGGCTCCCCGTTTGCTGTTGTTGCTTATGGATGTGTGTCTGTCTTTGCATCGAATGATTATACATTCCACTATTCTCTGTCTGGCTGGTTTTGTTTTTCATTGGATATGGCTCCCTAGAGATTCTTTATATTTTACCTGTTGATTTTCTTCTTTCCCGTTAGGTTACTGACTCCTTTTTGGTACTAGATAGCCTATTAACTCCAGGTTTGCCTCAGTTCTAGTAAATAATCATAGTGCCACCCATCCCAAAAGGGGTAGGTCCCATAGGGGATATCCTAGTTGTAAGAAAGCTGGCTAGTGGTTCATGATTGGGGACCTACAGTATAGTGATGCTGAACAGCCACTCTGATTGTTGTCTCCTTTGGCTGAGTTGCAGAGTAGAGTTTCCATGACGGGGACAGTATTCCCACCTCCCTCCTTTGTCTCTGGCTGTCCTCAGGGATATTTCTCTCTTCAGTTACTCCTGATGCTTTCTGTGGGTTGAGTCAGGGACAAGTCTCCTGCCAGGAAACCCAAGATGGGGAGGAGGCTGGTTGTCCACCTTGATTAACTTTTTCCAGTATAGAAACCGTGAGACGGGAAAATTTTCCACAGTCTTGGCACCAGGCAGATTAGGGGGAAGGGCACTGTGGATAGGAAAGTCCACTTCTCTTATCATCTGCTCAGTTTTTTCCACTTATTTGTGTCCTCAGGAACTGTCTCCTTCTATTTGAGTTCTGGGATATTGCTGGTGATAATCTTGGTGCTGTATATTTGTCTTTAGTTTTCTATTGAAAGGAGTGAAGCCAGCTTGCTTCTACATTGCTATTTTTGGAACCAGAATTTAATTTCTACTACTGACTTATGAGATGTACTTTAAAAAATTCTTAAATGGTTACTCTAGGGCTTAAAATATATTCCTGTATTTTTTCACAGTCTATCTTCAAATCATATTATGCCAATTCATGTATAGAGTACAACCATATACCTCTAATTTCTGCTAGTATATTTCTAATTTCTGTCTTCCCTGTTTTGCAGTGTTCTTACGAAACATCTTATTTTTGTATGTCCTCTAAATTCATAAAACCTCATTCCTAATTTTGCTTTACTGAATTATATTTTGGAGTAATAAAAATAAAAATTATTTTACACTTAAAATGATTGAAATAACTATTTTCATAGTTATGTCTTTTGGTAGATCCAAGTCTATTTCTGGTATGCTAAATATCTCTTACAGTGCAGGTCTGCTAACAGTGAATTCTATCAGCTTCTGTTCATCTGAAAATGCCTTTATTTTGCATACCTTCTGAAAGATTTTTTCCACCAGGCTTAGATTTTTGATTGATCATTTTTTTTATTGTTGTTTCTAAATGTTAAAGATGTAACTCCATTGTCTTTTGCTTGCATGGTTTGTGATGATAAGTCTGATGTTTTTCTCACTCTGCTTCTTATATGTAATGTGTCCCTTTCCTCTGTCTGCCATTAATATTTTCTTTGCACTGTCCATCCATTTTTAGCTATTGGGCAATAATACCTCTAGTTTTGTTCTTTTTTTAAAAAAATACTGCTTTGGTATTCTGACGTTCTTGAATCTGGGTGAAGTCTTATTATTTTTGGAAAATTCTCAGCCATTATCTCTTTAAATATCTTTTCTTCCCATTCTCTCCCCCGACCCTGGGTTTCCAAGTATGCAAATATTAGATCCTACAATGTTGTCCTATTTGTATTGTTTTCTTCACACTTTTTCTTTTTGTGTTTTAGTTTGCATGATTTCTATTGACCTATATTCAAGTTCTGACACTTTTCTCAACTATGTTGAGCCTACTCATAAGTCCTTCAAAAGCATTCTGATAAAAGTAAAAGCAGTAGCATAAATTTTCTTTTCCTAGCATTTCCCATTTGACTATTAAATTTTACTGAAATCCCTATCTGCTCATGCATATTATCTGCCCTTTTCACTGGAGTCTTCAGCACATCAATCAGTTATGTAAAATTCCCTAATAGTTCCAAAATATGGTTATCTATAAGTGTGGTTTTATTGATTGGTCTGCTATCTATTGGCAGAAGATTGTTCTCAACTTTTGATCTTGTGTTTTTAAAATAAAATGCCAGATAACATATACAAAACAGTAGAGACTGAAGACAACATTATTTTTTGCCTAAAACTGGGCACACATGTTCTGCTAGGATGTCAGGGTGGAGTGCTGAATTAATCTGGTCAGGAATCAAGCTGGAATTGGGTTTTGTTGTTGCAATATTTATCTTAGTTGTACCATGGCTTCAAATTTCTCTAGTGTTACCTTGTGCTTAGGGTGGGAACTGGAGTGCTAAAGTTTTCTCAATGTTCCTGTTGCCCCATCCTCAGCTTTTGGCCATCCCTTGGCACCAGGGCCAAGAAAGATTCTCCATGTTCTTCCCTTTTCTCACGGTAGCCTGCTGTTGCTTCTCACTAGGAATAGGCTAGGGGACCAGCGGTGTCCTTTGTTGTCTTGGTTAGTCTCAGTTGTTAGTGGGAATTGGAGTGTCAGAGATTCTATGCATTTTGGGGAGCCAGAACCACACAGGACTAAAATGGTACAGAATATCTCTTCCTTCGGCTGTGAAAAGAAAGCAGGTGATGCTGCTATATTGTGAACAACATGAAGACAAGAATTCACAAGAAAAGAGAGGTGAGAGAATTAAAAGAAAGCAATATAAAATCCCCCTACCTTACCCAGACCCTAGTCTTACACTATCTGTATCTTTTCATTTATATGAACTAAGAAACAGTTTTGGTTTAGGCAACTCTAAATTTTCTGTTACTTAGAACTAAAAGCATTCCAATTGATAAAACCACCATGAGCTCTCCCCTGTAAGTGATGATATCAAAGACATGCTTTAGAAGCCCTGGATTTCTGATGATACTGTGCAACTTGAACCAGCACCTCAAAAGCCAAGTTATGCCAGTGCTTTGGTCATCATATTCATCCAGCAAGGGGAAATCTGATGGAAAAGCCGTGAGCATCAATTTATAAAACTGGATTGCACTAGGACATCCTAGGCAACATGGATTTTGAGACCTAAGGAAATTTCACAGAAATATAAAGTTATGGACACCTAATTTATCTGTATTCTTAAAAATCCAGGAAATTTTAAGAACTAACTTCAGGGGGTTTATTCTTTACTGTTGTTGGTCATAATGTCATACAGTGAAATCAAGCAATCATATCATGAGTTCTTAAGTATAAGAGATAATATATCAATAGCTGTTTACTGCTTTGGTGTAATTGGTAAATGTCCATTATAAATATTTTTAAATAAAGCACAGAAAAACTAAGCCAAAAATTTCTTTCCAGAGAAAACTACTGTGGATATAATAATGAGTAATCTTTCACACATTATCTATAAGCATATATTTGAACATACATGCACACAGGCTTAAATTAGCTGGCTATTATGAACGTACAGTCCAGGTTTTTACTAAACAATATGCATGATCCATTCTTGTCATTTTAGAGCTAAATCATACTTTCTGTAGATCCATAGTATAGAACATACAGAAACTTACCCAAATTCATATTGATGGACATTTACTTCCAGCTTAAAACATTACTATCATTGTAAAATCCTTTCTTACTGCTAAAATTGCTTAATTATAAATTACTGTTCTACGATTTCCAGATCGGTATGCACATTTTACATTCCGATATATATGGGGGGCTTGATAAGTATTTTGATATATATAGAACGACAAGCTTGTATTTTTCACTTTCGCCAACAAAATGCATCATTCTTGAAGACAGACACTAGCAAGTAAATGGCAACCCTATCCTGCTAGTCAATACATTGATAAATATGCTTAGAAAAATTCAAGATTTTCCCTTTTTTTGTGTGTGAGTGGGAGAAGTATGGGAATGGAAAACTTGACAAAATTAAAATCTTTCAAACTTGACCCTGCTTAAGGAGGTGTGGATTGGACAAAGGCTACAACATTTAGAAATCAGTCAGATCAAATGGACTTTTAGAGAAATATGGAGAATAAAAAAACCCCAAGTATTGTGATTTTGACATTTATTAAAAAGTATTTGTCATCAGTAACCATTTTGGATACTTGCAAATATTACAGTAAAACTCTGCCTTAATTCACAGGGCAGGAGTAGAAAATCAATTATGTAAAATACAGTGTTCCATTTTTGCAACATTAACCAGAAACATTGTTTATCAGTTTGTACTGATATTTCAAGTGCACACATGGGTACATATACACACACACAAAGCTAAACTTCAGCAGATGGTATAATGTATAGAGACCAAACGTTAAGAAATGCAGCACATCTCTGCTCAAGATGGAACAAAGGGTGGGAACTAACCCCAATAGGGTTACAATCAAATTAATGTTATTTCAGATCATCATAATGCTTATTGTTCTACATTTCAAATATTTACTTGAAATGATTTTATTAAGATTACTTGCAGGATTTCTCCTCCAAATACATTTTAAGTTTTAAAAAATGCGCTTAAAAATTTCAAACCTTTTACCTTTACATACTTTTAGTTATTTAGCAAAAAGTACTGAGCACCTACATTGCGTTATGAAATGTCCTAGTTTTGTAGACTAGCAATGAACAAAGTCCCTTCTTTCACCAAGCTTACATTCTAGAGAACATGGATTTAGGCATGCTCATCACTGTACTTTTATTAAATTCCTGACCATACTCATATTTTATAAGCCTTAGCTCCTGTGCAATGACTGATGTTAAAGTTCTAACAAAATCCCTCGTGAAACCCCTCTCATTAAATGTCTCTGTTGTGTGGTCTCCTGGCCATTATGAATGTTGAAGTTGGGCAGCAACATTACATTTTAATTTTTAAAAATTCTTTTTCTACTGAAAGAACTCTAGTGACTGGAAAATTTCAGCTCCCATTTGAGGACTTCAAAACAAAACAGAATCTTCATTTCTGTGTAGATTCTCTGATGAAGGGTAGTCCTTACCATAGTCTTCGCTTTTATAGAATTTATCACTACTATGGACTCTTTGATGAATGAGAAGACCTGAGCTCCAACGGAAACCCTTACCACATGCATCACATTTGTATGGTTTCTCTCCTGTGTGGACTCTCTGGTGAGCCTGAAGATTTGATCTCTGACTGAAGCCCTTTCCACATACCTCACATTTGTATGGTTTCTCTCCTGTGTGGACTCTGTGATGGGCTTGAAGACTTGAATACCCACTGAAACCCTTACCACACTGTTCACATTTATAGGGTCTCCCTTCCACATGAACCCTTTGGTGTGCTTGAAGGCGTGAACTCTCACTGAAACCCTTTGTACACACCTCACATTTGTATGGTTTCCCTCCTGTGTGAACCCTCCGATGTGCTTCAAGGCGCGAACTCTGACTAAAGCCCTTCCCACACATCTCACATTTATACGGTTTCACTCTAGTGTGGACTCTCTGATGACCTTGAAGATATGCTCTCTGACTGAAGCCCTTTCCACATACCTCACATATATATGGTCTTTCTCCAGAATGGACACTCTGATGACTCTGAAGGTATGATCTCTGACTGAAACTCTTACCACACTCATCACATTGGTATGGCTTCTCTCCCGTGTGGACCCTCTGATGGGCCAAAAGTGTTGAGGCCTTACTGAAGCCTTTACCACATTCTTCACATTTATAGGGTTTTTCTCCTGTGTGAACCCTCTGATGAATTTGAAGATTAAAGCTCCAACTGAACCCCTTCCCACATTCCTCACATTTGAATGGTTTTTCTCCAGTGTGGACTCTCTGATGGCCTTGAAGGTGTGAACTCCGACTGAAGCCCTTCCCACACTCCTCACACTTGTATGGTTTTTCTCCAGTGTGAACTCTCTGATGGCCTTGAAGGTATGAATTTCGACTGAACCCCTTCCCACATTCCTCACATTTATAAGGTTTTTCTCCAGTGTGGACTCTCTGATGGGCTTGAAGATATGAACTCCGACTGAATCCCTTATCACATTCCTCGCATTTATAAGGTTTCTCTCCTGTGTGGACTCTCTGATGAACATTCAGAACTGATCTATGATTGAAACCTTTGCCGCATATATTGCATTTGTATGGCTTCTGTCCAGTGTGGACTCTCTGATGATCTTTAAGTTTTGAGCTCCAGTTGAAGCCATTCCCATGCTCCTTACGTGGTTTCTCTCCAATGTGAATTTTTGGATGACCTTGAAGATATAAATTATGGCTGAAGCTGTTACTACACACATAGCGTTTATATGGTTGTTCCTTAGTGTGGACTATCTGAAGGTCCTGAAAATGTGAGGCCAGACTGAAGCCATTACCACACTCCTCAGAATTATATGAATTCTCTTCCATATGAACCCTATGCTGAATGTCAAGATTTGAACTACAAATGAAACTCTTTCCATACTCTATATCTGTGTATAGTTTCTCTTCAGTGTGGATTTTTTGATGGACTTGAAGACATGAACTCTGATTAAAGACATTCTCATTTTCCTCATATTCATGGGGTTCATCCCTAGTATGGACCCTAAAAATACTATTAAGGTCTAAGCTATGACTGAAGGCTTTCTCATAAATGTTGTGCCTATAGGACATCTCACCTGTGTGGATAAGTTCATAAGTGTTAAGAGGGGAACAGTGATTGAAGTTCTCACCATATTCACCACATTTGCATGGTTTCTCCTCTGTATGCACTCTCTGATAGGATTTCAGATGTGAATTCTCAATATCATCTTCTCTCTCAATATTTTGATGAATATGAAGAAGTGAACTATAATTACAGCCCTTTCCACATGAACTGTATGTATAGGGCTTCCCTTCCAAGTGGAACTGCTGATGAACCTCAGAGCTGGAGTCATTACTGAAGGCTTTTCTATACCCAGTACATGGATAGGGCTTCTCCTCTGTTTGAATTGACTCCTGATTAAGTAATGATACCTTCATGATATCTTCTCCACAGTCATGGCAGCTGTAGTTTTCTTTTCTGTGTACTTCCAGTTTATCATTGTGATGTGAGAGCCAACTGACACTGTCACACTTACAGAAATGATTTTTCATGGAAATTTGCTGACATCTACACTGATAATTATGTGACTCTTTCAGATACATTTTCCTCCAAGAATGATGTGCCCTCCAAGATGGATACCCTTGACTTTTTATATAATTGGAGCCATTCCCTATATGAGTGAATATATAGTTCTTATCTTCAGAAATCTGAACTGGTATTCCTGCCCAAACCTGGCCGAGGGAATTACCTTGTTCTTGCAACTGAGAATTCTTCCCTTGAAAAACTTTCAGGAAATCTTGACACCTGATTAACCCACCTGCACTTTGTTGCCAGGTCTGACGGGAGGAAAGCTCTTTGGGGGAAAAGTAGCTTACTGTTACTTCCTGAATACTCTCCATCTTTTGTTGATTCTTCCTTCCTATAAGGATAAAGAGAATTCAGATGTGCACGAGTGAATGCTTTATTCAAGAGATTTGAAGATTTTACACTTAGGTCATAACATGAAACTTGAATGAACCAGAGGAAAATTCATGCCACTATTTCTAAGAATACTTAGAAAATATCTCCTCTTTGGCTATACCAGTTACAGGTTGAGTATTCTCAATCCAAAAATCTGAAATGTGAAATGCTCCAAAATCCAAAACTTTTTTAATGTTCTACATGATGTTCAAAGGAAATACTCATTGGAGTATTTCAGATTTCTGATTAGGGATGCTCAACTGGTAAGTATAATGCAAATACTCTAAAATCTGAAAATATTTGAAATACAAAACACTTCTGGTCCCAAGCATTTTGGAGAAGGGATATTTAACCTACATACAAATAGCATCTACATAATTCAGGATATCTGATGCCTCAAAATCAGGACTTTGCAGCACGACCTGGACATCGAACATGATGGCTGTGTTCAAAAGGCTTAGTAAAACCATAAACATGGCTGGGCATGGTGGCTCATGCCTGTAACCCTAGCACTTTGGGAGGCCAAGTCGGGTGGATCACCTGAAGTCAGGAGTTTGAGACCAGCCTGGCCAACATGGTGAAACCCCATCTCTACTAAAAGTACAAAAATTAGCCAGGCGTGGTGTTGCACACCTGTAGTCCCCGTTACTGAGGAGGCTGAGGCAGGAGAATAACTTGAACCCATGAGGCAGAGGTTGCAGTGAGCTAAGATCATGCCACTGCACTCCAGCCTAGGCAACAGAATGAGATCCTGTCTCAAACGAAACAAAACAACACAACTATAAACATGTTATCATGGATTAATCATGGGTTTCCAGGAGATCTGAAGGGGAAAAGAGGATGTTCTTAAAACTGGAAAAATATAGTTGCAAATGGACAAACGCCTTTTGTCCTAATAAGTTTTTCTTTTTTGTCTGGCACATAAACATGATAATGTTGTTCATTTGTAAGTGTACTGTGTGCGTTAAATGATATGCTGAAGAAGGTAAATACAGACTTTTACTTTATGTTTGAGGCATCACATATCCTGTCACTAATGAGCTATTTATCCTCATGAGAATAATAAGCTCTTCTTCAGATTATGAGACTAACGCGCTGCCAGCTGCGCTAAGAGGGCTTAGAGAATAATAAGCTCTTCTAAGTCCCTGTAGGCCATTACAGATTTTAACTCTTTTCAAAAGATATTTCACAATTATCAACGGCCATGGTGTAGGTCAAAATGTGAAAGACTGTGACAGAATTCAACTAAAAAAATCAGAAAAAAATTATGGCACCTGTAGGTGTCCTCTGAGGTGCTCATTAGCCAGGAACAGAACTCAATGAATACTGACTTTTGCTTGTGCCATTTTACTGGAAAATTATGTTAGTGTTTAGGAAATTTGAGGCACCAGAAAGGGTTGAAGACAGGATATTTGGGTAGAAATAGTTACCTAGTTATTAAAGCTCAGATTATAAGCAGACAGCAGATCTTCATATACTAGTGACAAATATCCTCCCTAAGGACAACTGGTTAAACAGGGTTGAATTAATAACATGCATTCTTCTAACACTTAGAAGTAGATTAAGTCTCTATAATATCCAGAAGAAAAGCAGTAAAAGGGATGTTTTTTCATGAATATTACCCTCAAACATAATTCTGCCTTATTTCTTTGTGTTTGTCTGCCTCTCCACACTGGAATGTATTATCCATGAAAACAAACACTGTTTTGTGCACTGCATTCCTTTCACTGCCAAGTGAACAGTAGTTGCTCAATAAACATTGATGAATAAATCATAGTTTGAGTTGCTCTCACTCATAGAACTAAAAGAGCATGTAATGTAGCTTTTTAAATGGGAAAGGAACTGGTGATGGTGGCAACTTTGCTGGAAAGCTGAAAGGCTATAGGAGACGTAGGGCGACAATTCAGAGTGATACTGCTGATGAGAAAAGCAAAGGTCACAAGAATCTACTGTGGATGAAATAAAAATGTAAGATCAAAAAGACCCATAGGCAGGGCCTGTGGATTGAGTCTTTCTCATTTTTAAAGTAACTTTTTAAATGGTACAACTGTGAGCCAGGCATGGTGACGCAATCCTGTAGACCCAGCTACTCAGAAAGCTGAGGCAGGAGAAATGCTTGAGCCCAGGCATCTGAGGATGCAGTGACCTATTAATATAATTGCACCTGTGAACAGCCACTGCAACTCCAGCCTGGGCAGCATGGCAAGACTCTGTCTCAAAAAAACCCAAAATGGTGTAATTTTTCTTGAACAAAATCTTACCCGTAAGCCCTACCCTATCCCAACTTTTAAAAAAGGAAAAAAGAAAAGGCCACACTGATGAATCTGTATCACTAGGCTCTGGGGCAGCACACTGATTGTGGGATAACACTTCAAGGTATATCAGTAGGTATGCATCTTGGTACTTTAAAAGCACATTTACTGATGTCTTTGCCTTCTCAAAAGTGAAGCTTTCAGTTATTATAATGATATTTTATCATATAATGATGAAATGAAGGGATATATTATAGGAGGCATATCAGATAAAGTATATAGCTTATATGTGAGAAGTTTGAGCTTCCAGCTAGGGTTAATCATAATCCTTGTAGTTTTGTTTTACTATTATAAAAAACACTCAATATACATCCATAAAGATACAGTTTAATATGTCCTGTCTTTTGGGACTGATGTAGTGGCTTGAGAACATGAAAGTAGCTTGTTAGTCAAAACCCAATTTCTCACAAAGCAACTGTTTCAATGCAAATTAGTACATAATTCATGATATAAAAATCTCTCAAATATATGAGATTAAAGTTTCTCTCTGAGCAGTGGGTTTTGCAATGTTAAGGACATAGAGGAAGAAAAAAAATAAAAGGTCATTTCACTTTGTTTCACACTCTTCTAAAAAAGACCACACATGTAACAACATTAATTTCCTTTAGTCAATGGTATAGACCGAAACACCTTGTTACTTTATTTAAATAACTCAACATTTAAGTTCTATTTCAATATCAATGGTAGAATGGTAATAAGAAATTGTGTTAAGTTTATAAATGAACTTTATTTGATGGAGAAACTAAGCATGACAAAAGATGCCGAAGACATCATTTGAGGTAAGAAGGTTGAGAATTTATTACATCTTCATAGCAATCCTGCTTTAGCACTTAGAGGTTGAGAAAGTCAATGATTCAAGCAACCCAAATTGATCAATTCAATAACAAAGGTGCTATATTTGTCATAAAGACAAGTAATTCCTTTGAATTTAATAGTTAGCTATAATGAACTCAGAGAAAAAAAATCTTTGTTTATGTCTTCTTCTTCTTCTTCTTTAATAAAAGCTAAGCGAGAACATCAGCTCAGGTTACCCAGGCTGAGATCACCTTCCGTTCTTACTTCGCTTTTAGATAGAGACAATACAAGGTATAGTGGTGACAATGTTTTGATCACAAATATTTAAGCTGCTGTGCTGACTCCTTTCTTAACCACTGATATGGTTTCGCTCTGCGTCCCCACCCAAATCTCATGTTGAATTGTAATTCCCAGTGTTGGAGTTGAGGCCTGGTGGGAGGTGATTGGATCATGGGGGTGCTTTCTAATGGTTTAGCACCATCCCCCAAGTGCTGTCTCGTGACAGAGTTCTCAAGAGATCTGGTTGTTTGAAAGCATGTAGCACTTCCTGCCCTCTTTCTCTTCCTCTTTCTCTGCCATGTAAAACATGCCTCCTTCCCCTTCACCATCTGCCATATTTATAAGTTTCCTGAGGCCTCCCCAGCCATGCTTCCTGTATAGCCTATGGAACCATGAGTCAATTAAACCTCTTTTCTTTATAAATTACCTGGTCTCAGGTAGTTCTTTACAGCAATGGGAGAATGGACGAATAAAGAAAATTGGTACCAGAAAAGTGGGGCATTGCTATAAAGATACCTGAAAACGTGGAAGTCACTTTGGAAACAGGTAATGGGCAGAGGTTGTAATAATTTGGAGGGTTCAGAAGAAGACAGGAAGATGAGGGAAAGTTTGGAATCTCCTAGAGAATTGTTACATGGTTTTGAACAAAATACGGATAGTGATATGGACAGTGAAGTCCAGGCTGAGGTGGTCTCAGATGGAGATGAGGAAGTTATTGGGGACTGGAACTGGTGATATATTTAGATATATTTAGGTTTGTAAATGCATTTATACATTTTCCCAACATTGGTGCTATGCTTTAGCAAAGAGACTGGCAGCATTATGCCTCTGCTCCAAAGATCTGTGGAACTTTGAACTTGATAGGGATGATTTAGGTTATCTGGTGGAATAAATTTCTAAGCAGCAAAGCATTCAAGATGTGGTCTGGCTGCTTCTAACAGCATATGCTCATATTTATGGGCAAAGAGATTATCTGAAACTGGAACTTATATTTAAAAAAGAAGCAGAGCATAAAAATTTGAAAAATTTGCAGCCTGATCATGTGGTAGAAAAGAAAAACCAATTTTCTGGGGAGAAATTCAAGGCTGCAGAAATGTGCCTAAGTAAAGAGGAGCTGAATGTTAATAGCCAAGAAAATGGGGAAAATGCCTCCAGGGCATTTCAGAGCCAGTCATGACAGTCCCTCCTACCACAGGCCTGAAGGCCTAGGAGGGAAAAATAGTTCTGTGGCTCAGGCCCAGGGCCCTGCTGTTTTCTACAGCTGAAGGACACGGCACCCTGCATTGTAGCTGCTCCAGTTCCAGCCATGGCTAAAAGGGGCCAAGGTATAGCTCAGGCCATTGCTTCAGAGGGTGCAAACCCCAAGCCTTGGCAGCTTCCACGTACTGTTGGGCCTGTGGTGTGCAGAGGGCAAGAGCTGAGGCTTGGGAACCTCTGCCCAGATTTCAGAGGATTTATAGAAACACCTGGATGTCCAGGCAGAAGTCTGCTGCAGGGGTGGAGCCCTCATGGAGAACCTCTACTAGGTCAATGGAGAAGGGAAATGTGGGGTTGGAGCCCCCAGAGTCCCCACTGAGGCATTGCCTAGTGGAGCTGTGAGAAGAGGGCCACCGTCCTCCAGACCCCAGACCCACCAACAGCTTCCACCACGTGCCTGGAAAAGATGCAGGCACTCAACGCCAGCTCATGAAAATAGCCAAGTGGGCTATACCCTGCAGAGCCACAGAGGCAGAGATGCCCAAGGCCTTGGGAGCTCATCCCTTGCATCAGCATGCCTGGATGTGAGACATGGAGTCAAAGGAGATTATTTTCGAACTCTGAGATTTAATGACTGCCCTGCTGGGTTTCAGATTGGCATGGGGCCTGCAGCCCCTTTGTTTTGCCTGATTTCTCCCTTTCAGAATGGGGGCATTTACCCAAAGGCTGTAGCCCCATTGTATCTTGGAAGTAACTAGTTTGTTTATTAGAGTATTATGCATCCATTACAAAAACAAGAGTTATAATCTTAGACTGGGAGGGATTTCCCCAAGGTAACGGCAAAGAAGAAAAATTAGTATATTAAAAACAAGAATGTACATAACAAATTTTTACATTAATATGAGGTATATGATCATGTTAGTATAGGTAAAAAAATTAAGGTATTTTAAAAGGTGACATTATGTTCCAGCTGACAGTATCAGGAAGGTAGACTGGCACAGCATGGCCTCGGCCTGTTTCTGTACAACCCAGGAGCCAAGAACGCTTTCTACATTTTTAAAGTGGTGTAAGAAAAACAAAGACTGTGACAAAGAGCACATGTGGCCAGGAAAATCTAAAGTATTTACTACTTGGACCTTTAGAGAAAAAGTTTAACTCCTACTCTCAAGGGTACCATGTAGGACCCTGAATCTTAACCAAGATGGAAACAAACCATTATAGAAATGAGTTAATTTGTTTTGAATTTTCTGTTGACTCTTTCTTCTTATCCAGCAGCATCCTTAGCTACACAGTTGCGACGGTGGCTTTTGATGTCAGTCTTGAGGACTCAAGAAACTATCAAAATGTTTGGATTCACATAAATGTCCAACTTGAAGATTCTACTTTAAGACTGTGGCTATGTCAAGAGATTGTTTGGGTGCGAGAGTATGGGACAGAATGGGAGGATAAGAAGATGGACATATGAATACAAGGGTGTCTCACTTGAAAATGCTGCATGAGGAAGACCAGTTATAATGTTGGCATTGGTCATTTTTGATACTTACTTTAGCTGATTGGCTATTCTTATCTTTTAGGATTAATGGCTACCCATCTATGAATACTCAAGGACAGCTAAGCAGTTAAAACAGGCATCCATCAGATGAGAAACAGTATTCTAGAATACCCTTCAATTACACAGATTTATTCTACACCTATTAGCTGCCTCAGGGTGAATTGAAGAGAGCAAAGATCATGCATCTATTACCCAATTCATTCAGAGAGAAAAGCAAGTCAAGGAAATTGACACAGAAGCATAATTGAGAGGTCTGAGGGGGCAATCATGGGGCAGTGCCTCTGAAACAGACTGAATGAGCAAAAACAAACAATGGTAGGTGAATATGGAAAGTGAGAAGAGGTTGAGGGGACAGATACCTTAGGACCTAATAGACCACTTTAAGTACTTTAAACTTACTATGTGTGAAATGGGGAGCCACAGGAAAGCTTAAACAGAGAAGTGATGTGTTCTGACTCATGTTCTAGAAGGGGCTCCCTGGCTGCTGTGTTCCTGCAGCACAGTTCTCACCTGAACATCCATCTCTTGGGGTTTCTGTCTCCACCATCAAAAGCTTTTCTTCTCTCTCCAGCTGGGATATTAGGTCTGGCTTGAAGGGCTGATGTGCTGTAAAGAAGGAAAGGACAGCAAAAGTTTTTAAGTTTGATGACATTCAATTGGTCAAAACTAGACAAAAAGGTATACACAGACAAGTGAGACTCTCTCCCACATCCCTTCCACCCTGTTACCTTCCACTCACTATAAGAAACTAACTTCATGATTTTCTTTTTTTTTTTTTTAAATAGGCTCTCACTTTTCTGCCTGTGCCAGCATGCAGTGGCATGATCACAGCTCACTACAACTGCAGCCTCAACCCCTGGGCTCAAGCAATCCTCCCACCTGGGCCTCCAGAGTAGCCGGGACCATGGGTGTGCATCATTATGCCCAGCTAAATTTTTTGTAGAGACAGGGTCTCCCTGCATTGCCCAGGCTGGTCCTGAACTCCTGGGTTCAAGCAATCCTCTTGCCTTGGCCTCCCAAAGTGCTGAGATTACAGGTGTGAGCCACCACGCCTGGCCATTATTTTCATTAAACCTTCCTTCTTGTGTTTCTTCTTATAAAAATAAGTATATATATAAAATATATATTATTTTTATATATTACATATATTTTTATATATATTATATATATTTCATATATGTATAAAATATATATATATTTTGTATATGTATAAAATATATATACATTTTGTATATGTGTAAAATATATATTATTATATATATTTTATATATAATAATATATATAATATATATTTTATATATAATAATATATATTATATATATATGTCTGTACCCACACACTGTCTATTTACTTATTTTACCTTATTTCTTACATGAATTGTAGTATACTATTAATATTCTTTTGGACATGGCTATTTTTAGGGAAAATCCCCAGAAATGGGTTGCCGGGGAAGGGTAAATACCTAGCTTTGTTAGATATTGTCAACTTCCCCTCCCTAAGGGTTGTATCATTTTGCATTCTTCCTTTCAACGCATGAATGTTCTTCATTCCCCACAGCTTTGCCAAAAAACGTATAGTGTTACGTTTTTGAATTTTTGCCAATTTCATGGGTGAGAAATGGCATTTCAGTATAATTGTAATGAACATTTCTTTTGAAATAAACTGAACATCTATTCATATGTATACATATTTCTATGTGTGTATATGTGTATGTATATACATACACATACACACACACACACACACACACACACACACACACACACCCTAGCTCTATGTCCTGAGACAAAGAAACATAGATCATAGATACTACAGTGACCATACCTAGCATCCAGACTTTGGCATTAAATACCATTCCCCAGTTAAAAAAAAAAAAAAAAAAAAAGATAATTCCAGAGCCAAGGCAAAGTAAAGATGAGCACAAAATACTGTTCTCTGCCAACAAAGTAAGAAAGTGCTCAAAAAAAAAATTGGGGACATGTTACAAGGTCACAGGAGCCAGCTTAAAGAGGCCAAACTTGGGACAATTTTAACATCTAAAAAATTACAGTAATAAACTATAAACCTTTAAAAAATTTCACAAATCCCTACAAATAACATTGAAATGATGCTTGAGAAGTGGGGGGCTCTTGTTGACTGCAAGTTTATGCCAGGTGCTGACTGCTAAATGGGAAGGAGGTAAAGTTAGAAAAGTCATCATTTTGTAACTGTCATGGTAAGGACCAGATAAGGCAAGATCATCAGCAGGTGCTTAATCTACAGGAAAATACTTGTGTTACCCGATGATTACAAATGGGGAAAAAAGCAGTAATTATATAGTGGGGAAACTGCATAACATCGTGACTGGGTAATCAAAGTTAACACCACCTTTGAGGGACAGATGACTTCACGTGCCTCCAGATGTGATTCCCTCAAAAGTGCACACTCTACCTACATAGTGTTCCTGCTGCATGGATCATCTGAATCTAATTTTGTGGAATCATTAGGAATGTTCTATTAAAAATAAGGGAAGAGGTGATAGCGTTCTTCAAAAATGTTACTGTCATAAAAGAGAAAGAAATGCTGTGGAAATGTTCTAAATTAAAGAAGGCTAAAGAGACAGAACAACTATACTAGACTCTAGATCCTGTTCTGGAGGGAGAAAAATATGCTTTAAAGAATAAAATTAGGCTGGTCGTGGTGACTCATGCCTGTAATCCCAGCACTTTGGGAGGCTGAGGCAGGTGGATCACCTGAGGCCAGGAGTTTGAGACCAGTGTGGCCAACATGGTGAAACCTCATCTCTAATAAAAATATAAAAATTAGCTGGGCATGGTGGTAGTTGCCTGTAATCTCAGCTACAGGTGGCTGAGGCACGAGAATCACTTGAATCTGGGAGGCAGAGGATTCAGTGAGCTGAGGTTGCACCACTGCACTCCAGCCTGGGCAACAGAGTGAGACTCTGTCTCAAAAGAAAAAATATATATATAAAATTGGCTTTATGGATAAAATCACAGCATAAATGATAGATAAGATAAAAACATTATATCTGTCCTGAGAACAGGTAAGAGAATATTCCTCTTTTTATAAAACAGACTGTGCAGTAAAGGAAAGAGTTAGTTTTGTTTAAAGAGAGATCTGGATTTTGCCTTTGGCTTCTGGAGAAGGTAATCGCTAAGTCCCTGGAATATACTGCCCGATTAGAGTGTCTTTCGTTTACCCAGAAGCCTTGGGCCACACACCAGATAGTTAAACAATGTGATTTATAGTAGGGGCTTTGAGCCATGTGGTATTAGCTTAACCTCTGGAGAAACTGGAATCTAAGAGCAGCCACCCAGGTGGTCAATCATATCTAGGTAACTAAGCTCCAGTAAAAACTCTGGACACCAAGGCTCAAATGAGCCTCTCTGGCTGGCAATGCTCCTTACGTATTGTCATACTTCACTGCTGGGAAGTCAGTGCTGTCCACAACTCCACGGAAGATGACAAGTGGAAGCTGACATCTGGAACGCTCCTGGACTCTGCCTCCTGGGCCTCTTCCCTAGGCTGACTTTAATCTGATTCCTTTCCCTGTAATGAATCATTAACTGTGAAGACAACTGCTTTCAGTGAGTTCTGTGAGTCCTTCTAGTGAATTATTGAGCCTGAGTGTGGGGCTCAGTACTCTTGGGTCTTGGGGACTCCTAATCTTGCAATTGGTATCAGAGGTGAGAGTGAACTTGGGGACTCCTGAACTCTGTATATACACTGAAGTATTTAGAGAAAAACGGCCATGGTATATTAACTTACCCTCAAGTCGTTCAGAAAAAGATATTATGACTATATATATTTTTTCATATACATACATAAGTATGTATGGAGAGGGAAAGAACATGAACATAAATGATAGAGCAAATAGGGTAAAATGTTATTAGAGGTGAATCCAGGTAGAATCTTGGCGAATCTATATGGGTGTTCTTGTCCTTTTGTAAGTTTTCTGTGAGTTTAAAGTTATTTACAAATATAATGTTTTTTTAAAAAAACCCCTCTAAAAAGTCAAGTTCATCAACAGTTACTGGTGCCCTGAAAAATAAACTTACTAACCTGGAACAACTTACTAAACTGTTTGATGGCAAATCAATGAAGCAGGACCATATTTACTATTCCAAGGATAGACTGGACAAAACCATCAGAAACATCTTGTCTGTGTTGCACGGGGATTATTAGGACTCTCGGGCACCTAATCTCAGAGAATAATTTCAGGGGCTTCAGAGTTTCTAACAATTGAGCACACAAAGACACCCCAGGAGGCTGCCATTGAGTAACTAAGGGCACCTATCCTCACCTACTAAGAGCAGGTTCCTGAAGTTCTCCAGCATCACATCTCGGTACAGCTTCCTCTGGACAGAGTCCAGCAGCCCCAGCTCCTCCTCAGTGAAGACCACAGCAACATCCTTGAATGTCACCATCTCCTACAATGCCAAACACATGCACACTAAGTTTACAGAAGAAGGGCAGTGCTGAGAAGGTGTAAAGGACTGGAAGCTGTTCTGGAGTCTGGGCAACTTGAGTCACATTTACATAGTTCTCTTCTGTTTACCTTCTGTAATGCTAATACCATTCACCAAAAGGGCTGCAAGAAAAGAAATCCTTGCACTTTGAAATTACTTCCTTTTGTTAGCACTTATAAGTAAGCCTCTGGAACTCTGTTGCACCCTAGGTTACCAATATTTTAAATTGTAATAATAATGTCATTTGCTCCACAAAAGCTTTAGTTCTAACAGTGACTGATGCTACCTGTTTCTCCTCATTTACACACACACACATCACTTATTTAATTTGTCAAATTTACAGGGTATCAGTCATCCTTACTGCTCAAATATGTAGCTCATCCTCTGTGCTCATCTGGAGACTGCTGCAGTGATGGGCACAGCTCTGGAGCCTGACTGCCTGTGTCTGGATCTGGGCGCTCTGCCCAATGCTAGCTCTATGATCTTGGACAAGTTTCCTATCTTCTCATTTGTATGGTGAAACTTATACCATACAGTCCTAGTAATAAAATGAGTGACCACATGTAAAGCATGGAAAACAGCACCTGGCACACAGTAAGTACCCAACAAATGTTAGCTACATTATTAATATTTTCATTATATCTTCTATCCCATTTCTGGGCTGCAAAGTAATTCAGAGAACTAATGGTCTAGAATATAATAATTTGATCCAACTAATGCACACTTAGTTTGAGGTTACCTATACGAACAATGTTGCAAAAACAATCTTTTGCATTGACGTTAACCTCTGGAATTCTGTTGATTATCTCCTCAAAATAAATACCAAAAAGTAACAATGGCAATGCTGAAGAATAATGACCTTTAAAGTTCTGAAATCATAATGGCAGGTGTTTTCCCAAAACAGACTTTCGCCTTCCATCTTAGCCTTCTTCCAAGAAAGTATAAATCATAGTCAACACTGGATATGAAAGCTTTTTAAAAAAATCTTTCATAATCTCACAAGTAAATTTGGGAAGTAAAAATCATTTATTAAAAACATTCTCACAAACTTATTGGTAATAAAGTTCATTCTCTTTACACACATTTGCTGTTCATCTCGATTTCTTGTTTTGTAATAATAATTCATTTGGAGGACACCGAGGTCTTTTCTTCCATGGACATTGTAAATATTTTTCATTCCACTTTGCTGTCTTGTAACTTTTTGCTGTAGGGTAATTTTAAATTTTTAAATGAACAACTGTTCAGTCCCATATTTCTTCTGGCTGCAGTTCTGAGCATAACAGCTTCAGCTCTGAATGCAGAACTCTGCTTTGGTTTGCTTTGCTTTTTTGTAAGTCTTTCCACGCAAGTGATATGCCTGAAACTCTTGGCCCAGAAAGCAAAGGCTTTAGAGTTGGCCCAATGCTTATCTTCCTGTATGAACATGAACCTCTTAACAGTGCAAACGACTCTACAGTTCCCCTCCAACAGTCATCTGGGGCCATGAATAGTGTGACAGATGCAAAGTGCCTATATATCCTATGGTATGACTAAAAACTTTAAACTAAGTACCTGTATTACTCTAATAAAATTAATACATGAATAATGAAACACACACAGACATACAAACATATATAGATAAACACATAGCTATAGGTACTGAGAAGAATCTAGCTCTTCTTATATAAGAATCTAGCTCTTCTTGTACAAAAACATCTATTTTTCCCCCAACCTTAGCTTCAATATAATCTTGTTAGACAAAATCATATTTTATGTATTCCACCTGAGACATCACTTAGGAGAAAATATTTTTAGTTTTGAGTCTCTAGAACATTATGGACAAATAATATCAAAATTCTCTCACACTGGTTTTTGAGTCAAGATTATTTGTAGGAAAACTGATACTGCAATGTAAAACTGCAAGAATCCTCAGGAACGTAAAAGCTTGTGAGTTGGAAATAATTTAAAGAAAAGGGCCGGGCACGGTGGCTCACGCCTGTAATCCCAGCACTTTGGGAGGCTGAGGCACGTAGATCACGAGGTCAGGAGTTCAAGACCAGCCTGGCCAAGATGGTGAAACCCCATCTCTACTAAAAATACAAAAAAATAGCTCGGTGTGGTGGCAGGCACCTGTAATCCCAGCTACTCGGGAGGCTGAGGCAGAGAATTGCTGGAATCCAGGAGGTGGAGGGTGCAGTGAGCCGAGATCATGCCACTGCATTCCAGCCTGGGCAACAGAGCGAGACTCCATCTCAAAAAAAAAAAAGAAAAAGAAAAAGAAAAGGGGGAGAGGGATAACAACAGTTTACGTCAATAATATTAGATGATAAAAATTAACTGCTAAAAATTAAGCGGATAAAAATTCAAAATTGTTATGTATTAATGCAAGAACAGTTATATTTAAAAAAATGACCATGGACAAAAACAGATTTGTAAGCAGGGTAATAAGGTGTAGGATTTTAAAATTTCTATTCTTCTTTGTACTATTATTTATGAAATAAATAATAAAACACATTTACAACTAAAAGGAAATTTTAGAAAAGGACAAAAACAAAAAGCAAGAGCCTGATACATAAATGATACTAAATGCCTGTTGTCATTCTTTACCCTTGGCAAAGAAGGGGGAAAAAGATATGTCCACTCACTGCAAAATGAGGTCACATGTAAAACGGCATAAATGAAAACCAGCTCACCTGGAATTTGGTCATTTTTCTCTTTCTTTTTCTAGAGAAAGGCAGAGACCTGAGAAGGCAGAACAGGGTAATACGAAAGAAGCCATGATTAAAAGGGAAACGTATCTTTGTGCAAATTAGAAAAAGGTGTCCCTTCCCCCAGCAGATGTGGCCACACACCGGCGTTAAGGAGCAGGTAGCATGGGTTGGATTCTAGCTACCACTTGGCTCTCCTGGCAGGGTGCCCGCATGCACGGAGCAACCTGCACAGCTGTACCCAGTAGCCTCACATGCCTTACAGCTCCCAGCATGCTCATTCTGATTCTGGGAGAGGTGGGAAAGGAGAGGTAGTGGCATGTCATGTACTGGTTAAAAGTGGACTCTGGGGACAAAATGTCTACGTTCAAAACCTGGTGCTACCATATACTTGCTGAGTAACCATGGTTAAATTCATGAACCTTTCTAATGTTTCAGTTCTGTCATCTGCAAAATCCAGACCACACAGTGCCAACAATATATGATTGTTATTAGGATTATCTGTGTGCATAGAGGAAACCTATTATAACTATACCAGGGATCTCTACTTCCTTGCAACTATAGAGATGCAGATACCATTCTGTATCACAAAATTGCCCTGGCGAATGTATTTTGTAAGACATCTGGACAGCAGAGATTACTGCTCTGTCCCGGGAAAGTCACCCGTAACTTCGGAATGTCTGTAGCTCTGGCTTCTTACTTTTGTTGCCACAGTATATACTATATACATCGAGACCACCCTTATGAAAAATGCAGTGGCTAGTAAATATTCTTCCTGAGCTCAGGGGAAGTTCAGTGGTACATCCCTCTTCCCACAGGGTACAACAAAAGACTAATGAAACCTGTGAGACTACTACATTTCTCATGTTAAACAAAAATGTGATCCTCTGTCTAGATATGACAAAATCTCATTGGTGATGAGAACACCTAGCCTGCAGGGTTGTTTGTGGGGCTGCGTGTGCTCCTCTGTGAAAAGCAGCTCAGTGCTTGACCCTGGGGAGGACTGGACACCAGGAGTTTAATTTCATGGTTCTTCCTCAAGGTTTGTTACTTTACTTTACTTACTGTTCTCAGGCAACATTAAGGCTATCTGTGGAAGAGAAAGAACTGAAAAAAATAAAAAAGGAACTGAAAATGAACTGTGGGTAAGGCAGAGCCTTCTAGCACCACCTCAAAGAGAGGTGCACTACTCCAGTAGGCACCTGCTCCCTCCTGCCCCACCTGGCCTCTGCTGTAGAATCCACAGGATGTAAGCACAACTACCAAGAACAAGTATGAACTTGGCTGCGTAATCAGCAGTAAAAGAGCTGAGTTTTCTTTCACTCATCCAATATTTATGGATTGCCTTCTAAAAGGGATACAGTGCCCAGATAGATGCCAGGGTAGAGGGTGCACGGAGTCCTTTGAGAGAGCATGGAAGGGCCCTCAAATCCATACATGATGATGGAGGATGGATGAGGATGGAGAAAATGAGGGCTGATCTTAATGTTGGAAGGTGACTGACCTATATTTGCCACTCAAAGAGAAAGGAGTCATCAGACTATTGAAACAGAATGAGAGTTAGTGGGTATCTAGGGCAAGAGAGAAGGCAGAAAATGTAAGAAGACCAACTCACATGCTTTAGAGGAACTCCCTCACTTAATCCCACAACCACCCAAGAAGTTGGGACAATTTGTAACTCTTTTTACAGTTGAGAATACTGAGGCATTAATATTTTAAGCTGCTTTGTCATTTTAGCTAGCAGAATGGCCAGGACTATTAGTCCAGGGTCTGTGTTCTCAGTTACTAGGACAGTGGCTCTTAAGCTGCCAGCTCACCGGTATCAATGGGGAGCTTTAAAAAAAACCAATGCCCAGACCCAAGTCCAGGCTCTATAAATGAGGATCTGTGGAAGAAGAGTTTTTATGAAATCCCCCAGGTGACTACAGTGTGCAGAGAGGATTGCAAACCACAGACCAGGACATACATAGAGACAGTTTGCAGGATAAGCCCATGCAATTAACCACTAGGCCATTTGGCCTCTCAAGAAAATTGTCAGAGAACACTCAAGCCAGGAACAGAGAAGGGCCTGGGAGCCAGGCCTCTTGATTCCCAGATCCCCATTTCTCTCTTTTAAATGATGTTCTTGGAGCTGTCACTAAGAGGAAGGAGCAGTAACATGCGCTGTGGGTGTCTGCAGTCACGCACTCCGTGTGAGGACAGCCTTCCAGTTTAGACCTCTCTGATCACCTTTATCAAGCAGGGGGTCACTAATCAGCCAAGGGACTTTGAGAATTCAAAAGAAAAGGGAATTTCTGTTAAATATGAAATCACACAGTGGTCATCCTATAGACTATTGTTGCTTCTTCATGTTTGATAGAATTAAAGCCTGATTATGTTCCTTTCTTGGTTAAAACAAGTGCATAGCTGCCTTTGGGATAAAGTCTAGATTCTTAGCAAGCCACACAGGAATCTTTCATGTCTGTCTGCTCATTTTCTCTGCAAATCTTCTCTCCCCTTTGATCTCCAGCCGTGTCAATCACTTGATCTCATAAAAGAGTCTCCAGGCCCTTGCATGTGCCACCCCTCCTGCACTCCTTTCTCTTTTCACTTAGAGCAGGGGTTGGAAAGCTTTCATAAAAAGGACAGATAGTGAGTATTTCAGGCTTTGTGGGTCACATGCTGTCTCTGTCCAATATTGTTCTTTCTTTTCACAACCCTTCAAATGTAAAAATCATTCTTAGCTGAAGAAGAGACACACAAAAACAAGCCACAGGCAATTTGCCCACTCCCATCACAGATCCTCTTAGCTTTTAACACTGAGCTTGTATGTGCCCCGCTCTGTGATACCTTTAAGAAGGTTTCGCTGAAGCCTCATTAGCTCCTAAAACCCATTTTGCCAGCCTAATGAAAGCGGAATGCTTTGGCCAAGAGCCCAGGCTACAGAATCAAGCTGCCAAGCTTCAATCCTGACTCTACCACTTACTGGCAGCATAAACTGACACACATTAATTAACCTCTCAATGCCTCTGTTCTTCATCTGTAAAATGGAGATAAACGTTGGGTTGTTATGTTATGTTATGTGAGTTCAATGCATCATAATATTAGAAAGTCAGTGTGAGTGGTAATAAAATCTGATCAATGTTAGCCATTGTTACTACCATCTTCATTATCATCACTATGAAATAAATCTAGAAGCTGCTCATTAGCTCTGGTTTGTTGCAAAGTATGTTTATTTTAGGTCAGTAATTAACCATATAGGTGTACATCACCCTTTCAACATTCTGAAAAATCTATTGGCTTCAGCATCCCACCAAAACTGATCAGAGATAAGGGACAGGGAATATTCACATCTTTTATTCTCCCACATCTATTTTCAGAAAATTTGAATATACTCTCACTGAGTTGAAGGTCCCCATTCCTGCTGCCTGCTGGAAAGCTGCACCAACCACAGAGAGTTACCAAATAATTCCTCTCTGCCAATCCCTACGTTTGGTAATAAGCAAATGGAGAATTTGACACAGTTCCCGCTGCACAGAAATCTGTAGCCAAATGGGAAAGACAGATCAGAAATAAGCAGCAGAAGCATCTGCGAGCTCAAAGACAGGTCAACAGAAACAATCAAACCTGAAGCACATGAAAACAATGTGCATTCTGTTGTTGATAGAGTGCTCTACAAATGTCAACGAGGTCAAGATGTTAATAGTATTATTCAGGTCTTTTGAATCCTTACTGGTTTTCAGTCTTCTTGTTCTACTGATTACTGATAAAAGAGTGTTGAGATTTCTACATAGAACTGTGGGTTTCTCTATTTTTTTCTTTTAATTATATCAGTTTTTCTTCATGTAACTGTTGTTTTGTAGGTACACTTTTAGGATTGTTATGTCTACTCGGGGAACTGACCCTTGGCATGGTGTCCCTCGGCATCCCTGGCCTTGGTCTGAAGTCTACTTTGATATTAATATAGCCACTCCGTAGTACAGCTCCTTTTCACTTTTTCACTTTCAAACTATTTATGTCCTTGTATTTAAATGGAGTTATTTTAGACCACATATACTTGGTTCTTGCTTTTTATCCAATCTTACAATATATTTTAATTGATGTATTCAGGCCATTAGCATTTCCTATAATTATTGATATAGCTGGGTTTCTGTCTACCATTTTATTATCTTTTTTCCTGTTTGTCCTCCCTGATTTTGTCCCTCTATTACCCCTTTTTCTGCCTTCTTTTGGGTTGATTTTTTTTTTTTTTTTTTTTTACTATTCCATTCATTGTATCTATTAGCTTTTGGCTATATGTCCTTTTTTTTTTTTTCCAGTGGTTGCTCTAGGGTTGTAATATACATATCTAATCTTTCACAGTGTATTTAGCATTACTGTTTTACTACTTTTTGTAAAATGCAGATGCCTTACCAACAAATAGTTTCCTTTATCTCCCCACTTTGTTTCATTTGTATATACTACTCTATATACACAAAAACCTCTAGCCAAGAAAGTTATAATTTTTATTTAAACAGTCATGCATATTTTAAAGAGTAGAAAACCAGTATTTTATATTTGCCAAAAAACTTACTATTTCTGGTGCTCTTTCATCATTTCTGAAGTTCCTAGTTTCCATTTAATATCATTTCTATTCAGCCTAAAGAACTTCCTTTAGTGCTCCTTTTAGCACAGATGTGGCATTTTTTCATTTCATTCCTGAAGGACATTTTCACTGGATATAGAATTTTGTACTGACAACTCCTTTAAGAATATTAAAGATGTTTTTCCAATGTTTTCTGGCCTCCATGGCTTCCCATGAGAAATCCACGTATATCTGAATCATTGTTCTACCAGATATATAATATGTCATTTTCTCTAGCTGTATTCAAGAATTTTTGTTTATTTTTAATTTTCAGAAGTTTGATTATGATGTATCCAGAAGTGATTTTCTCTGAGTTTATCGTATTTGGTATTCAACGAGTTTCTGGAATCTGTAAATTTATGTCTCTCACCAAATTTGGGCAATTTTCAGCTAGTACTTCCAAACAAACACTTCTCTCCTCTCCTCCTGAGACTCCAAAGACAGGAATATTAGACTTCTGATATTGTCCCACAGGTTCCGAAGGCTCTGCTCATTTATTTTTCAATTTTTTTTCTCTCTGTTGCTCAAATTGCATTTTTATACTAACCTATCTTCAAGTTCACTGATTCTTTTTTCTGTCATCTCCAGTCTGCTACTGAGCCCATCGAATAATTTTTTTTTACTTCAGATGTTATCTTTTTCATAAAACAAATCTTAATTTCCTAAGAATTCAAATCAAAGTATTTTCTCTAACTATAACAGATTTAAAGTAGAAATGAACAAGAAAAAATATCTGGACAATCTCCAAATGTTTGGAAATTAAGCAGCATACTTCTAAGCAACCAATGAAATTAGTCACAAAAGAAATTAGATGCAGTGAAGTGGAAATGCTTCTTAGAAAATAAATTAGAGCATATTTTAAATGGAATCAAGACTTAAATGCAACATATCAAAATGTAAGAGATGCAGCTAAAGCAGATATTATAGGGAAATGTATAGCAATGATGCATATATTAGAAAAGAGGTCTTAAAGGCAAACAGAAAAAAAGGACGTAGTAAACCTAAGACAGAAATCAATGAAATTAAAAACACAAAAACACTAGACAAAATCAAGCCTATCAAAATATGGCTGGGCCAAATCCAGCCCACTGCTTGTTTCTGTACAGGATGTAAGCTAAGAACGGCTTTTACTTTTTAATGGTTGAAAAAAATCCTGAAAAGATTATTTTGTGATGTGACAATTACATGAAACTCAAATTTCAGTGTCCATAAAGTTTTACTGTAACACAGCCATGCTCATTTGTTTACGTACGGCCTATGGCTGCTTTTGCATTACAGCAGCAGTGCTATGTAGTTATAACAGAGTTCATAGGTGGCACTCTCATTTCTTCATATTGTTGCTAAGCACAATTTAAACCACTGTGACTCAGCATTAGGTTAACTCAATTGGGTTAAATGCTGTTAATTGAACAGCATTTCAAGTAACATATGTATTGCTGTACCACAACATTTTAATTTTTGTATTACTAATACACACTCTTCAAGCCAAACACAAGAAAAAAAAACAGAAAAACAGACTTTGTTACACTTTGAAGGCACAATGGAGGTGAAATATTTTGTGAATGAATTAGATGGCAAAGCTTATCATGCTTATTGTGCTTCCTATGCAGTGACAACGTATCTATGCTAAACTAATCAAACCTATGTCAACACTGTCACGCTAAGCACTCATCACAATATTCTCAATTCACAATAAATGGTCCGAAAAATTAGAAAATTTTAAATAAAATGTCTCATCAGAGCAGAATTTCTTCACAAAAAAAATAATGAAAATGAGGTAGCAACTACAGTACATTTTGATATTCAGATATTCAGCTTCTATTTCTGCCCCAAGCAAGGAAAGTAATTTACCAGTGATGAATTAATTAAATCATGTTTGATTGCAGAAGGCAAAGAAATGTATCCAGATAAAATAAATTTGTTTATGATTAGTAGACTTTGGGCAAGACCAACTGCTCTAAGAGTTGAGGACAATGGGAACAACATTATGGTCCATTAAAATACAAGGGAAATGATTCTGATAAATTTATTTGGCTCTTGATTTCACAGATGTTACTAATGTTGCTCAGATATTGTGTATTCAAGGAATCAATGCCAAGTTTGAGTGGTTGAATGGTTAGCCTCTAGGAACAGTCGATATGGAACAACCACAGGTGAAAATATTACCAAAGAAGGTACAAATACTAATTCAGTAAACCTGAGGCAGTACAATCTGCTAAGAAGTGTTAAAATTGATAGTGGTAAAAGATATGTTGGAGCAGAAAAAGGCAGAGGTTGGATTTATAAAAACATGTATTTAAAGCCTATGGTTACTCATTGTATTCTTCATCAGCAGGTACTTTGCAGAGAATATTTTAATCTATCATGTGCTATTGAACCACTAGTGGCAACAGTGAACTTCATTCAAACTCAAAGATTTAACCATCATCAGTTGCATGAATTTCATGAGAAACAGAAAAATTCTGACTTGCCCTACCACATGAGAGTTCAATGTCTGAGCAGCAATGAAGTTTTATTGTGATTTTTTTTAAATCTCAGGGCTGAGACTGAAATATTTCTGAATAAGAACTTCCCTCAAGCATTACTATTGATATAATACTGAATGACATTGGAAATTAGCTTTAGCTGCAGACTTGATAATGCTTCTTAATGAACTCGACCTAAAATTAAAAGGCAAAACAGTACTTATTTGTGAAGCTTATAGTGTAGGAAAGTTATTTCAAAGACAGTTAATGTCTGAATCACAGGTAATGCTAAGCCACTTTACAAATTTCCAGTGCTGTCAAAAGTTAAAACAAGTAATATCTCAATTCCCACACAAATTTGTAGTATATATGTTATCTGAGCCCAAACTTCAGAATTGTAGCAGTGTTTTCAGACCTTGATGCAAGCGCAAAGGACCTTTCTGCATTTCAAAGTCCATTTCATTGTACACTGCATAATTCTCCTAACCTTCCATTGAAAGTGATTATTCTGAAATGTAGTGACATACTAAAAGGTAAATATCAAGAGTCTACAGTAATTCTTTAAATGTCTTCTGTATTAGTTTCTATTGCTGCTATAATAAATTACCACAAACTTGGTGGCTTAAAATAATGCAATTTATTCTTTATTAGTTATGGAGATCAGAAGTCTAAAATCAGTTTCCTTGGGTTAAAGTCAAGGTGTCAGCAGGGCTGGTTGCTTCTCATAGGAATCCATTTCCTTGCCTTTTCTAACTTCTAGAGGCTGCTGGAATTCCTTGGCTTATGGCTGCAGCACTCCAATTTCTGCTTCTGTTATCATGTCACTTTCTTCTAATTTTGATCCTTCTGCTTTTCTCTTATAAGAATCCTTGTAATTACACTGGGCCCAACCAGATAATCCAGGATAATCTACACATCTTAAACTCCCTAAGTTTAATCACACCAGTAAATATCTCATACCATGTGAAGTAACATTCATAAGCTCTGGGAATTAGGATATGGACATCTTTAGGGAGCCACTATTCAGTTTACCACATCTTTCAACTCATTGATATTCACAATTAAAATCATTTGCTTATGGATTAGTATCAGTATTTCATAGGACCTATTTGTTTAAAAAATTTCTTTTCAAAGATAAAATACATAAAATCTCATTACAAATCAGCATTAACAGATGAACATTTACAGTCAATTTTGATGACAAGGAATAGCAACCTTGAACTTCAATTAAGTTGTACTCAATCATTATATCTTAAATTTTGTCAATTAAAGTTTCCTCTCATTATATAAATACCTAAATAATAGTACTGATATTTCTAGTTAACTGGAAAAACTAAAATATTTACAATCTGGGCCTAAAAAAATAGGTTTGCTGGCTCCTGGACAAAATTAATTCAACCCACAGGCGGTTCTTTGCAAAGATTAGTAAAAATTAAACTCCTGATGAAGAACAAAAGAGAAAAGACACAAATTACCAAAATCAAGAATGAAAGAAGGGATATCACTACGGACTTAACAGGCATTAGAAATATAAATGAATTAACATTAATGAATTCAAAGTGATAGATGAAATGGTTTAATTCCTTCAAAGACACAAAACACAAAATACTGATGTGAGAAATCAAAGAGAAAAATGAAAAAAATCACTCAAAATTCTACATACTGCATTGATTTGTTCACGTGATGTTATGGAAAAGGCAATGGGGTTGGGGAGTGAACCAGGGGTTTCCTGGGGTTAAGAGTTGGGGAAGAGTTTGACTACAAAAAGGTACCACAAGGGGATGTTTCTGGGCGATGGAACTGTTGTGAATCTTGATTGTGGTGGTGAAGTCTACATGACAATGCAATTGTCAAAACTCAGAAATGTACACCAAAAAGAATAAATTTCTACTATAAGTAGATAAGTTAAAAAATAAATGTTAAAAAATTAAATAAGGCTGTTCTACAGGTACTTGTCAAACTTTTAAGTGCACAGCAATCACCAGCTCCAGTAAAAGTGAAGCAGAAAAAGCATTTGACAAAATACAACATCCACTCATGACAGAACTTTTGCAGACTAAAAATATAATGGAACTTATAAAAATGCTTTCCCCTATGATCAGGAACAAGGCAGAGATGTGTACTCTTGACATAACTATTCAACACTGTACTGAAAATCAGCCAGTGTAGTGAGGCAAGGAAAAGAAATAAAAAGCATACAGATTAGAAAGGAAGAAATAAAACTGACCCTATTAATACACAACATGTGTCTCTGTGGAAAATCCCAAGGAATCTACCAAAAAACAAAAATTTCTAGTGAGTATAGCAAAGTCAGAGAATACAAGGTCAATGCACAAAAATCAGGTGTATTTCTATACACTAACAATGTACAACTGGAAACCAAAATTTTAAAACAATATGATTTAAAATAGCTCTAGAAGAATAAATTATATATTATACTCGGGCATATGTCTAAACAAAACATGTATAGATCTGTATGCAGAAAATCATGAAACACTAATGCAAGAAATTAAAGAACACTTAAATGAAGGGACATGTTATATCAATGAACTGGAAAACTCAATGTGATAAAGACGGATCTACTGATTTTACATAATGTCAATGAAAATACCAGCTGAATTTTTGGTAGATATAAATAAGCTGATTCTAAAATGCATATGGAAAGGCAAAGGAACCAGAATAGCTAAAAGCAATTTTGGAAAAAAAGAATAAATTTGGAAGAATCAAACTATCCAGTCTTAAGATTTACTATCAAGCTACAGTAAATATGATATCTTGGTACTGGTGAAGAGATACACACATAGATCAATTTAGCAGAACATGGTACAGAAATAAACCCAAACAAGTGGTGTTGGGATGGTTGGTCATTCATATGTAAAGAAATAAAACCCAACTTAACCATCACATATTATAAAAAAAGTTAAAATGGATCACAGATTTAAGTGTAAAACCATAAAACTTCTAGAACAAGAGAAAATCTTCACGACCTGGGGCTAGGCAGACTTCTTAGATATGACATCAAAAGCACAATCCAAAAAAGATAACATTGATAAATTAGATGTAATTAAAATTAGAAATTTTGTTCTGCAAAAGACACTATTAAGAGAATGAAAAGACAAGCTACAGGCTGAGAAGGAATATTTGCAAATCACACATCCAACAAAGGACTTATATCCAGAATATATAAATAGCTCTCAAAAATCAACAATAGGAAAAATATAACCCAATGTAAAACTGGGCAAAGCATGCATACAGACACTTCCGCAAAGAAGATATAAGGATGGCAAAGAAACAATAACAAAAAAAGAAATATCTGCTGAACACCATTAGCCATTAGGGAAATGTAAATTAAAGTCACAATGCTTAGAATGGCTAAAATAAAAAAAAATAAGGAAAATACTAAGTGCTGATGAAGATGTAAATAAACTGGAACTTTCTACATCATTAGTGAGAATGCAAAATGGTACAGATACTACAGTTTGGCATCTTATAAAGTTAAACATACATTCCCCATATGATCCAGTAACCACACTCCTGGCTTCGTACCCTACAGAAATAAGCACAAAAAAAACTGTACATGAATGTTTATATCAGCTCTATTCATAAATGCCAAAAAGTGGAGGAAAAAGTCTATCAACCAGAGAATAGATAAACTGTGATACATCCATAAAGTGGACACTTCTGTTAACCAGAAGTAAACAGAAATGAAGTATTGATACGTATAACAACTTTGATGAATGTCAAGAGCAATTTGCTGAGTAAAAGAATCCGGTCTCAAATGTTAACATATAGCATCAGTTCATTTATACGACATTCTCAAAAAGACAAAACTATAGCGTTTTAGTGGTTATGGTAGTTGCCAGTGGTTACAGGTATGGTGAGGGGTAATTATGAGGGAAGACATGAGGGGAGTTTTTGGGGTGATGGAACTGTTCTTTTTCTGACTACGGTAGTCGTTATACAAACTATGCCTGTGTTGTAATAGAATTGTATACCAAAAATAACAAAATAGTCAATGTCACTGTAAAAACATTTTTTAAAAACCTGTTTTAAAAACCTGGAAACACAACCTCAGTTATAAGGCATGGTCTATAAATGTTGTTACCATTTCTAACAATTTGTTTCTTAGGAATTTTTTTAGATTATCAAAACATAACCAATCATTGCTCTTCAACTCTTCAATACTCTGAAATAGTTGGTGGATTATATAACCTACCAATATTAAGTGAGATTAAGGAATATATCCAGGGGTTATTTCTATTCTATTTTGATACCTAATTCCAATTCCACACTGCAAATCCTTGATGCCAGCTGTCTGTTGAGTAGCTACTCTAACCATAAACCCTTAACAACCTTGTACGATGTGCTGGGCACATGGAGAAAAGTATGACATGGTCCCAGAAATAGAAGAACTTTCAGTGTATGGATTTAGATAAAGAGAAATAAGAAACAAAGAGCTATAAGACTTAGGCAAGGCAAACTCTATACTGGAACACAAAATTCATCACCATCCTTCTCCAAGGTACAATTCTCTTGCATCCCCTAGCTTCCTCAAGTAAGGACCATTCTGTAAGCTTCAACGAATGAAAACCTTAGAGTAGCTGCTGGCATTTCCCTTTCAAAGTCTTGGATATAAGCAATTTATGATCATCAACGTTTGGCAATTATGACAATCAATCAAACGATATTATACTAAGTCGATGTTAGAGATTTGCTTTAAAATACTGAAACAAAAAAAAAAGGGACAGGGAGTTGATACAAGACTGGCAAATGTTAACAAAGGTTGAAGCTGGGTGACGCTTCCACAGAATTATTTTAGTCATATTACATTTGGCTATGCTTACAAATTTCCATAGTAAAAACTTAAGGGAAAAATAAAAGCTATGAAGCCTATTTGGTTAAACATGGGTGAAAATCCAAAAAGAAGTCTACTGGAAGAGGAAAACATTGAAATATTAATATTGTTACTGTTATATCTTGTGGTTAGCATAATTTTTTTCTTTTACACTTTCTATACTTTCTTAATCTTTTACAATATGCAATAATTTATATAATCAGAATATGAACTATAAATATTTCAAATAAAATTAAATTACAGATAATTTTAAAAAATCAAAAATTCAAAGCTTATTAACCTTGCTTTCACGGTCCTCTAGTAAAATCCAAATATGTGTTCTGAAGCTGATACTAAACACATCAAGAACTAAGGCAATGGATGGAAACTATTTGAATTCAAATCCCAGCTCAGGCTCTTACCACCTGGGTGACCTAAAGATAAACCACCTATGCTCTATGTCTGTTTGCTTATCTTTAAAATGGGAATGGTGGTACCCAACCCAGGCTCAAAGGGCTCTTGTGAGGATTAAAGATGTTAATTCATATCAAACTCTTAGAATGATCAGCACTAAATGTTTAAATACTATCTTTATTACTCATGCCCAAGTACTCCCTCATCCGTTTCTGCATTTATTGAACAAATATCAGCGCATCTTCGAGCAGAATTTGCCAGTGAATGATGGAAATATCGTCTTCCCTGAAAAGAAAGGATGATAAGTACTACTCAGGTGAGACTCCGCTGCCAAGTGCCAAAGGGTCATTCCCTCCTTCTCCCTGCAGCCTTTTTCAAGAAGTCAAGGCTAAAGAAGGAAAGGAGGATGGGGGAAATCAGAACTCCTGCATGAATTACAATGGACTACCCAGACAGCCAGGAGTGATCCTGTCCTAAAGAAAAATCTCTCAGTGATCAGAAAAGGGCCAGGGATACTCTGCAGCTGGAGCTCTGACCCCATCCTGGGTTCACAGAAGCTTTCAGGGAACTGAGTCCTTCTCAGAAAATTAAAAAGTGCTAATAACAAGAGACCCATCTTCTACCACCTGTCAGGCTCTGTTCCAAGTCTTTTTATTTAACTCTCAAAAGAACTCCATTAGATAGATACTAGTACCATTTTAAAGAAAAAGAAACATAGGCAGAGAGATTAAGATACTCGCCTGTTATTATACTGCTAGGAAGTGGCAGAGCTGGTTGATGGTCAGGGGAAAGGGCTGGGGAAGTACAGAACCCAGGAGATCCCCAGTCCCTGCGATGTAGGATCTTGGACCCCCGGCGCTAAGTGGGGATGCGCCAGCTGCCCCACACTGGAGAAGGCTCATTCAAAGATAACACAAATCCCGCCCTTCGCCGCAAGTGGATTATCCTCCCCTAGAGCTACTGCCCGGTTGCTACTGGACCCCAACAAAACGAACATCAGTATGGACGGAAGGAGCAGGAAGCAGGGCGGGGAGCGCTCACCTTTCTGGGAGGAACGAAGGCCGCGGCCTAGCGTACCTGGGGCGGAAGTGGCTCTGCCTACCGAGACCTCCTGGACTACGCTTCCCAGAATTCCCGACGGGATCAGGGAGACGGCCTCAGCCTCCTAGAGCGGAAGTTACCCGACTACACGGGGCTCCCAAACTACATTTCCCAGAATTCCTAGAAAAACTCTCCACTTATCTGCCTGCCTAGGACGCAAGTACCGGGTGCCAAGCTGAGAGCCTGGATGATATTTCACATGTGCCGGTCCCAAAGGAATTCCTTAACTCCCCCTTCCTGGAACCGAAATGCTTCCAAAGACAGAGAGCTCGTATATATATTTCTCTGTTTTACCCAGCGGACCGTGCATGAAAGGCGCCTTTCCTGGCGCGTGTGTCTCTGACCCTGTGGATCTTCTGGACAATTCCCGGAATTTCTTGCAGGGTAGCACTTTCCCTTAAGTCGTCTCTTTCTCGTTTGGATAGTCAGTATTTGTATAGTCACTATTCTCTTTTGGTTAGCCATCCAATTTTATACTGCTAGTCCAGTTCTACTGCCTTCCCCCTAGAGTTTGAATTTATTTTTCTTCAAACGCGACACAAACCCAAATAAACTCAACCAAAGCGGACTTTACCTACCTACCTACCTACTTACCAAGAAAATATCCCATAAAGGAGAGAACAGAGAAGCTTGCAATACAGGAAGAAAAAAGAAAAGAATTACAGAATGGAAGCGATGTGTGCGCTAAAAATGCAGGTACTTAAAGGAAATTGGGCTGATTTGTACTGGACACCGAATTTAAGGAATACAGGATCTCAACCTTTCTTTGACTCGATTACCTTTTTATTCCATTTTGGTGTGGACGCGTCTGAAACTGATAGTGCTGCTGCTACCTACCATAATGTGTTTGTTGCAAGATCCACAAGAACGTGGATGCCAAGAATCCACAAAAAAACAGATGCAACCGTTGATGAGGCCATAAGCAGAAACAGTAAATGGTTCCCACGTTTCCTCTGCTTTAACTACTGATGATGAAATGCAAGTCATAAGGCAAATAGAAGGGCTGTACTGATACAGACAAAATGTTATTATTATGGGAAGGGATAAGTCTCTTGTAAAACCTCGAAATTTTTTTCTTCTTTGAGAAAAATCTATCACCTATTTTCACCCTGCTCTTGATATAGCAAATATTGTAAGTTGTCTTATGGAGGACAGGATGATTCAGGGAGGACGGTGAATGGGTTGACTCAATCCAGAAAAGGAAGAGGAAAATAAAAAGACATAACGACCAATCTGTGAAAATGCTCACGGGGTCAGGAGATCGAGACCATCCTGGCTAACATGGTGAAACCCCGTCTCTACAAAAAATACAAAAAATTAGCCGGGCGTGGTGGCGGGCACCTGTAGTCCCAGCTACTCGGGAGGCTGAGGCAGGAGAATGGCGTGAACCCGGGAGGCGGAGCTTGCAGTGAGCCGAGATCGCACCACTGCACTCCAGCCTGGGCAACAGAGCGAGACTCCGTCTCAAAAGAAAAAAAAAAAGACACTATTAAGAGATGAGACTATTTGATTCTTTATTTAACAACTCCTTTCCAAGGAAATGTTTCTGAAAATACATACGGTTTACATATTAAAGAGGATCAATCTGATAATAGGGGATTTTTTTTTATAAAATGAAAGGAAATTTTAAAAATAAAAGGGACAGAATAATACTTTGTGTACTTCCACTTCCAGTAATAATAAAATGAGTGATTTGGAACAAACATCTGGCAGAGGAAAGATGAGCAAACTTTTTAAATGTCAAAAGGCATCAAAAGACAAGATAATGGAGAAATGGTGGGCCAAAATTCAGAAACACTTGGGAGAGTCATGCATTTGGGGCTACTTTTCTCCTGGGGATGATGGTCTAGTTTAGGATCTGAAAAGCCTAGAAGCTCTGCAGCACTTTTGACACCTATATGAAGCTGGGGGAACAAAAGATTCTAGCAAAAACTAAAATTCGCATCTTTTCAAGTGCACATAAGATTTGCACAAATTAGCAAAATGATACGGGATTTCAAAATACTGAAATACTAAATATGCTTTTGAATACAATGAAATTTGGCTAGAAATCAATAAAAATACAACTAAATGATTCATGTGTGCATTTAATAAATATTGTCTCATCTCCAAACCCACCATTCTTCACTCTGCTTTATGGGGCTGGAATGGGGGAATCTGCAGCCAATCTTTCCCGACCTCCACACCCCCAATCTGGTTCTGTGTTGGGCAATTATTAGCAGAAGCGTATAGGGGTGGTGGGGGCAGGGAGATATACTATATCCTGTGCCTGCCAACCAGCAGTACTTTTTCTTGTAGCAACTGCCTAATTTTCAGTTTTTCTAACACTTGAATAACCTATTTCATCATGGCTCTTTGTAAACATTATTAAACAACTTCCCAAAGACTGATCCTTAGATGTCTAAGTCCTAACACTGCAGGGCCCTGCTTTTGAGCTCAGAGACAGCAGAACCAGCCCAACATTGACCTCTCCTCAGAGGTCTGAGTTTCAGGTGAGCATGACCTTCCTTCAAGCTTCTAAGTTTTAGTAATTCTGGTCTCTTCACTTTGTTTCCTCAGACCTCAGGTGGTTGCTGCTTGCTGCAGTTGCTATTTCCTGCAGTTGCTGCTTCCATCATATATTAGAGTTCTTTTTTTTTTTTTTTTTTTTTTTTTTTTTTGAGAGTCTCGCTCTGTTCCCCGGGCTGAAGTGCAGTGGTGCCATCTCGGTTCACTGCAACCTCTGCCTCTCGGCTTCAAGCAATTCTCCTGCCCCAGCCTCCCGAGTAGCTGGGATTACAGGCATGCGCCACCACGCCCAGCTAATTTTTGTATTATCAGTAGAGATGGGGTTTCACCACATTGGCCAGGCTGGTGTTGAACTCCTGACCTCGTGATCCACCCGCCTCAGCCTCCCAAAGTGCTGGCATTACAGGCGTGAGCCACTGCATGTGGCCTACAGTTCTTTTTCTGCTCTTTCAGAAATCTAGCTACCAACTCTACAATATGCTAATTTTTCTTTTCAAATAATTGATAAGGTTTCTATCTTCTCAGTGGACCCTAAATTACAAACTTGTTTAGAAATTAATCAAACCACTTTTAAGTAATCCATAGATAAAAGACTGTGGCATTGAAATTTGGTGTCATCAGTGAATTCTACCAAATATTTAAAGAAGAAACCATGTTCATCTCAAAATTATTCCTGAGAATAACAAAATAGGAAACACTTTCCAACTAACTTTATGAGGCCACTGTAATAACACTGACAAAATTTGTGAGAGGCTTCATTAGAATGGAAAATGACAGGTCTGGCCAGGCACGGTGGCTCATGCCTGTAATCCCAGCACTTTGTGGGGCTAAGGCAAGCAGATCATGAGATCAGGAGATCCAGACCATTCTGGCTAACACAGTGAAACCCCGTTTCTACTAAAAATACAAAAAAAAAGCCGGGCATGGTGGCACGTGCCTGTATTCCCAGTTATTTGGGAGGCTGAGGTGGGAGAATCGCTTGAACCTGGGAGATGGAGATTGCAGTGAGCTGAGATCGTGCCACTGCACTCCAGCCTGGGTGACAGAGGAGACTCCATCTCAAGAAAAAAAAAAAGAAAAGAAAAAAGAAAGAAAAAGAAAATGACAGGTCTATCTCGTCATAAATATACTTTCAAAAATGCTAAACAAAATGTTGCCAATGATATATAAAAGGGCAACCTAGGTATCAGAGAAAAAAAAAGTTTGATTAATCACCCATTTATCATAAGAAAATTTAGGCAACTAAGCAATAGTAAAGATCTACAAAAATGGCAACAAATATCAAAAGGAATAGTGAAATATTGAAAACATTTCCTCTATGATGGGGAACAAAATAATGATGTCCACCCCAATCATTTCTACTAAATACCACATTTGCTCCTTTATCCTGCAATCTTGCCAACTAATCTAATTAATTTTAATATTTTATGTGTAGATCTTTTGAATTTTATATGCATGCTCATGTTGACTTCAGATCTGCAACAAATGGGGCGCTGCAGCAACATGGGAACAGGGAAAATATTCAATACATGTTGCTGTTAAATTGAGTATTGTGAAATAAAACTGAAATTGACCTATACCTCCCACTATATGCAACAATCTAAGGCTGGTGGATTGTAGAGCCCGATTTGAAAAGCATTTCTTATGACACTTAAATCTACTCAGTGTATAAACCTATAAGAAATGTGTACCAAAATACACATATAAGAATGTTCATAGCAGGATCATTCATCACAATGACATGCTGAGAATACTCCAGATGTCTATCGATGATAGTATGGATAAATATTTTTGTTATTTACACAAGGTAAAAGCAAGGACATTGAACAAACTTTAGCTGTACATGCAATACCATGATGACTCCCATAAATATGTTGAGCAAAATAACTAGACAAACCCAGTAGATGCAGTGTGATTCCACTTGTACGAAGTTCATTAGACATGCAAAATTCATCAATAGGATGATTTTGGACACTTAAATAGTAAAAATATGAAGAAAAGCAAGGGAATCTTAAAACTTAGGGTAGTGGTTTCTTTTTATGGGGAAGAAAGCATCATGATGCTGTGAGAGTGGGGTGTTTGCAATTCTACCATGCTTCAATTTTTGTTGTGGGTGGTGATTATACAGCTGTTCATTTTATATTCATACTTTCACATGTATATTTATGATTCAGACACTTTTCTGAATGTGAGTGATATTTCAATCTGTAAAATCAATGATATATGACCAACAAACTGTGGTGCATCAATACAATAGAGTATTATTCAGCCATAAAAAGAAATGAGATATGAAGTTATGAAAACACATGGAATAACCTTAAATTCATATTGTTAATGGAAAGCAGCCAGTCTGTCAAAGCTACGTACTGTAATTCAACTATATGATAATCTGGAAAAGGCAAAACTAAAGGTCAGTAAAGTGATCAGTGGTTGTTAGAGGTTCAGGGAGATTAATTGATAGAGCACAGGGTATTTTTAAGCAGTGACACTATTCTGTGTGATACAGTATGGTTGATATAGGACATTATGCTTTGTCAAAACCCATGGAATGTACAACACAAAGAGTAAGCCCTAATGTAAACCACAGACTTTAATAATAATGTATCAAAATTGGTTCATTAGTTGTAATAAATATGCCACACACATGCAAGATGCAAACAATAGGAGAAACTGGGCAGGGGAAAGGAGAGTATATGGGAAATATTAATACTTTCTCAGTTTTTCTGAGCAGTTTTCTGTAACCCTAAAACTGCTCTTAAAATAAAGTCTATTTTAAAAAATCAATGATATGTTTCAAAGGAAACTGAATATATGGCATAGAACTTTTTCAGAACTTAGAGGGAAGGGCTAAAAATAATGAGAAACTCTATAATGAATATGAACATACTGATCAGGTGTATCTTATAAGCTAATGAGAAAAAATGAGGATTAGAGAAGGAAGCAGATTGTAATAAATAAATCATTAAGAAAGAATAAACAATTTATCCACATGGGCAAAATCTCATATTGGAAGGAGGAGAAGAAGATGGAGGAGAAGGGGGAGGAAGGTGAGGGTATGTAGGAGGAGGAGAAGTAGGAGGAGGAAGAGTAAGAGAAAAAGGAGGAAGAGACTCGTAGAGATGCACTTGCAGACATTGAGAAATTTTTTAATGGCAAGGCTGAAGACTAAAGAATTGAGTCAATTTCAAAGGAATGAAAAAATAAGCTTTGCATTTTAATTATTGTCTGCAACATTAAAAGTACTAATAAAATATAAAAATAATCTATGGGATTTTTGAGGTGAAAAGATTGATCCTTCTATGGTCAGAGAATGTTTTGTTCATGTGCACTATTCTTGGCATACAAGATTCAGTTGTGAATCACTTCTAAATTCTTTCCGGAAAATATTCTTCAAGACATATTACAGGCCTTTGACAACAACACAGATAAAGCGTCCACAGACCGTCTTCCTAGTTTATTTACATAGAAATGCTGGATAAAATGTGAATGTGAAAATATCATTTATTTGAATAGGAGAATGTTTGAGGGCACACATATTAAAAAGAAAAAGAAAAAAAGAAACAGATATTATTTATTTGTTCCATTATATCCCCCACTACCCACTCTCATTTTCTCCCCTGCCGCATCAGTAACCAGGTCGATCTGTTTAATGTGTGCCTGTTGTTGGTATGTCTTTCTGGCAAAATGTGTGGAATTTCGGATGCATATATATATATCTTGTGTTATAAAACTCTGTTAAAAATTTTCACTCAAAACTGTTTTTCTCAATATTTTACTAAAAAAAATTTTTTTTGAAGACAGGGTCTTACCTTGTCACCTAGGCTAGAGTGCAGTGGTATGATCACAGTTCACTGCAGCCTTGACCAACTGGGCTCAAGCCATCTTCCCACCTCAGCCTCCAAAGTAGCTGGGACTATAGTTGTGCCCAATCACACATGGCTAATTTTTTTTTTTTTTTGCAAAGATGGGGTCCCACTATGTTGCCCAGGCTGGTCTCAAACTCCTGGCCTCAAGTGATCCTCCCACCTTGGCCTCCTAAAGTGCTGGCATTGTAGGCATGAGCCACTGTGCCTAGCCCTGAAATTTTATAACATAAAGAAGAGTTGGAAGAATTATACAGTAGTCACCCATATATTCTCAGCTTAGATACTAAAATTAGCAACATTTATGTCTTAGCCATCTATCTAGCTATCTTATTACTTATCCATCAGAACATTAACATTACCCCACAAATTCCCTCATGACACTTTCCAGTCAGTCTCTAACCCCTTCCCCCAGTGGCAACCACTGTTCTACTTTTTCACCATAAATTTTACTAATTTTAGAATATGAAATATATGGAACCATACGGTAAGAACTCTTCTGTATTACAATTCTTTGAGTATAGTGTTTTTCAGATCCATCCATGTTGATGCACATATTAGTCATTTGATCCTGAAGTGATGTTCTATTGTATGAATATAAGTCTTTGGAAACTTGCTTACATTTTAATTGTTTAAATATTTTTATGAATAAAGATCCTGCAGCATACTTATAAAAGTCTTTTTGCGTGCATGTGCTTTCTTTTCTCTGGAATAAATATCTATGATTAGAATTGCTTGATGTGTTTAACTGCTTAAGAAACCACCAGATCATCTCCCAAAAGATTAATTTTACACTGTCTCCCAAAATATATGCAATTTCTGATTGTTTTGAATCCTAATAAGCATTTGCTGTTATTAGTATTTTTTTTTGAGATGGAGTTTCACTCTTGTCATGCAGGCTGGAGTGCGGTGGCATGATCTTGGCTCACTGCAACCTCTGCCTCCTGGGTTCAAGCGATCCTCCTGCCTCAGCCTCCTGAGTAGCTGGGATTACAGGCACCTGCCACCATGCCTGGCTAATTTTTGTATTTTTAGTAGAGACAGGGTTTCTCCATGTTGGCCAGGCTGGTCTCGAACTTCTGACCTTGGATGATCTGCCCACCTCGGCCTCCCAAAGTACTGGAATTACAGGTGTGAGCCACCATGCCTGGCCTGTTATCAGTATTTTTAATATCTGCCATTCTGGTGATCTTGTAGTTGTATCTCTCTGCAGTTTTCATTTGCTTTTTCCTGATGACAAATAATGTCACACTTCTCCATGGGCTATATTAACAATTTGTATGTCTTCCTTTGTAAAGTAACTGTTCAAATTTTGCCCATTATAATTGAGATGTTGGGCTCTTTAATATTGTATTGTACAAGTCTTTATATATTCTGGGTGTCAGTCAGTCTGAAATTTGGGCAGAGTTTAATGTAGAATAAGGGGCAATTCTTTGCTTGACATCTTTTTCCCTGGATTTCTTCCCTCACTTTCCAGGTCCTGTGGTCACCTCAATCTCTGTCATCTAGATCTTCAAGCCAGTGGATACTACAGAAGCATCCACAGATTCAATGAAACAGGGATCAAAAATATTCAGAAAAAAAAATACAAATTAGCAACACAACAATAAAAATAACACAAATAAAAAACCCAATACAGTATAACAACTATTTACATGGCATTTTTATTGTATAGGGATGGAAATAATTTGAATTATACAGGGTGATATGAAAAGGTTAGATGAGACTACTATGGCCATTTTACATAACAGACTTGAACATCCGCGGATTTTGATTTCCATAAGGGTCCCTGAACCAATTCCCCACGGACACCAAGGGACTACTGTATTCAGGATTTTTTCACCTAGTGCATGAAGGATATTCATCTGTAGTTTTCTTTCCTTATAATTTCTTTGTCTTGTTTGGTATTATCAGATTAATGCTGGCCTCATGAGACAAGCTGGGGGTGGGTGGGTGTTCCCTTCCCTTTTCGTTTCTGGGTTTATTTAAAATTCACATCTTTACTCTTTAAATGTTTAGTAGAATCCACCAATGAATTAATCTCAATATTGGTTTTTTTATTGTTGTTGTTGGAAGGCTTTATCTATTAATCAGTTTTGAAATATATATCAGGCCAGGCAGGTGCAGTGTCTCAAGCCTGTAATCCCAGCACTTTGGGAGGCCAAGGTGGGTAGAGCACTTGAGCCCAGGAGTTCAAGACCAGCCCAGGCAACTTGGTAAAAAACCACCTCTACAAAAGATACAAAAAATTAGCTGCTCACTGTGGTGTGAACCTCTAGTTCCAGCTACTCAGGAGGCTGAGGTGAGGTGGGAGGATCAACTGAACCTGGGAGTTCGAGGCTGCAGTGAGCTGTGATCATGCCTCTGCACTCCAGCCTGTGTGACACAGCAAGACCCTCTCTCAAAAAAAATTATATATATATATATTTATGTGTGTGTGTGTAAAAATTGTATACACACACACACATACATACACTCAACTATCTAGGTTATCCTAGATATTTCTTTTTGAGTGAACTTTGGTAGTTTGTGCCTTTCAAGTAATATTCCATGTCATGTAAATTGATGAATTTATGGACAAAGAGTTGTTTGTAATGTTCCTTTATAATCCTTTTAATATCTGCAAAATCTGTAATAATGTTCCCTCCCTCCTGATTTTTGTTTTCTTCTTTTTCCCCGTTGGTGAGTCAGTTGAAAGGTTTATAAACTATATTGATCTTCTCAAAGAATAAGGTTATGATTTTGTTGATTTTTAAAGATTGTTTTTCTGTTTCCAATTTCATTGACTTATGTAGCTGCCACAAAACTTCACTCTATCCTCTCCAGGACCCAGCTGGGCTCAAGAATTAAATTAACATAACACAGATTAACAGGAGAAAAGCATGCAAATTTATTTAATACAAGTTTTACACGTGACCAGAGCCTTCATTACAAAATGAAGCTCCAAAGAAACAGTCAGTTATGTATACACTGTAGTGAACAAAGAATAGTAAGTTGTTAAGAAGCAATTAGGCCAGGCCTGGTGGCTCTCGCTTGTAACCCCAGCACTTTGGGAGACAGAGGCAGGAGGATAGCTTGTAGCCAGGAGTTTGAGACCATCCTGGGCAACACAGTAAGACTGCATCTCTACAAAATAAAAATAAATTTAAATTTTTTTCTTTTTTAAAAAAGAAGCAACTAAATCATGCGGAGAGGCTTGAAAGATGTTATTTTAAGGTGGTCTGTACAGAATTCTTTTGGGCTTGACTTCTCATTTTGAGGAAAAGTATATTGCTCCTTTTTTTTCCAGTATAAGGAGGGGATCTTCTTTCCTCCTTCCCACCCTCCCTCCTTCCTTCCTACCTCTTCCCACAGACGTGCTAGCAGAATGTGCTAATTAGTAAATATCTTCTGCCCTGAGAAGAGAGATGACACGGCAAGAAGAAGGATGCTAAGTCACACTCAGTTAAGGTTCTGCTGCTAGGAGCCAAAGAGTCATTCTTTCCTCATTCCTGTGACCATCTGCGAGAAATCAGAACTGTGTCTCCCTCCTGCACGAATCACAGAGGACATCCCGATACAATAGCCTGGAGTGATTCCCGCCCCATTCCCCCCACCCCCACTTTTTTAAAAAGGGAATCCAGGAATCGTCCTGCTTCCTGTAGGGATCAGAAAGAAGGGGCAAAATAGCACTGCAGGTGGAACTCTGATTTCTTCCCAGGCTCATAGAAGCTTTCAGGTAACTGGGGCTTCTCGGGAAATTAAAAAAAAAAAATTAATAAAATGAACCACACTTACCACCTTTTACTTGTGACTATCTCATTTAATTCTCCACTCAACTGCATCAGTTTGGTACTACTATTCCCCTTATGTTACATAAAAGGAATGCTAGGCACATACAGTTTGAATTACTTCCCAATTTCACACCCCTAGAAGGTGGCAGAACTGCCTGGTCAGTCCTGGAGTAGGAACAGAGCGCACAAAATACAAGAGATCCTCAACCCGCCAAGACCAAATGCTGCAAACTCGACAAAGGCTCACTCACCTGGGGCCCAACCCCATCTTCCACTGCTAGCCGCGGATGCTCTTCTCGAAGACAAGGAGGGCCGCCGCCAGGCTAAACGAAACATTGCTGTCTCAGGCCTCACTCAACTTCCTGAAAGGAATGATGACCTCACTTTCATGGAGCGGAAGTGACTGTAGTTACCCACAATTCCTGGATTATAACCCCAGAATTCCCAATGAGATAATCGTCACAGCCACGCCCTCCTGTAGCGGAAGCCCGGCCGCCTACACAGAGCTCCAAGGTTACTGCTCCCAGAATCCTCGCAAAGAATTGGCAATGTCGTTGCCTTTCTCTGGCGGAAGGCTGGCTACTACCCTTTGAATTTGGAATGTATGTCACACAGTTCTAGAGTAGAATGCAAACTCAGCACTGTCCTCTTTGAACCAAAATGTCTCCAAAAACAAGATTCTAATTTATACTTAATATTTCCCCCAGAAGCCCAATCATTAAAGCCACCTTTCCAGGAACAGAAGTGTTTTTGACACTGTGAATGCTTTGGACCAGTTTCCAGAATCCTCTTCAGGTAGTGCTTCTCACCAGCGTTTCCCTTTTTATTTTGGATAACTAGGTTCAGTCCGAATCATTCTATCTCACTGGTCAAGCTCAGCCTTCTTCTTCCTTATTCTCATTTTTTTTCTTTCACATGTGACAAAACAAATGCATTTGAACGCCCCTCCCACCCTGTCTCCCACCCAAATCCCTTTAGTAGAGAACACAGTTTGAAATGAAAAGGAGGCATAGATTATAAAGGGGAAGATATGTGTAAGCAAAAAATGCAGAACTTAGAAACTGGGCACGAATGTAAGGAATACAAGATCTCAAACCTACTTTGACTGGATTTTCTACTTTATTCCATGTGTTTTGGATGCATCTAGAACTCTTGGCAGTGTTATCTGATATATGCTATTCATTCCATGATACAAGAACCACAAGAAGGTCATGCAAAGTTTATTAAAGTATAAAGCAGAAGCAGCAAAAGCTTTTGGGTGTTCCTTGACTTTAATTGCTCATTGTAAAACGTGGCTCATGAGGCGAATGAAAGGAGGTGTGTTCATGTGAAGGAATTATTATAATATGAAAAGAGATAAATATATAAAAATTTGAAATATCTTTTTGTTCAAGTTCAAGCATCACATCACCCACTTCCACCCTATTCTTATTATCATAAATACAATGATAACTGAAGAATATGAAAACCAGTGAGACCATATTTCGTTCAAGTGAGTCGATTGAGAGTTGGACGCAAATCCAGAAAACCCAACAAATAAAAATACACGAAGGTTCTGCTTACCACTTTTCTTCTGGACAAGAACTAAACATTTTCATACCTTTATGTTATGAAAAATTTCAAACATTGATAGAAATAAAGAGTGAAGTATTCCATTGCCTCATCACCCAGATTCAGCAATTTTCAACATGTGCCACACTTCCTTTATCTATCAATATTGTCTTTCTGCCCTTTTTGTTATTGTAATTTTAAAACAAAATCATGACACTGTATTATTTCCCCCTAAACACTCCCATGCATACTTCAAAGAATTACATTTTCTAATATAACAAAAATACAACTGTCACACTGAAGAAAGTTAATAATTCCTTAATATTATTTTATGCCCTAAAAAACAAAACTTCAGAATTTCCAGTCATCTCAAAAATGTCCATCCTTTGCATGTGATCGTTTTGTCTCTTGAGTCTCTTTCAATCTGGAAGAGTATCCCCCCTTTGATCCACTTTAAATTCATGCTTTTGGCATATACAAGACATCAGGTCAGTTGTCAAGTAAGATGTCCCACATTCTGGATTTTTAAAAATGTTTCATTATGCTGTCAGTTAACATTTTCTTGAATATCTTCTGTGGCTCTGGTAAACTACAATTTAGATTTAGAAAGCAGATGAGATTAAGTTTCATCGTTTTCGGCAAGAATACTTCTCCATAGGTAGGTTTATTTTGGCCTTGTTCAGTAGCATCACCTTCTCCTTAGTGCAGATCACAGCACATTCTTGAATATTACTGTTTCCTACAGCACCTAAGATACTACACCTCAATCATGCACAAATGTCCATTAGAAGAAGAACAAGGTTAAAAGAGTTTGAGGGAAAGGGTGAAGACTTTAGGAATCAAAATTTTTTCTCTTTCAATTGCTAATCTCATCCTATTAAGCATCCATAGTCTTGCAAAGTGTGAAAGAAAAATAAATCTCGGGACCCCCAAATCACCAAGCCAGAGGGAAAAGTCAAGCTGGGAACTGTGTCAGGCAAACCTCCCATTTGATTACTTAATAAGATAGCTGTAAAGCAGAAAAAGCTACATACCTCCTTCACAATTTGTCCACAGGGGCCTGTTTGTGGGCCTGAACATCTTTATCCAAAAGCATTTCTGTTGAATTTCACCCTGGTAATGTAAATTGATAGCTTATCTTCACAGGTGTGGGATAAAGGACAGACAGAACTCAAAGTCATTCCTCTGTTCACCTGAAACAAATGCATATCTGATTGCTTCCTCTTCCCTATTGTTTATGTAGTAATGCAGATTCACTAAGCAACATTAAGACCTAAGTCACTATTCGTCTACCCACCTCTCACTTGTGAGTTTTGTATTCAGTAAAAGGCTAATCAGAGCCTCAAAATAATGCCACTGTTTGTCTCTTATCTACCTATGATATAGAAGCTCCCACTCCCATTCGAGATTGTCCTGCCTTTCTGGACTTAAGCAATGTATAACTTACACATACTGTTTGATGCCTGATTTCTCCCTAAAATGTATAAAATCAAGCTGTGCCCTGACCACTTTGGGCACATGTTGTCAGGACCTCCTAAGGCTGTGTCACAGGTGTGTACTTAACCTTGGCAAACTAAATGTTCTAAATTCATTGAGACCTGTCTCACATACTTTTGGGTTCACAAAAGTATGCTTTAGTGAACACCCATGTCCATTTGTTCTTGATCTTTAAATGAGTGTTACCATAATATAAATTCCTTGAATGGAGACCCTTGAATCTAAGAGTATGCACAGTGCATAGAGTCATATTACCAAACCTATCCCAAAACAAGTGATCTGATTGACTGAGCCAATAGTATTTGAGAGCATTTTCCCCCCAAAATAGATGCCATGAATTGAAATATCCCCTTTCATGGCATGTTTAAAATACTTCTACCATTGCACATACCGACTTATCAAAGTTATCTGGTCTCTGATCTCTGTACCTCTAAAGCAATGCTTCCCAGCCAAGGTCACATACACTGAGAAAGTGTCTCACAAATAACTTTTAAGTGATAACTGATACCAAATCTTATGTTATTTAAAAACAAAAACAGAGGCAAGTCAATATTCCTCACATAATAGCATCACTGGTGCCTGAACTGAAGTTCACTCTCTAGAGTAGGAGACCAAAAGATGATTTTAAAGCTGCTGGGCCAGGTAATATACTTAACCTGTAGCCTTTGGGACATATGCTATTGACTGGCTCACAGAGCATCCATTCATAATCCCTTTGACCCTGCATGTCTCTTCTATAAAATTATGGGGGAAAATCAAAATACTTTCTTAATGTTCCTTAAGTCTATGGTTGTCATGGGACAATATTTTGAAACAATTAGATGTAAGTGTCAGTCTTCTGTTTATACTAGAAAGAAGAGAAAAGATTTGGTTGGTATTGAGGATATGAGATGAACAAGGGATATTGAAAATGCAGTAGGATCAATGAATTGTAGAAATTGATGAAGTCAATATGACAGTAAACCATAGGAAGATCTGGCAAGAGAATATGTAGAGCAGACTGTAATGCCTTAAATGGAGACTATGGAGGGATTGCAGCTATTGCTAATTTAAGGCCTATAGTATGACCATGGAAATGAATACCCCAAGTAGGATAGACAAAAAAGACGACCAGAGGCATGGAAGTCAGTATATATCTCTTAAATTGTAAAACATTTCATATATACATAAAACTATGAGAATAATTTTTAAACACATCCCAGATGCCCAGGTTTAACAAGTGCAAATTCACTCAATAGAATACAACACAATCATTAAAGATGAACGTTATGAAGAACGTGGGAAACAGCAAAATTAACTTATGGTATATTACTAACTGAAATACTAATTTAAAATTTACACATTATTTAATAAAAAGCACATCTCTACATAAGTATAAAATAAACCAAAATGAAAATGTTACATGAGGGTGGTGCTAGTAGGATTATAGGTAAGTCCTAACTTAGTTCTGAACTTACTTGTAATGAGGTCCTGCCACTTAAAAAAAAAAAAAAAGTTCCAGACACTTTTAAAAAGCCATATTTATTGAAGTGCAATGTACATACATTATAAAGGCTACTATTTTTAAGTGTATAGTTCAATGAGTTTTAACAAATATGTACAGACATGTAACTACCAACACAATCAAGTTGCAGAATATTTCCAACGCTTCAAAAACTTCCCAAGGAAGCGGCAATGCTGATTGGTGGGTCCAACAGAAGGGCTACGGGAGTACAGGACCCAAGAAACCATCAAACCCAATGATGCAAGACCCTGCCTCATTCCCCAGCCTGGGACTCGGGAACCTCCCGTAACACTGGAAAGCTCTACTGAGTCGAGGGAAACGCAAACATTTCCAACCCTAATCCTCCACCGGCTGCCACTTTTCCTCCTCAAGACAGAGGGCCTTGACCATCTTTGGTCCCTCACCCAGGCTGAGGAGGCGCAGAAGGGTCTCTAAGGCTCAAGTCTTGCATGCAGCATGATGGCCGCAACTTTCCCTGGAGCGGAAGTTCCTGCGACTCACTTCCCAGAGTCAGGAGTCACACCAGAGGGCCACACCCTGTAGTCCCGAAGAGGAAGTGTTGTCGACTATATGAAACGTCTGACCCACACTTCCCAGAATGTTTAAGCGGAACGACGACAAGGACTCCACCAGCCTGGGCGAAAATACTTCCGACTACAGTTCCCAGAATACCCAGCACGCTAGTGCTTCCACCTTCCTACAGCTCATTCTGTTAGTTAAGTGCGTTCAAACTGAAGGTCACTTCTGTGGCGCGATTAGTGCTTGGACTTTTTATTTTTGTAATTTTTTTTTCCTCAAGAAAAAACGAGTATGTGGAAATATAAAGAAAGTATGACTATTTGGGGATAAAAGCAAAGGCTTTAGTATGAAAAGAAACACGCTTTAGCGGAAAAGTGATGAGTATGAGAAAAAACAAGATTCTAAAAGGGAGTTGGGCTGTCCACTGGACAGAACCTTAAGGAATATGGAATCTCCAGACGTGGTTTAACTCCGTTGCCTCTTTATATGTGCCTGTAGTCATCTAGACCTCTGCTTATGCTATCTGGCATGGACAATTTATTTCAAGATGACAAGAATCCACAAGGAATTCCAAGGACAAATCAGTCTTGAAATCAAGCACAGAAAGAGCAAGTTGTATCTGAAAAATGAAGGAAGCTGTACTGGCAGGAAATTTAGAAAATATGATATGGAAAATGGCTCCTTTCTTGAAATTTTTTGAGTTCAAATCAGGCTTGGAATTGGCTATTCCTCTGTTGCCCGTTGACCTCATATATTTAACATGAACGTATCTTTTCTACAAATCAGTTTAAGCCATGTGAATTTATGGTTATTCAGGAAGAGGTGGGTAGGTTGAGATGGGAGACGGACTCCAGATAACTATAACAAGTCAAACTACAGGAAGTATGTACTTACCACTTTCCTTCTGGGCAGGAAAAAAAATTTTTAATGAAACTTTCGATATTAACACAAAAAGGCGGAGCTTGCAGTGAGCTGAGATCACGCCACTGCACTCCAGCCTGGGCGACAGAGGAGACTCCGTCTCAAAAAAAATAATAGTAATAAATAAAAAAAAAAGAAAAAAGGAAATGATAACATGAAACACCAAATGCACCTACCCTAAATTCAACACTTCCCAACATTTTGCCACACAGGCAATATCTATGACTATTGAATTTTGTTACTGAAATATTTTAAAGCAGATCCCTGGCCTTATCCCTTCCCAATACTATCTGTATCACTTAAAAATAATGATGTTTTAACATAACCACAAAACCGTTACCTTATGAGATAAAATTAACAAATCTTAGTATTATCTAATATGCATGCCAATTTGAATCTGTTTTTTGGGGGGAAAATGCTTTTACAGCTGGTTTATTCCAGTCATTATCCGAACATTTTGATCCATTGTATTTGATTGTTATCTCACCAGAAAGTCATTTACTCTAAAACTATGCCCCCACCCCGACCCTCCCACACACAGCACCACCACCACCATTTTTTATTTCCTTGAACTGTTGGGGAAATAAAAATGTCAAATTAGGTGTCTAAATTCTGGATTTGTCTAAAGCCTTCCCTATATTTTCTCCTCTGCTCTTTTAAATGTTCTGTAAAGTAGAAATTTGATGTAAAGTCTAGATTAAATGCAAGTTATTGGTTTTTGCAATACTTCATAGAAGGGACTGGAAATATTTGAAACAGAAACCATATTCTCTTCAACTAAAGTCAATTCAAATCCTCAGCAAGTTTCCCTCTGAAGAGAAAGACAAAAATAAATAACAGCAAATATGCAAAAAGAGACAGATTAAAATATGGAAACCATCATAACAAATCAGATTCTAGACTTGAGTACAATGGCTCATACCTGTAATCTCCAGCACTTTGGGAGGCTGAGGTGGGAGGACTGCTTGAGTCAAGGAGTTTGAGACCAGCCTGGGCAATATTGTAAGACCTTGTCTCTGCAAAAAATCCATTAAGGTAAGCTAGGTATTTGAGACCACTTTTATCTCAAAAAAAGTTTGAGGTGGAATTTGCCAATTCCTTATGGTAAAAACCTGAGAAGCTGATAGTTGGAGTCTAGGACCTGCCAAAGGTGGAGTGGATAACCATGGTTTAAAAAATCACTTGGGCGCAGTGGCTCACGCCTGTAATCCCAGCACTTTGGGAGGCCAAGGTGGGCGGATCATGAGGTCAGGAGATTGAGACCATGCTGGCTAACACAGTGAAACCCTGTCTCTACTAAAAATACAAAAATTAGCCGGGTGTGGTGGCGCACACCTGTAGTCCCAGCTACTCAGGAGGCTGAGGCAGGAGAATCACTTCAACCCGGGAAGCAGAGGTTGCAGTGAGCCGAGATGGTACCATTGCACTCCAGCCTAGGCTACAGAGGGAGACTCTGTCTCAAAAAAAAAAAAAAAAAAAAATCACTGGGGTTTTGTGTATGGAACACCAAAGGGCTGCATCCTAGGAATAAAGCTGAATGGGAAGTAGGCCCAACCTGGCAGTTATTCAAACCCAAATCCAAGTCAACTCAATCCCTGACCCTGTATTGCTTGTAAATCTGGCAAAAATAAATAAAATCCTCTGTAGAGATCCTAAGCATCCAATTATTTTTTAAACTTTTTATTTTAAAATAATCACAGATTTATATGAAATTGCAAAGATAGTAGAAAGAGGTCCCATGTACCCTTCACCCAGTTTCACCCAGTGATTATACTGTCCTTAATTAAAATACAACATTGAAACCAGGGAATTATATTGACACCATGAATATGTGTAGTTGTATGTTATCACTTGTAGATTGATATAGCTACTACCACAATCAAGATAAATAAGTATTCCATCACTGCAAAGCCCTCCTTCTTGCTACATCTTGATAGTCACACCCAGTCCCCTCCCTTCCACCATTCCTGATATCTGGAAGCAACTAATCTGCTTTCCATTTCTATAATTTGGTAATTTCAAGAATGTTATACAACTAGAACCATAAAATAGATTCACGTTTTTCACTTAGCATAATTATCTTAAGACCCATCTAAGTTGTGTATCAATAGTCCATTCCTTTTTATTGCTGAGTAGTATTCCACGGTATGGATGTACCACAGTTTGTTTAACATTTACCTATTAAGGAACATTTTAGTTGTTTCCACTTTTTTTCCATTATGAATAAAGCTACTATGAACATTCATGTACAGGTTTGTGTGCATTTGTTTGTGTATGTAAGTTTTCATTTCTCTGGAGAATATGTCCAGGAGTGAAGTTATGGGGTTGTAAGGTAAGGATAGGTTTAATTTTTTAAGGAACTGCCAAACTGTTTTCTGGAGTGGCTCTACTACTTTACATTCCCAACAGAAATTTATGAGACTTCGAGTCTCTTTACATCCTTGCCAGAATTTGACATTGTTGCTATTTTTTATTTTAGCTGTTCTAATAGATGTGTAGTGATATTTCATTGTGGTCTTGATTTATATTTCCCTAATGACTAATGATGTTGATTATCTTTGCATGTGCTTCTTTGTCATATGTATATCTTTTTCATTGAAGTGTTTGTTTAAATCTTTTAGCTTAAAAAATTGGATTGTTTTCTTATTGAGTTTTGAGAGTTCTTTATATGTTCTCTATACAAGACTTTTGCATATACATGATTTGCAAATAGTCTATCACTCCCTAGCTGGTCTTTTCATATCTGTGTAAGAGTTATGATTTTATTTTTCGAAAATTATTTTTTTAACAGTTTTGGGGGTCCCACAGAGATGCCAAATAGATTCATGTAACGAATCCAGGTAATGTTTGTCACCAGAAAATTACACCTCAGTGATGGTCTTAAGCCCAGTTGCATTGTTTCTTGGCTCCCAGAGGTAAATACAAAGTGACAATAGAAATTTGTTGATCCTCTGTTTTTCGCATTTTAATTTTCTTCTAATTTTGTGTTTCATTTTTGTTTTGTTTTGTGTTCACTTATAGCTGATAAATTTTCACCATCACTGGCAACAATAATTGGGAATTTTTTATGATCTTGTTTTTAAAGTGACTATCAGTGCTGCTCCCAAGGTTCTCAAGTTTTTAAGAAACTGTCCTTGTCAAAAGGCTTATAGTCTTAGACAAATTTATATGGACACATTTCTTCAGCTGCTGCAAAATATGATTCAACTAACTCATCATCAGTAAATAACTTTTCTTGCTTGACTAACAGATTAGCCACTCTAAAACTTACTTTGGTTATAGCCTCATTTTCATTCGCTGTTTTTTAAAAGTAATTCGGCTTTGATAAGATATTCCATTTTGGCCATAATTATCTGTGATTTGGAAATATTGGGAAAAGTTTCTAATCTGGCAGTATTAATGTTATTATTTTTCTTCTTGTACAGCTATCTGTCACTGCAAAACAAACACAATAGTCAGCCGTCTGATTCTATAACAAAATAATCTACACTTTACTATACCTTAAAAGCATAACATTCAAAATTTGATTTTCTCTTCTTGTTTTGACATGATGGATATGCAAAATAAATGAAATATCAAGTAGAGTGATACATATGGCACTCAAAAATCTGTTAACTTGTAATAACTGTGTTACTGAGGTTTATGATACACTGAGTAGCAGTATGAAGTGATGAGAACATTATATATGGTCTCTATCATAAGTACTCAACTGTACCAATATAACATGAAAACAGCCATAGACAATATGTAAACAAATAAGCATGACTGTGTTTCAACCAAAATTTATGAATGCTGAAATTTGAATTTTACATACTTATCATATGTCATAAAATATTCTTCTTTTGATTTTTTTGACTATTTAAAAATGTAGGCTGGGTGCGGTGGCTCACACCTGTAATCCCAGCACTTTGGGAGGCCAAGGAGGGCAGAATGCTTGAGCTCAGGAGTTTGAGACCAGCCTGGGCAACATGGTAAAACCCCATCTCCACAAAAATGCAAAAATTAGCTGGACATGGTGGTGCATGCTTATAGTCCCAGCTACTCAGGAAGTTAAGGTAAGAGGATTCTTTGATCCCAGGAGGCTGATGCTGCAGTGAGCCAAGATAATGCCACTGCACTCCAGCCTGGGCGATGGAGTGAGACCCTGTCTCAATAAAAAATGTAAAAGCCATTATTACTTCATGGGGCATACAAAAACAGTCAATACACCATATTTAGCCATTAGGCCAGAATTTCCCAGCAACTGGCTTACTCTGTCTTACCCAGAACCAGAATTCCAAATTGATCTATAAAGTCAACACAATATCAATCAAATTTACAGCAGGCTTTTTGCAGAAACTAATATTAAGATTTACGTTGAAATGCAAAAAACAACTAACTAAAAAAACTAGAATAGTCAAAATTGTTTTGAAAAGGAAGAACATCATTAGAGGAATAACAGTATCAGATTTTAAAACTTACTCTAAAGCTCCAGTAGTCAAGACATAGTAATGGCTTAACAATATTTATATAAATCAATGGAACAGGGTGATTCCAGAAAATAGAGCCAAGTATATATGATCAGTTTATTTTCAGTGCAGCCACAAAGATAATTCAATGGGGGAAAGTTGTTTAAAAAAATAGCACTAGAACAACTAGACATCTATTTGAAAATTATGAACCTCAACACTTACCTCACATCATACACAAAAAGAACTCAAAATAGGTAACAGACCTAAATGAAAACCTAAAACTACAAATGTTATACAAGAAAACATAGGAGAAAATTTTCAAAACCTTGGGATAGGCAAAAAAAAGATTTCATAGGTAGGCCAAAAAGAGCACAAAATCTAATTTAAAAAGATAAACCAGAACTTCATCAAATTAACTTACTCTCTTAAAGACATTATTAACAAAATGAAGAGGCAAGCCAAGACTAGGAAAAAATATTCATAATGTATCTATCTGAGAAAGGATTGGTATCTAGGCTATATTAAGAAATCTTACAACTCATCATTTTTTATGGCTGCATAGTATTCCATGGTGTATATGTGCCACATTTTCTTAATCCAGTTTATCATTGTTGGACATTTGGGTTGGTTCCAAGTCTTTGCTATTGTGAATAGTGCTGCAATAAACATACGTGTGCATGTGTCTTTATAGCAGCATGATTTATAATCCATTGGGTATATACCCAGTAGCCATAAAAAATGATGAGTTCATGTCCTTTGTAGGGACATGGATGAAGCTGGAAACCATCATTCTCAGCAAACCATCGCAAGGACAAAAAACCAAACACCGCATATTCTCACTCATAGGTGGGAATTGAACAATGAGAACACATGGACACAGGAAGGGGAACATCACACACCGGGGCCTGTTGTGGGGCGGGGGGAGGGGGGAGGGGGGAGGGATAGCATTAGGAGATATACCTAATGTTAAATGATGAGTTACTGGGTGCAGCACACCAACATGGCACATGTATACATATGTAACCAACCTGCACGTTGTGCACATGTACCCTAAAACTTAAAGTATAATTAAAAAAAAGAGAAATCTTACAACTCAACAGTAAGGAACCAAACTAACAAAAAACAAGCAAAACTTTCAAAAGTTCTTTTCCAAAGAAGATATAAAATGACCAATCAGCACATGATAAAATGACTGATAACCACCTCATTACTTATCAGGGAAATGCTAATTAAACCACAATGAGATAACACTACAAATAATCCCAATGACTAAAAATCCCAAGTGTTGGTTAGCATGTAGAACAAGTGATCTTGCATTCACTGCTAATGGAAGTATGAAGTGGTATAGTCATTTTTAGAAATGGTAAAGTTAAACATACACTTAGCATATTCACTGTTACTTGCCTTGTACCAAAAGTATAATTCTTAAAGCTGTGAGATAGTGGTTTGAGAATAAACAAAAATGGGCTGGGTATGGTGGCGGCTCACGCCTGTAATCCCAGCACTTTGGGAGGCCGAGCTGGGTGGATCATGAGGTCAGGAGACCATCTTGGCCAACATGATGAAACCTGATCTCTGCTAAAAATACAAAAACTAGCTGGGCATGGTGGCGGGTGCCTGTAATCCCAGCTACTCAGGAGGCTGAGGCAGGAGAATCACTTGAACCTGGGAGGCGGATGTTGCAGTGAGCCAAGATCGTGCCACTGCATTCCAGCCTGGTGACAGAACAAGACTCTATCTCAAAAAAAAAAAAAAAATGGTCAGAGATTTCAGTAATAAACATAAAAGATAGGAGACTCCAGGAATGGATATACCTAGTGTAGTATAAATGTGACCTTTAAGATCAGTAAATAAAAAAGGGACTCATCAATAAATGTTGAAAGCCTTGACTATCCAATTGGAAAAAATTAAAATTAGATTTGTGCCTGACACCATTTAAAACATAGTCTTCATGTTTTGAAAATAATTAGTGCCTGGGAGTATGGGAAAGTTTTCTTTTAAAAAATCATTATACAAAAATTTCATAAACACATTGATATTTTAACCACATAAATTTTTTTAGCTAAGTTGCCCAGTCTAGAGTGCAGTGGCTATTCACAGTCACGATTGTAGCATCCAATAGCCTCAAACTCCTGCCCTCAAGTGATCCTTCTGCCTCCCCAGTAACTGGGACTACAGGTATGTGACAGGTATGTGCCACCACACACAGCCCAACCACATAAAGATTTTAAGTGAACAATAAAGTACCTCATTCTTTATGTTAATAGACAAGGACAGGCAATTCTTCATAAAGATAACATACACTTAGCCTATGACAGCAATTCCACTCCTAGGTATTTACCCAAGAGAAATCAAAGCATATGTCTGCAAAAAGGCTAATACAAGAATATTCTTAGTAGCTTTATCCAAAATTTCCAAAACCTGGAAACAAATGTTCACCAACATAAGAATGAGCAAACTGTGGTAATTTCCTGATTACTCTGAACATAAAAAGAAGACTGATAAGCATAATAATATAAATGAACTTAAAAACATTATGTTAAATGGTGGCAGCTTCTATAGAAAACAGAATGGCAGATCCTGAAAAAATTGAAAATACAATTACCATATGATCCAGCAATTCCACTTCTGGGTATGTGTCCAAAAGAATTGAAAGCAAGGTCTTGAAGAGATATTTGTACTCCTATGTTCATAACAGCATTATTCACAATAGCCAAAAAGTGGAAGAAACCCAAGTGTACAAAGGAAGAAAATTCTGACACATTCGACAACACAAATAAACCTTAAGGACATTATGGTAAGTTAAATAAGCCAGTCACAAAAAGACAAATACTGGGCTGGTCATGGTGGCTCACGCCTGTAATCCCGGCACTCTGGGGGGTCGAGGCGGGCGGATCACAAGGTCAGGAGATCGAGACCATCCTGGCTAACATGGTGAAACCCTGTCTCTACTAAAAATACAAAAAATTAGCCGGGCGTGGCGGCATGCGCCTGTAGTCCCAGCTACTCGGGAGGCTGAAGCAGGAGGATGGCGTAAACCCTGGAGGCAGAGCTTGCAGTGAGCCGAGATCTCACCACTGCACTCCAGCCTGGGTGACAGAGAGAGACTCTGTCTCAAAAAAAAAAAAAAAAGAAAAAGAAAAAGAAAAAGAAAAAAAAAAGGACAAATAGTGTATGATTCCATTTACGTGACTCAGAGAAGTCAAATGCATAGAGACACAAAGTATAGTGGCTGCCAGTGGCTGGGAGGAGGGGAAAATTGAGGGTTGCTGTTGAATGGGATAGAGTTGAATGGGATAGAGTTTTAGTTTTGCAAGATAAAATGAGTTTTGGAGATTGGTTTTACAACAATGTAAATGTACTTAACACTACTGAGCTATATACTTAAAAATGGTTAAGATGGTAAATTTCATGTTATGTATATTTCACCAGAAAAAAATTGTAAAAAGCCGAAAGCATTCCAGGTAGCTCTAGTTTGCATCTAAGATTAAGAGACATTTATTTCCATCAAAACCAAGGATCTGAAAGGAACCAATTTACAAGCTCACAAGTTAGCCTGACAGTCTCACAGATGCTGGCACAAGACAAGAGACTCCTGGCTCTGAGACAAAGGACTTTATTAGTCACAACCACAGCAGTAGCCAGAGTGTCATCCTTTGCAATGGTTTTTACCACTCTAATCCCATAGAGTGACGTGAAAGGCCAGGTGCTGCTTGCATACCTAGCGGGCTGCGTTGTAGGAATAGAACTCTAAGCTTAGGAAACCTGAATCTTCTATGATAGGCAGTGGGAACAAAACCACTGCCCTTCACCCCAGAGGGAGACACTGTCTTCACTGGAGTGGTCCATAAACAAATTTGCTGCTCCAGAGGAAGACACTATATTTTTGTTCCCTAACGCGTACGCACCTTTGAAAAGACAGTGGGGAACAAAGGTGACCAGTGTCTCTACTCAAAGACATGCAGAAAAAGAGAAGTAGATACTTAAGTAACCATAGTGTCTGCAGAAAAATAAAAGAAAAAAAATAAGAGAAGCAGATACAGAGAATGAGTGGGGAATGAGGAATAATAACTAATGTTACATTCTACTTCAAAGCCAGTTGACTACAGAAGAAAAAGGCCAATTCTGGGGTTACATCTCCTTTGTGAGTGGTATGCTAATAAATGTTTAATAAATGGCTCTCCAGAAAGAAACATACGTACATTATATAAGTTTACTATAAATTTTACTAATATAGAATGTTTTCAGAACACAATTTATAAACAATAATAAAATATGCAATACTCTATTTATTATAAATTACAAATTTAGAAAACCATGTTGAATGAAAAAAAAGCCAAACGCAAGAGTATATTACAGTATGATTTCATTTATATAAAGTTCAAGAATAGGCAAAACCAACATATGGTGATAGAAAGCAAAACAGTGATTATATCCTTTTTTGGAAAGAAATGAAGGGAAAGGGGCACAAGGGAAATTTTGGGGTAAAGAAAATGTTTAACATGTTGAATGGGCATTATTTACAAGGATATGTACATTTGTTAAAACTTAAATGTAGTTAAAGTCTGCACTTTATGTAAATTATACCTGAAAAAAAAGACAAGACAGATCAGACATCTTCGGTAGCTGTTATTATGCTTCTATGGGCAGTCTAGTGGAGGCATAGCCACTGGGCCCAGTCTGCCAGCTGCATGCTATTTGTATTTATTGCCTGTAGTTGTATGAAGAGCTAGTGTTAAGTAGTGTTAAGTAGTAGTTATCAGTATAACTGATAACCCAGCATCAGTTATTAAAATGACTATTATTTCTCCAACATATTTCAAGGCTAATAAACTAACTCACTGTATACATGTGGATCTGTTTTTGGGCTCCCAATTCTTTTCCATTGATCTATTTTTTCTCTCCTGAGCGAATACCACACTGTATTAATTATAGAAAATTTATAATAAATGTTGATCTCTGGTAATGTAAGTCCACCAGTGTTGCTCTTCATCAAATTTTATCATCACACATAAGGGACTTTTTTTTTTTTTTTTTTTTTTTTGAGACAGAGTCTTGCCCTGTCGCCTGGGCTGGAGTGCAGTGGTGCGATCTTGGCTCATTGCAACCTCCACCTCCTGTGCTCAAGCGATTCTCCTGCCTCAGCCTCCTGAGTAGCTGGGATTACAGGTGCCTGCCACTATGCCCAGCTAATTTTGTGTATTTTTAGTAGAGACGGGGTTTCACTATGTTGGCCAGGCTGGTCTCAAACTCCTGATCTTGTGATTCAGCCACCTTGGCCTCCCAAAGTGCTGGGATTAGGACTAAGTTTTATAGGGAAAACATGTAAGCTAAGGGTCTGGAAGAGAAGGCACAGGACCACAATTTCTCATACCACTTGAAGAAGCACCAGGGCCTGGGTGAAGCAGGAAATAGACCACACCTCACCGCTATGTTTTTATCCTTCTTAAAGAGCAATTGTGAAGGCATCCATGTTGGTGAGGGAACAAATTGACTATGCAGGTAATCTGGACTACTTAACTAAAGCAGACAATCTGGCTTTAGTTGTCAGAGCTTCACAGAAGTTGCATGAGAAAGCCAGGTTCTAACACCTCCCATCAGGAAGAGAAAGCCGCTGGGAAGTTGAGTTCATGTAAAGCCCTTCCCACTGAAGAATGTGGGAGTCTGAGGCCCCAGATAGCTCCTCACCTAGGCATCCCAAAGGGAACTCCCAGAATTACCTTTGGACAATTCTGGTCATTGCACACAATTGTTATTGTGAATGAAACATTTTGGCTACATTTTATAAAAGACTCTTACATAGTAATGCTATGAATTTTCACATGCCAATTTCGTGTGAAACCAATTTGTTGACCCGATAATTTTAAAACAGCCTTCAATTGGTCAAATTTTACAGGTGGATTTGAATTTTATAAGTAAATAACATTATTCTCTAGCATAAAAATAGTATCTTCCTTTTCCTTCCAATGATTATGTCTCAACATTTTTTATTTTGTCTTAATCTCACCCCATGAATCTGGGCCAGTGTTGTGACTTGCTTTAATCATTAAAATGTGGTGAAAGTATCATTGAGCCTGTTCCCTGATGAGGCCTTAAGAGATCACAGCTTTTGCCCTTGAAACCCTGGCACTATGGGACCAACCCTCGATTGGTCTTCTGGAGGGTGAGAGACCATGATGACAGAGAGAACTTCGTTGTCTCATCTATGACCATCATAAAACAGCCAGGCCCAGATGAACCATCAGCTGACTGCAGATGCATGTACAAAGCCCAGTTAAGATAATCTAGCATGTCCCACACCAGAACTGCCCAGCTAAGCCCAGTTGAACTTGCCAGCTCACACATCATGAGCTAAATAAATATGTATTTAGAGCTACTCAGTTCTTGTGTGTGTTATGAGGCAGAAGCTGATAAGCATATTTAGGATAAATTATACATGAGCGAGTCTGTTACGCTTTTATCAAATCATTGGATTTGACATGCTCATATTTATTTAGGATCTCTGCATCTTCATTTGTAAATGAGATTGGCTCCCACTGATTGGGAGCTAGACTAATTTCTGCTTTTTCCATGCTACTTTGCTACAAGAGGAAAAGCAAACAATTTTGTGAAGTAGGGAGACATTCCTGTTAGCATCATATATTTAAAAAGCTTAATGTGATATGCAAGCGCTGCTCCCGGCCAAACTAGAGGATTGCCTGGGACACCTCCACCAACACTGAGGGCTGATTCTGTCATGAAGGAATGTTGCACCCATTCTAAACCCCAAAAGCTTCCTAGGATAATGTGTATCCCGGATTTTTTCTCTAACTTAATGTTTGCAAGTAGGAGTACTGGAGTATGTGGTGGACATGGACAATAACATGTGGACATTTTTATAGGTCTAGATCATTGTTGATGGAGCCATGTTATTCCATTATATGGGATGCCCTAATTTACTCAATCTCTTATACATGAACCTTCAGGTTGTTTACAGTCTTCTCATTGCAAAATTCTTAGAACATATTTCTTTCTGAAACCATATTTTCCCCACTCATGTAATTACATCCTAAAAATACATTCTGAGAAGCAGGATCATTGGCTCAAAGACAATGCACATTGTACATATGATACATATAGACAAGATCCTCTCCAGCAACTTTGTACCTGTTTTTCTTTCCCCCACCAACTTATGTAAGAACACTCATTTCCTCATTTCTACTGACATAGAATTTTTAAAATATTTCACTATTATCCACCTGATCAGTAAGAAAATGACACTTCAGGGATGGTTTTATTTGCACTTGAATGGCTGTTCTGTTTACAAACTATAACTAGCAGGAAACTGTAATGCAAGAAAAACTAGGAATAAACCATGATCCAAATGAAGAAACCTATAAGTCAATTAAAACAAAAAAGGACACTGTTTTTGAAGGAAAAAAAAAACACCTTGTGGGATGAGTGCAGTGGCCCAAACCTGTAATCCCTGCACTTTGGGAAGCTGAGGTAGGAGGATCGCTTGAAACCAGAAGTTTGAGACTAACCTGGGCAACAAAGTAAGACCCCATCTCTACAAGTACAATTTTTAAAGAAAACATCAGCTGAACACGGTGGTGTATGTCTGTAGTCCCAGCTACTCAGGAGGCTGAGGCAGGAGGATCACTGAAGCCAGGAGTTCAAGGCTTCAGCGAGCAATGATCAGGCCACTGCACTCCAGCCACCTGGGTGACACAGCAAGACCCTGTTTCCAAAAAAAAAAAAAAAAAAAAAAAGCAAAGAGATCTCCTCTCGAATTCATCTATTATCCCCAATTAAATGACAAATTTGGGGGGAAACTGACAGAAAGAGCATCCTTTAAAAACCCATTATTATACAGGTCTGCTGAGAAGAAGACTGCATCAGTCTGCAATGAACACTGTTGGTTTTTTACATGTTGTTGGTCACTTTAGTAAATGTTGATTTTATTCAATTAATTTTATTAAGACTAACCACAGAACACCTATTCTAGTTAATTTTTAATCGCATTTAAGGTGTGAGCTGACAAACCTATTCAGCATCCCACATTATAGAGTTTCTCTATTATATGAGATTTCTTACGTCGGTGGGTTATACTTTTCAGTAAAGTTTTACCACAGCTATATCATCTGGAACATTTCTCTTTGGTGTACTCACCAATGAATGAAGGTTATCACTGAAGAAGTCCCATCCATACCATTTTAGATGGTTGCACTGCCACATCAAGCCTTAAAGATTTAAAAGTTTTGAACTCTGAATTATGTTACTTCTGTATGTGGACTCCAATGACAATGAAACATATTGCTATAAAATCCCTCCATGCTAGTCAGGATAGCCTAGGCAATGCTGCAGTAATAAATAAACCACCAAAAATCTCAGTGGTGAGACACAATGAACTTTTATTTCTTACTCTAAAAAGAAATCCAACACAGATGAAGTAGTGACCTTCTATCAACCCAGTCTGGAATAAGCAGCCTCCAAGGTCACCTTGGCAGGGATAGAGAAGCCTGAGGATGTTTGTAAAGGCTAGACCTGAAAGTGGCTTATATCACTTTTGCTCACACTCCATTGGCTAGAACTCAATCACATGGGCACACTCTTAACTGCAAGGGTTACTGGGAAATAGACTTCTTATTTGCAAGGAAATGGAACCAGTGTGATAAACACAGCACTGCCTCTGCCACACCCTTCAAATGCCACTTCTATGGAGCTTCTTGCCTGTGTAGAGAATCTCATGGAAAACCTGGGTACTAACGTTCTTTCATAGTAAGAGCATGGGTTTCATTTTTGAGCACACTTTTGAATGTTCTTCATACAGAGAGTATTTTTCTACTGGGGACTAAAAAAAAATCTAAAGACGTTGGCTGAACTGAAGACCTTACCATGATCATCCCAATTAGAATTTCCTTCCTGGACACACCCTTTAATGGAAATTTGACCACTAACTACAACCACTACCACAAACCACCCATTTGTCAAAAGTAACCTCTTTGCCATTGTAGCATACAGCAGTTGATGGGAGCTTCACAGAAGTTCTTGAAATCCACAGTCCTTGCCTGGCACACTTCAGTGCTGCAGGCTGACATTATCGATGGCAGTGTCCCTGTCTTTTGCTCCCCTAGCCCTCCCACAGGCTGAGTAAGCCTCTATCATCTGGAATACAGTGTGGCTTCTGTTTTACTAATTGAACCCTGACTTACTACATTTATAATGTTTCTCTCTGCTCATGTAGTCTTTGATGAGTCAGAAGGTCCTTTCCACGCTCACAGTGTGTGTACTGTGTCTCATCTATATGCACTCTCTGATGGGCAAGGAGGTATGAATTACGACTGAAGCCCTTACCACATGCCTTACACTTATAGGGCCTCTCTCCTGTGTGGACTCTGAGGTGAACATTAAGATCTGAATTCCGGCTGAAGCCTTTACCACACTCATCACATTTATATGGTTTCTCTCTGATGTGATCTCTTTGATGTAAGTGAAAATATGAACTGTAACTGAAGCACTTTCCACACACTTCACATTTATATGGTTTTTCTCCAGTGTGAACTCTCTGATGAGTGTGAAGAACAGAGCTATACGCAAAATCCTTTCCACACACATTGCATTTGTATGGTTTCTCCCCTGTGTGGACTCTCTGGTGAATGTGAAGGTGTGTACATTGGCTGAAGCCCTTTCCACACTCACCACACCTATATGGTTTCTCCCCTGTGTGAAACCTCCAGTGGACTTGAAGAACGGAGCTTGAACTAAAGCACTTGCCACACTCACTGCATTTGTAGGGCTTCTCTCCAGTGTGGACTCTCTGATGGACAAGAAGGTTGGAGCTCTGATCAAAGCCCTTCCCACACTCTTCACATTTATAGGGCTTTTTCCCTGTGTGTACTCCCTGATGAATACAAAGAAGTGACCTAAATCCAAACCCTTTCCCACATTCATCGCATTTGTAGGGCATCTCCCCTGTGTGGACTCGATGATGGTTGTGAAGGGAAGAGCTGCGCCTGAAGCCCTTGCCACATTCTTTACATTTGTAGGGTTTGTCTCCTGAGGAGACTTTCTGATATCTGGGAAGGTCTGAGCTCTGTTTGCAGCCCATAGGCCATTCGTGGAATTCATAGGGAGTCTTGCCAGAGTGAGTTTTACAATGAACGATAAGATCTTGGCTCTGACTAAAGTTCTTTCCATACTGGTCACATTTATAAGATTTTTCTCCTAGGTGAGTGCTGTGATGGACATGAGGATCTGTATCATCTGCAAAGGCCACCCCACAGTTATTACATGGGAAAGGCTGTGGTAATACATGGGCCGCATTACGTTTTTCAACCGTTGATTTCATACCCAAGTTTTTCCCACAGCTGGGATGTCTACCAGGGTCCTCTCCTTTACATTCTTGGGACTCATGATGATCACATGAGGTCCAACTGAGGCTGTCATCATGCTGAGCACGTCTGTACAATTTCTCTTCCATGTAAATTCCCTTATATCTTCCCTGAGAGTTCTGGGGCTCGGTCATTATGTTGGCTTTCCTCCACGATTCTGGGGTAAGAACCTGTGTCAGGCTTTGCCATGCTGTGATATCTTGATTTTTGATAATGGCATTTACTACATAGTTTTCATTTTCAGAAATCTGAAGAGAAATGCCTGCCCACTCTTCACTGAGGGAAACATCTTCTAAATGTGGGGAACACTCTTCTTGAAGGTTCACGATATAATCCTGACTCACAGTTAAATCCCGGATCCTTTGTTTCCAAATCTGCCAGCAATGAAGCACTTCTTGCGAAAGGTAACTTAACCCCTTTGCCTGAAGATTCAAAATGTTGTTTTTAATCCCGTCTCCTAGGAGAAGAAAGAGAATTTGGCTAAGAGAACAAGTCAATCATCCATCCAGAGGTTTTGAGAAAATGTAATATGATGGGGTGGGAAGTTGTCCCTGGGTTCTATTGACGTATGAAACAATTAGAGCCACGGTAATTCTAACCTGTGAGCTGCCAATTAGAAATCAAGTGTTGTAGGGAAATTAAAAGAAATCTTGGCCAGGTGCAGTGGCTCATGCCTGTAACAGCAACACTTTGAGAGGCTGAGGTGGGAGGATCACTCAAGCCCAGGAGATCAACACCAGGCTGGGCAATATAATGAGATTCCCATCTCTACAAAAAAATTAAAAATTGGCTCAGTTTTGCCTATGATCCCAGCTACTTGGAAATCTGAGGTTGGAGGATTGCTTAATCCTGGGAGGCACAGGTTGCAGTGAGCCAAGATTGTGCCACTGCATTCCAGCCTGGGTGACAGAGCAAGACCTTTCCACCCCCACACCGCAAAAAGGAATAAAAGGAAATCTTAGGAAAATTTTATGAAGGAAGAAATTCACCTCCCTGCTATAAGAGTAGTCGATAAAAAGCCTTTAATAATCTTGCTACAAAAGGTATGGGAAAGGCTCCCATTTTATGTAGTGTGTGTGTATATAAATAATACATATTGATGGAGTGTTTTTTATATGTTGGGCAGAGTAAGGGACACAAAGGGTCACAAGAGGTTTCAGAAACAAGCAACAAGTCCTATCTCCTGATGGCTTCCCTTCCTTCACATCACTGTCATATGGAGGACTATCACGTATGTTTGTGTACAACCTGCACAACTGTACATGATGAGCCTTAAGGGGATGGGGATAAAAAGGCAATGGGGATTGAAATGGGGTAAACATTGTGAAATATGATCCTGGCGTTGTGCGGGGATGCGTATGTAAACCTCTGAGACAAGCTTTAAGAGACATCCTTTTTATTTTCCCCAAGGTTCTTTGTCTTCATGAAAAGATAGAGACCACTCAGATCCTACAATCCATTTCCTTAAGTTCTGCCCTTTTAAGTTGTTGCAGAATCTCAGACAGCCATGACTATGAAAATGGGGAACAGATACTGTGGCACTGTCAATGGCCTGGCACCCAGGGAAGCAAGACTGTGGTATATAACAAACAGGGGGCTGAGGCAGAAGAGGATGATCATATTCTTGGGATCCTAAGATGGGTTCCAAAATGGCATGAATATCATGGTCAAGTCCCACTGGATACTGCTTCTGGTTCAAGGTCCTTTCTGCATTGTTTTATTGAAAGTGACTTTAGTTTATAAGATAGTATCAGGGAAAGGGAGACCATGAGCTGCCCCGAATGGGCTTTAAGCAGTGGTTTCCCAATTGTTTTGATTGTAACCCACAGTAAAATCAGCATTATGACTCAGTAGGAATAGGCACGAACATCAACAGAGACTGCTCACTAAAACAGAAGTTTTATCAGCTGATACTTACATACGATGTGCAATACACTTCGATAAATTCTTCTGTTTTCTGTTCTATTAATCTATTTTTTTTCTTTCTTTCTTTATTATTATTATACTTTAAGATTTAGGGTACACGTGCACAATGTGCAGGTTAGTTACATATGTAAATATGTGCCATGCTGGTGTGCTGCACCCACTAACACGTCATCTGGCATTGCTAGTTATGACACAGTAATTTGATTTCAGGACTCACCAAGAGGGTTTTATCCTGCAGTTTGAGAAACAACTGCAGGGATATGCAGATTTATGCAAAAGGTCCTGTGTCTACAGTTTACACTTTGGTTTCAAGAGGTTATTTATTAAAAACACAGGACCTAGGGCCAAATTAGGATGGCTCAAATCCGAGTTCTTCTTATAAGCTGTGTGATCGTGGGCAAGTTATTAATTCTGTGACTCAGTTGTTTCATCCATTGATATGGTTTGGCTGTGTCCCTACACAAATCTCTTCTTGAATTGTAACTCCCATAATTCCCACGTGTCGTGTCCCATAATTCCCACATGTCAGAGCCCCCACACAGAGTCCCTACTAGGGCACTGCCTATTGGAGCTGTGAGAAGAGGGCCACTGTCCTTCAGACCCCAGAATGCTAGATTCACTGACAGCTTCACTGGGTGCCCAGAAAAGCCACAAACACTCAACACCAGCCCATGAAAGCAGCCAGAAGGGAGGCTATACTCTGCAGAGCCACAGGGGTGGAGCTGCCCAAGACCATGGAAACCCACCTCTTACATGAGTGTGATCAGGATGCAAGACATAGAGTCAAAGGAGATCACTTTTGACTTTTAAGATTTGACTGCCCTGTTGGATTTCAGACTTGCATGGGGCCTGTAGCCCCTTTGTTTCGGCCAATTTCTCCCATTTGGAACAGCTGTATTTACACAATGCCTGTACCTGCACTGTATCTAGGAAGTAAATAACTTGTTTTTGATTTTACAGGCTCATAGATGGAAGAGACTTGGCTTGTCTCCGATGAGACAATGGACTGTGGACTTTTGAGTTAATGCTGAAATGAGTTAAGACTTTGTGGGACTGTTGGGAGGCATCATTGGCTTTGAAATGTAAGGACATATGATTTGGGAGGGGCCAGTGGTGGGATAATATGGTCTGGCTGTGTCCCCACCCAAATCTCATCTTGAATTGTAACTCCCAAAATTCCCATGTGTCATGAGAGGAACCTGGTAGGGGGTGACTGAATTATGGGGGCGGGTCTTTCCTGTGTTTTCTCATGATAGTGAATGAGTCTCATGAGATCTGATGGTTTTAAAAAGGGGAGTTTCCAGCTGGGCACGGTGGCTTGCACCTGTAATCCCAGCACTTTGGGAGGCTGAGGCGGGTGGATCACGAGGTCAAGAGATTGAGGCCATCTTGGCCGACATGGTGAAATCCCATCTCTACTAATAATACAAAGATTAGCTGGGTGTGGTGGTGCATGTCTGTAGTCCCAGCAACTTGGGAGGCTGAGGCAGGAGAATTGCTTGAACTTGGGAGGTGGAGGTTGCAGTGAGCCAAGATAGCACCACTGCACTCCAGCCTGGCTACAGAGCCAGACTCCATCTCAAAAAAAAAAAAAAAAGATTTCCCTGCACAAGCTCTCTTCTCTTGTCTGCCACCATGTGAGACATGGCTTTCACCTTCCACCATGATTGTGAGGCCTCCCCAGGCACGTGGAACTGTAAGTCCAGTACACGTCTATCTTTTGTAAATTGCCCAGTCTTGGATATGTCTTTATCAGCAGTGTGAAAACAGAGTAATACATCCATAAAAGGGGGATAATAACAGTAACTATCTGTATTAGTCCATTCTCACGTTGCTAATGAAGACATACCCAAGACTGGGTAATTTATAAAGGAAAGAGGTTTAATTGACTCATAGTTCCATGTGGCTGGGGAGGCCTCACAATCATGGCAGAAGGTGAAGGAAGAGCAAAGGGACATCCTACATGGTGGCAGGCAAGGAGAAAGCCTGTGCAGGAGAACACCCATTTATAAAACCATCAGATCTCATGAGATTTATTCACTCTCATGAGAACAGCATGAGAAAGACCCCTGCCCCATGATTCAGTTACCTCCTACCAGGCCCCTCCCACAACATATGGGAATTATAGGAGCTACAATTCAAGACGAGACTTGGGTAGGAACATAGCCAAACCAAATCTGTATCTCATAAACTAAACTTAGGTAACATATAACTGTATATGAACCTCTGAGAAATGAAAAGGAGTTTAGATATTTATCAAAAAGTAATCATATAAGCCAACACTTAGATTACACTTACTACATACCAGTAAGTGTTGGCTATTGTAACTGCCAACCAAACCAAAGTTCTCCCTTGGTTCCTTTAACACCGGTTTATCCAAAACATTGGATAAACATTGGTTTTTTTCTCCAGAAGCAACCAATAGATCAAGGCCCTTGGTAATGTGTGAATTTTATCAGTCTCATTCTGAGAAATATGAGGAATGAGAGCCTAAATGTGTGAGTAGGGGAGGGAGGGCTTACTTCCTGCACTGAATGCCCACAGGCCAGGGGTATGAGATTTGGGGAGAGCTCCCTCACAAACCCATCACAAGGGGCCAGATCTGTAAAAGCTCATTAACTGTAGGTTTCTAACCTGCACATGCATCTCTTAGGAGTTTTCTTTCCAGTGGCCAAAGTTTCTCTTTGTGGTCTAACTGGAATATTCTATCTGGTTTGAAATGATGATTTGAGGAAACAGGTCCAGTGGTCTCATGCTCAGTTACTCACTCACTAACATGAGGTTCCTGAAGTTTTCCAGCATCACATCTTGGTACAGGTTTATCTGGGCTTTATCCAATAGTGCCAGCTCTTCCTTGGTGAAGACAACAGCCACATCCTTGAATGTCACCCTTTCCTAAAACATCAACCACATGCCACGTCAATCATCCACACAAATGACTGGTCTTAGTCTGTTTGGGCTGCCTTAATAAAACACCACAGTCTGATTAGATTAAACAAAATAAACTTATTTCTTCCTGTCCTGGAGGTTGGAAAGTCTAAGATCAAGTACCACCAAGATAGGTTTCATTCAGGTTTCTTCTCTTGGCTTGCAGACAGCTCTGCTCTCACTGTGTCCTTACATGGCAGAGGGAGAATGAGAGCAAGCTCTGTTGAGGCTCTCATAAGGACACTAATCCTATTGGATCAGGGATTCCCAAAGGACAGTATTAATCAAATTATAAAATATGGCCCAGGAAATAGGCACAGATAAATCTATACTAAGGTGTTGTGCTGATACACAAGTCTAGTAGCATTTCATGAGTTCATTTCTCATCACACACCAAGATTTAGTATTTTCACTTTTTCATGGCAGATTAATCTATTTGTATTATGTTAAAAGGAACTAAGAAGACAGGGTAACTAAAAGCATTGGCTCCTAGATTCAAAAAACACAAAAGAGAAATGGGAGATTATTAGGATAATTAAGAACACTTGGATATCAACTAGGTATTAAAAAATAGTGGTATCAATGTGAAATTTCTTGAGTATGTTAGCAGTAATGTGGAAATGTAGGAAAATGCTCTTATTCTTAGGAGATACAAACTGAAATATTTAGGGATGAATTATAGTAATGCCTGCAATTTATCCCCAACTGGGTCAATCAAATAAAATATAGACATGTGTGTGTATATATGTATATTATACATATGTTTGTGGGTGATTGTTAACAATTGGTGAATCTAGGTGAAGATTACACATTATGCTATTCTTTCGTTTTCCTGATAAATTGAAATTTCTCAAAATAAAAGGATGCGGGTAATCATCTGGTATTAATAACCATCTCCTCATGTGTCTTTTGGCAGCACAAATGTCTTCTTTCGAGAAGTGTCTGTTCATATCCTTCACCCACTTTTTGATGGGGTTGTTTTTTTCTTGTAAATTTGTTTGAGTTCATTATAGATTCTGGATATTAGCCCTTTGTCAGATGAGTAGATTGCAAACATTTTCTCCCATTCTGTAGGTTGCCTGTTCACTCTGATGGTAGTTTCTTTTGCTGTGCAGAAGCTCTTTAGTTTAATTAGATCCCATTTGTCAATTTTGGCTTTTGTTGCATCATCACTGGCCATCAGAGAAATGCAAATCAAAACCACAATGAGATACCATCTCACACCAGTTAGAATGGCGATCATTAAAAAGTCAGGAAACAACAGGTGCTGGAGAGGATGTGGAGAAACAGGGACACTTTTACACTGCTGGTGGGACTGTAAACTAGTTCAACCATTGTGGAAGTCAGTGTGGCGATTCCTCAGGGATCTAGAACTAGAAATACCATTTGACCCAGCCATCCCATTACTGGGTATATACCCAAAGGATTATAAATCATGCTGCTATAAATACACATGCACACGTATGTTTATTGCGGCACTATTCACAATAGCAAAGACTTGGAACCAAGCCAAATGTCCAACAACGATAGACTGGATTAAGAAAATGTGGCATATATACACCATGGAATACTATGCAGCCATAAAAAAATGATGAGTTCATGTCCTTTGTAGGGACATAGATGAAACTGGAAACCATCATTCTCAGCAAACTATCGCAAGGATAAAAAACCAAACACCACATGTTCTCACTCATAGGTGGGAATTGAACAATGAGAATACATGGACACAGGAAGGGGAACATCACACACCAGGGACTGTTGTGGGGTGGGGGGAGTGGGGAGGGATAGCATTATGAGATATACCTAATGTTAAATGATGAGTTAATGGGTGCAGCACACCAACATGGCACATGTATACATATGTAACTAACCTGCAGGTTGTGCACATGTACCCTAAAACTTAAAGTATAATAAAAAAAAAAGAAGTACTGAAATAACCTATTGGGTATTATGCTGATTACCTGGGTGACAAAATTTTACACCAAACCCCCGCAACACATAATTTACCCACGTAACAAACCTGCACATGTATCCCTTGAATCTAAAATAAAAGTTGGAAAGAAGAAAAGAAAATTTTAAAAAATTAAAAAAACCATCTCCTCATCAAGAAACCAATTTTTACATAAAATATTTCTATGGCTGCATATATCGCACTGCTCAGAGTTAAGTATTTACAGATATGTTCTCTCAATAGACTCTGCATCTCTAAATAAAGCAGAGGTTTCAAACAAAAGTTGTAAGCAGTTACAAAGGACTTCACAAGAACATGTTACTAACAATTGTCCAATTACCAAAATCTGACAATGATTAAAAACAAAATCTAGGGGAGTCAGCACGGTTGTCCTAATAGCACCACTCTCTCAGTAACACTACTGTATGCCTTCTTCTGTGGGAGGCAACAAAATTGAATTGGAGATAATCATTCAGGAAATACAGATACACTGAAGCTTACTTGGGGTGTTCCAATGTAGGAAGAAGGAGTTAGGAATAGAGGTTCACACAGCCTACTCCTCATTCTCCCTTCTCTGCCTCAGCTATAGAGCCTGGGAAAACAAAACACTCATTTCTCCACCACCCTTGTAGCTGGATGGATCCCTTGTGGGAATCCTAGGCAGCGATTGTCATAGGATGCAGATACAAGGACAGCCCCAAAATATTAAGAAACCAAATTTATAAATGAATAAACACATGCAAAAATCTTTAAATCTTTTCCTCTATGAAGTATTCTTGTATAACCATCTATGAAGTATGAATCTATTCAAGCATCTGGTGCTTCCACTTACAAGAAATACTGTGGATAGAGTAACACACTGAAAGACACCAAAAGGAAGCAAACAAATGCATTCCAAATGTAGGAAAGAACACAGGACACCAAACTTGGTTTCTGCAACAAGTCAATAGCAGGAGAGAATAAAGTAGAGGGGCAGATTTCTCTAGATTAAAAGACATTATGAGATACAACAACTAACTGTATGATAGTATAGACCTTGTTAAGATCCCATTTGAACAAACCAACTGTTAAAAAATTTTTTGAGATAATCAGGGAAATTTGATTATTGTCTGGGTATTAGATAATACCAAATAATTATTGATTATTTCATTAGTCCATTTTTAAGGAAATATATACTGAAATACACAGAGAGTGTGGTAAGTTAGACTGCTGTTTAGAAATATCCTCTTCCATGCTCTCCAATCCCACTAAAGGACCAGAGTGTGTTTCCTTACCCCTTTAGTTTTGACTTGGCAGTGTAACTTATTCTGGCTACCAAAATGAAGCAGAAGTGATAATGTGCCAGTTCTAAACCTGGGCCTTGACAGATCTCACATGTCCACTTGCTCTCTTGTCCCTCTGTCTTCACTATGAGGACACAACCAAGCTAACCAAAACGAGCAGAGTGCTACCAAATATCCATGGCATTGGCTTTAGGTCCAGGCCATAACCATTGAGGACACTGTTACAGGAGGCTGGAAAAATGGTGACCTGGGTGATGCAGTGGTGAACATTTGGTGAACTGTTGCTGTAATTTAGAAGATAGAAAATGTACCTAATGAATCTTGGACTTGGGCAAGATGGTTTCCAGGCAGCAGGATAAAAGTGTGAACTCATTCATTTTAGTTGCATATATAATAAGGTACTATACAAAAGTGATATGCTCAGAGAAAAACCAATACCATGTGAAATACCATGCCTCTTTCAAATACTTTGGGAAAGAAAAAAACTGAAAAAGAGATTAAGCAATTCTCTTTGGCAAAAAGTTAATTGTTGAAACTGCATGATGGGTACTGCAAATGGAGGATCATAATACCATTTGCTCTTTTTGTGTATTTTCATAATTAATTTTTTTCATGATTAAAAGAAAATCCTTCCTCCACACTGTGATGGTCTTTCTAATGTGTCAACTTGGCTAAGCTACAGTCCTCAGTTATTGAATCAAACACTAATCTAGGTATTGCTATGAAGATAATTTGTAGATGTGATTAAAGTCCATAATCAGTTGACTTTAAGGGAGATTATTCTAACTAATCTGAGTATGTCTGATTCAATAAACTGAAAGGTCTTATGAGCAGAGCTGAGGCTTCCCTGGGAGGGGGAGAAATTCCACCCACAGACAGTAGCTTCAGTCTGTGTCCAAGAGTTCCAGCCCACCCTTCCTGAGGGGCTGCCCTGTGGATTCTGGACTTGCCTAGTTAGCCCCCATAATCATATAAGTCAATTCCTTATGATAAATCTCTTAATATATATCTCTTACTGGTTCTGCCTTGCTGACTGAACTCTGACCAATACATACCCATTCAAATCTTGCTACTTATTGAATGAGGCCAGTCACATTTAGAGTATGGTCACGTATATGCTGCCCATGCACTCGGATGCTGCGGCAACACCAAATTTCTGTAAGTTTCTGAACTTACTCTTGATTCTTTTTCCCTCATCGGGCAGTGATAAGCAGTTCATGGACTGGTACTGATACATGAACTACACTTAGAGTAGCACCAAAGTAGACATCTTGAAATCTGTGAGTTTGTTTCTTCACTTCTATAAAGGGAGTCAAACCACCTGCCTCACAAAGTCATTATGAGCAGATAAAGTACCTAATACATAGTAGTCACTCAAAAAATGCTGACCTCCTTTCAGAAAACAGAAGTGTCTGGTTCCTCAGAATGAACAGCATATTTAAAGAGAAAGAAACCCTTAACTTACCTGGAACTTAATCATACCGTCTTCCTTTTGGAAAGGGCAGGATTCTGGAAAAGCAGAACTGCAAAGAAGAAATAATCCATGAGATCATGGGTTCAACAAGTTGTGAATGAACATTGGTTCCTTCCTTATCTGTACAAGTTTCTCACAATTTCTCCTCTCACTGGATATCATCTCTTCTCGCTCTGAACAGACTGAACTCCCACCTCCTCAAGACTTCCCTAGATTTGTCCCCAGTCCCTCAATCTCAGACCACTGTGTAACTCCTATCTCTCTCCTGAAGCTTTTGGGTCAAAACCTGCACATTCTTTTCCTTTTCTGAGACTTGTGAATGAACTGACATAATCTACATCTCAATTATGCTGGAAAAGAGGCTACAGAATTGCTGAATAAGGGAGCAATCTCAGGGCTGGGCACAGTGGCTCACACCTGTAATCCCAGCACTTTGGGAACCCGAGACGGGTGGATCACTTGAGGCCAGGAGTTCGAGACCAGCCTGGACAACATGGTGAAACCCTGTCTCTACTAAAAATACAAAATTAGCTGGGTGTGGTGGCGGATGCCTGTAATCCCAGCTACTCAGGAGGCTGAGGCAGGACAATCACTTGGGAGGCAGAGGCTGCAGTGAGCTGTGATTGCACCACTGCACTCCAGCCTGGGCAACAGAGACAGACTTTGTCTCAAAAGAGAAAAAAAAAAAAAACAGAGGAAAAAAAAAAGAGAGAGCAATCTCAGGATGACAGGGACCTTCTGCTATTTCCACTTTCGCATGCAAGACTTGATCTTGTATGGCCAAGCCTGTGGTCTAAAGAACATGCCGTTAGCCAAAATATACAAATTAAATCCCAATTTTTATTATTATGTTAATCAATAATACAAATTTTTAAACATCTACACCTTGACTCTTGGCTTCCTAAACTATCTCTCCAGCACCCATTCTATCCCCTGCTTTTGCAAATATTGATGACACACCTATGACATATAAGACACATTCTCTGTTCTGGAAATGCTCATGGTATACTGAACTACACATGTTCTCAGACTGCAGGTAGACCAAAGTAGGTAGACAGAGGCCTTCTAAGCTTGCCACTTCATATACACTAAAGCCCCTTCCTGTTCTGCTTATATCAGTGGATTCCCTTGCCAGTTAGCTTCCAGTTGGGTTCAGCCAATGGGGAAAGCCAGCAAGAGATCCAGGGAAGGGACAAGAGTGAAGTCAGAATATTTATTCCCCCAGGTTTTTCCCTAGAGGTTGCTGTGGAATGGCTATATTCCATATCCATTGACCAAAGGTCATGGCCTCCATCAGGCAGCTGTCATCCCATAAATCTTTCTTCAGGTTTTAGCAACTGCCTCCTCCCTTAGCCCTTCAGTCCTAAAGTCAGTAAGTTACCCTGCTATCACTAGCTCTGAAATATTGCAGTATCCTTTGTTGATTACCACAGCCTGCCTACAACTTTATAGATTGTCCCTTTATTAAGCTCTTCTCAAATTACCCAATTTGAGTGTTCTGTTTATTTTTTATTGGGATTCCATCTGATAAACCCTGTAAACACAATTGCCTCTGGCCTTTGTGGAGAAACTTATTGTATAAAATTGCCACTTTAAGCACTGTGGAAACACCGAAGATTAAAAAACAAAAGCCCAAAGCCATGTTTCTGCCTTCTCAGATAGTGCTTCTCACACTATCTGTGATAAAGGACTAGTTTTTAAATTATTATTACTGTTACTTTCAGTCTGTCACAGACTGATATTCTGGTAAGATACAGTAACAAGAAATTACCAGAAAAAGGAAATTTAGAAGGTATGCAAATTAAAGCCCAATTGTTATTATTATGTTAATCAATAAGACAAAATTTTCAACATCTACACTCAAGTTCTCAAATTATCTGGTCACAGACCAATATCATTTATTGGCACTGGTCTGTGGGCTACCCTTTGAATTGCAGCTCACAGGGTTATAGAATCAGGTTAATAGAATGTGAAATGTCTTTTTGGTAAATCCTTGGACTCTTTTTCTCTCCTTTCCTACCTTTAAGAGACATCATTAATCACTTCTTATTTTGGGCTCCAACAAAGGCCAAAATAAGGAGGGTTCAACTCATTAGTACAGCATGAATTACATCGTTTTACAATAGTTAAAACCTACCAAGAAAACACTCCTCCTTTCCCCTGTCAAAAAACTACAAATCCTAAAAAAAAAAAAAAATAACCAAGCTGTAGTCTTTTATCCACTGTACTTGGTAAGGATCTTATCATTTAACAAGCACTCAATCAATGTTTCTCAATATTAACAAATGCACAAATAGAATTGGCTTGGATATTATACATTAGATGCACGTGCAAAGACATAAACTCACCCTCTACTTCCAGTACCTGTTCTCACTGAAGAGCCAATAATGGGACAGGTTTATTTTGAAGCACACATCCACACACATGCACTCACACATATATGGTTGGGGGTTTGGTTTCCTGAATTTCTGGCTTCAGACACTACCTGCCTGTATCAAGTCAGGGCCGTGGCACGAACCAGACGGCACATTGAAATTTGAGGAGAGTTTAATAAACAGACGGCTTACAATGGTGTTGGCTCGGGGTAAGGAAATCACAATGGATAAGGCTCTATCCTGGGGAGTGACAGGGAGGTGCCATTATAATACCTGGGCCTTAAGAGGTAAGGGGAGGGAGCAGTCCCTGGAGCCTGGAACTAAGAGGACTGTGTGGCCAGGGCCACCCAAACTATGACCTGTTGTTTAGAAGGGCAGCTAATCTGTGACAATCCTGCAGAGAGAGAACTGGGGGACAAGATACTCCAACTCACACTTCTTCCTCTCTCCAAACTTTCCTGTTGAGACTTCCCATTGGCCAAAGACAAGCAAGGCCAGAAGGCAATGGCGGCCTTTCAGGGCAGACAGCAGGGTGGAAAAGGTGGGGAGCCAAAGGCATGGGACACATGGCACCTCAAGACTCTTGTTTTTTCCCTATCTGCCAAAGTCCACACAGCTCTCGCACACAAATGCCTTTCTCATCCCTCACCCTGACAACTACTCTGATCTGAGGAATGCATCAGGAATGAGACCAGATGCCCATATCAACTTCTTCAGGGAATGAAGACCTAGAGGAAAAGTGCAGCTGAATCTGGAACTGCAATTGCCCAGAAACACGATCAGAAATGTAATAAATGCTGCTATTACACCTAAAATAATTAACACTAAATCTCTAACTTTATCAAATATACAGAGAGTGTTCAAACTTCAAATTTGTTGAGTGTAATTTAACAACTTATATTTGCTAATGTGCTTTATAATACTCAAAGTCCCTACTCCCTGGCTCACAGCATGTGAGGTGAGAATGGAGTTAATAATTTGGGGCAGTTCTTTTCTTTTCTTTTTTCTTTGAGACAGAGTCTGGCTCTGTCGCCCAGGCTGGAGTGCAGTGGCGTGATCTCAGCTCACTGCAAGCTCCGCCTCCCGGGTTCACGCCATTCTCCTGCCTCAGCCTCCCGAGTAGCTGGGACTACAGGCGCCTGCCACCGTGCCCGGCTAATTTTTTGTAATTGTTTTTTGTAGTAGAGACGGGGTTTCACCGTGTTAGCCAGGATGGTCTCGATCTCCTGACCTCGTGATCCGCCCACTTTGGCCTCCCAAAGTGCTGGGATTACAGGCGTGAGGCACCGCGCCAGGCCTGGGACAGTTCTTTTCAAAATGTATTCGGTGACATTAAACTCTGGAGTTATTACAGTATTACAGTCTGAGTTGTTTCTTTATTGCCAAAAGCCAGAACCTCTGCCTTGAAGTCATAAATGCCCCAATGGAGTCAGAGCTGCCAAAATCCAGAGTTCAGACCCAAGACAACTCCCCATCCAAGAACCTAGGGGTGCTGAGCCAGAATCGCCCCCACCAAACTGAGCGAGAACAGCCGAAGCCATCCTCTATATCCAGAGACTAGCTGCTTAAGCAAATCCCTCATCCCATTCAGGGACGCACAGTCCAGCCATTACTCCAAAACCCTGAGCCAGCGCCCCTCTGCCCTCATCCAGAGATGCACATCCCAAGACTGACCCTAAGCTTCGACCCGAGGAGGCACAGCGCAAGTCGCTGTCACGAAACGTGAAGATGCACTGTTTTGTCAAACCCAGGGCTGCTCCCCAAACCGAGCCCACGCTCGAGCCCACGCTCTTCCCATCCTATCCCGGGTAGGTCGGGCCGCTGAACTTCCCTAGTCTACCCCACCTACGAGGCCTTATCATTGGTTACCAGTCCCCTCTTCCACTCCTCCTACTTCAGTCCACAGGGACGGGTCACAGCTGCACATCCTACACTCCTACTCCTGGCTACGCCTCCAAGAGGGGCGCGGTACAGACGGGACTCACCCCAGCGTCCCAAACAATGTCGCCCGCAGCGTGCGTCCAGTACCATGGCGCATGCGCAAGGAGGCCTATGGCCTACAATCCCCAGAAAGCCCCGCGCGCAGCAGTGGCCATTCGCAAGGCTACCCTGGTGAAGGTGGCCTTTGACTTCCGTGCATTTGGAAGTCCTTTGACTTCCGTGCATTCGTCTAAAATAACGACAATCATAATAACGATAAAATAATGAAATGTTAAATAAATCACTATCAACGATGAAAAGAAGTTTCAATATTTTACTACTTGGAAATGGGCACTTTACCGTTTTAGTGAAGACTTTTATAAGTTCTTATTTTATAGGCATGTCTTTTAACGTTAAAACCACGAAACTTTTCAATTAACACTCACTTAAATAATTCCCTCCCCGCCCCCCACCATGTTTTATTTCTGTTGATGAAAACTCTGGATAATCTACACTTGCGATATAACATAGCCCTGTAATTTATTTCCTAGTCTCAGAAGAAGCAGAAGGAATTAACAACTATTGTCTGAATCCTTAACAGGGGAATTGCAGGAGTACTGAGAGTGTCCTAAAAGAGACACATTACAACATAACAAGAAAACGCGGGAAGTTTTCAGATTCTTTTTGAAAATTTGCCCTTGTTGAGACTTAGGCTTTATTTTACTTCATGTTATTGCATTTAAGATTTAAGATTTCTATTAAAGAAAAATTTGGGTACCCTAAATGGGGTAAGAAAATTGAATAGGAATTCCATTAGAGGCCCACAGTTTTAGCCTGGAGGAAAGCCCTGATAACGTGTGAGAACAATCTGTCTCCTAGGAAAGGTCACCTGGTCCTGCTGGCAGAGTCTCTGTTTGGAATATCTGGCTGGCATTCCCTTTTCCACGCACCCTCAAGCTGTAGGGGTGGTGAGGCGGTTCCAGTCCTAGACTAGATAGAGAAGTGAAGACCCCCACCTCTACGCAATGGGCAGGAAATGGTTGAATAATATCCAACTATAGCTTGACATCGCAGCTTAGGGCACATAAAGGGACAGTGCAATTGTTTTGGCTTATCTCTGTCTTTTGATGTTTACATGTTTGATGTTCTTATATATTGCTCTAAGTTGAAGGATTACTTGATTTAATTTGACATACTTGAATTTTAAAAAACGAGTTCAGGAACATTTTTATTTTTGACCTAATACAAGGTTAATTTTTGTGACATCTGTGTCTGTTGGAAAACAATGTGTCTTCTCTATCAGATGGATATGCATACATTTATATTTTCCCCAGACTTGCTAACTGTGCTATTTAAATTTCCTACATGCTTATTTGTGCTTACTTAGATTTTTTCATTATGCATCTGTCAACGATTGAAAAGTGCATGTCAAAAAGGTTCCCAGTCTGGGCGTGGTGGCTCAAGCCTGTAATCTCAGTACTTTGGGAGGCCGAGGTGGGCAGATCACGCGGTGAGGAGTTCAAGACCAGCCTGGCCAAGGTGGTGAAACCCCATCGCTACTAAAAATACAAAACTTAGCCAGGCATGGTGGCAAGCACGTGTAGTCCCAGCTACTTGGGAGGCTGAGGCAAGAGAATCACTTGAACCCAGGAGGTGGAGGTTGCAATGAGCCGAGATCATGCCACTGCACTCCAGCCTGGGCGACAGAGCAAGACTCTGTCACCAAAAAAAAAGAAAAAAGAAAAAAGTGAAAGAAAAAAAAGCCTATAATGGTAAATTTGTCATTTTCCTCTCTATAGCATTTGCTTTATTTATTTATTTATTTATTTATTTATTTATTTCCTTTATTTTTTTTTTGAGACTGAGTCTCGCTCTGTTGCCCAGGCTGGAGTGCAGTGGCGCCATCTCAACTCACTGCAAGCTCTGCCTCCCAGGTTCACACCATTCTCCTGCTTCAGCCTCCCGAGTAGCTGGGACTACAGGTGCCCGCCACCAGGCCCAGCTAATTTTTTTGTATTTTTAGTAGAGACAGGGTTTCACCGTGTTAGCCAGGATGGTCTCCATCTCCTGACCTTGTGATCTGCCCACCTCGGCCTCCCAAAGTGCTGGGATTACAGGCGTGAGCCACCATGCCCAGCCTGCTTCATTTTTCAAAAGTCAAGTTACTAGGTATACAAATGGCTTTACTTTTTAAAAGTTGTGTTGTTAGGTATGGAAGTGTTGTATTCCTTATCTGAAATACTTGGGACCAGAAGTGTTTCAGATATTTTATTTTTTTCAGATTTTGCAATATTTGCATATACGTAATGAGATATCTTGAGGATGAGACCCAAGTCTAAATGCAAAATTCATTTGTGTTCCATATAAACCTTATACATGTAGCCTGAAATTAATTTTATAGAATTATTTTGAATAATTTTGTTCACAAGGTTTGTATACAATGTTTGTGTGCATTGAACCATCAGAAGCAAAGATTGCCTTCGTCAGATGACCAAAGAAAAATCAATGAAAAGAACAGAAAGAAAGCAAATACTTCAGGTGTGGAATTTTCCACTTGTGGTGTCATGTTCACATTCCAAAAGTTTTAGATTGTGAAACATTTTGGATTTTAAAATTTAGTGATGCTGACCCTGTGTAAGTTTCATAATGTTCATATCTTCTTGATGGGCCAAAAATTTCGTTAACAATTTTAAGTATTTTGTATTTTCACCTTGAGTTTACTTTTCAGTGAAGACTGTACCTGCTTTCTTTTCATTAGATTTCATCTAGTATTTATTCTTTCATTTTGTCTTAAAATTAGTATATTTCTTTACCTTATTATTTATATACTCTTTATTATTATAGTTATTTTTAAATGTTACTTTTACCTAATCTAAGAGCTTGGCTTTAGTCTGAAAATCCACACTTAAATGGGTGTGTTAAGAACAAAAGAGAAAGCTCTTGTATAATTGATCTAGGAGCTGCTCATACTTCCCAACTGTAGAACAGTGAATCTGGCCTGTAATCCTAGTTGCTCAAGCAGCTGAGGTGGGAGGATGGCTTGAGCCTGGAAGGTTCAGGGTGTAGTGAGCTATGATGGTGCTACTGTACTCCAGCTTGGGTGACAGCATGAGATCTTATGTCTGAAAAAATAGAACAGTGACCCTCAAACAGGAATGAAATAGCCTCCCTAAGACTTTTTTGAATTGTGTGAGTGATCTTTGCTTGCTCCAGTGACTGGGGTATGTGTTTAGTATGCAGAGGTAAGGAATGCTAAACATATTGCACTTGTAAATTAATTCTCTCAACAAAGAAGTCATCCATTCAAATACCCAACAGTAACCCCTTGAAAATCACTGCTCTAAAGGAAAGAAAATGAACAACAATAACCTCAATCAAATAAAAGGAGGGAAAGAAACAATCAAATCAGTAAAGAGAAAGTCAAACTGCTGCTGTTTGCTGATGATATGATCATATACCTAGAAAACCCTAAAGACTCCTTCAAAAAGCTTCTAGAACTCATAAATGAATTCAGCAAAGTTTCAGGATACAAAATTAATGTACACAAATCATAGCTCTGTTGTACACCAAAAGCAACCAAGCTAAGAATGAAATCAAGAACTCAACCCCTTTTACAACAGCTGCAACAAAAAATACATAGGAATATTTCTAACCAAGGAGGTGAAAGACCTCTCTACAAGGAAAACTACAAAACACTGTTGAAAGAAACCATAGATGACACAAACAAATGGAAACACATCCCATGTTTATGAATGGGTAAATCAATATTGTAAAAATGACCATACTGCCAAAAGCTGTTTACAAATTCAATGCAAGTTCCATCAAAATACCACCATCATTCTTTCCAGAACTAGAAAAGACAATTCTAAAATTCATATGGAACCAAAGAAGAGCCCGCAGAGCCAAAGCAAGACTAAGTAAAAAGAACAAGTCTGGAGGCATCACATTACCTGACTTCAAACTATACTATAAGGTTGTAGCCACCCAAACAGCATGGTACTGGTATAAAAATAGGTACAAAGACCAATGGAACAGAATAGAGAACCCAGAAATAAATCCAAATACTTACAGCCAACTGATATTTGAAAAAACAAACAAAAACATAAAGTGAGGAAAAGACCTCCTATTCAGGCTGGGCGCGGTGGCTCACGCCTGTAATCCCAGCACTTTGGGAGGCCGAGGCGGGTGGATCACAAGATCAGGAGATCGAGACCATCCTGGTTAAGGCGGAGAAACCCCGTCTCCACTAAAAATACAAAAAATTAGCCTGGCGCTGTGGCGGGGGCCTGTAGTCCCGGCTACTCAGGAGGCTGAGGCAGGAGAATGGTGTGAACCTGGGAGGCGGAGCCTGCAGTGAGCCGAGATCGCACCACTGCCCTCCAGCCTGGGTGACCCAGCGAGACTCTGTCTCAAAAAAAAAAAACAAAAAAAACAAAACAACAACAACAACAACAAAAACCGTATTCAACAAATGGTGCTGGGATAATTGGCAAGCCACATGTAGAAGAATGTGACTGGATCCTCATCTCTCACCTTATGCAAAAGTCAACTCAAGATGGATCAAAAACTTAAAACTTGAAACCATAAAAATTCCAGAAAATAACATCAGAAAAACCCTTCAAAACATTAGCTTAGGCAAAGACTTGATGACCAAGAACCCAAAAGCAAATTCAACAGAAAAAATGATAAATAGGTGGGACTTAATTTAACTAAAAATTTTCTGCACAGCAAAAGAAACACTGAGCAGAATAAACAGACAACCCACAAAGGGGAGAAAATCTTCACAATCCATACATCTGAAAAAGGATGAATATTCAGAATCTTCAAGGAACTCAAACAAATTAGCAAGAAAAATACAAAGAATCCCATCAAAAAATGGGCTAAGGACATGAATAGACAATCCTTAAAAGAAGATATACAAATAGCCAACAAACATATGAAAAAATGCTCAACATCACGAATGATCAGGGAAGTGCAAATCAGAAACACAATGCAATACCACCTTACAGCTGCAAGAATGGCCATAATAAAAGATTTAAAAAATAATAGATGTTGGTGGGGCTGTGGTGAAAAGGGAACACTTTTACACTGCTGGTGGGAATGTAAACTAGTGCAACCACTATGGAAAACAGTGTGGCAATTCCTTAAAGAACTAAAAGTAGAACTACCATTTGATTCAACAATTCCACTACTGGGTATCTACCCAGAGGAAAAGAAGTCATTATATGAAAAAGATAGTTGCACACACGTTTATAGCAACATAATAAGATGTTTTATAAATATAAGTGATGAAATCCCTCTATTGAAAGTTTATTAGAGTTCATCAGCATTGATATCATCTCTCAAAATTAAAAAAAAAGTTTTCTTTTGTTGTTTGTTTTGGTTTTTGTTTGTTTGTTTTGATGCATGGTCTTGCTCTATTGCATATATATATATATGTATATATGAATGCTATTCCACAATAAAGAGGAACAAATTAATGCCATTCATAGCAACTTGGATGGAATTGGAGACCATTATTCTTAGTGAAATAACTCAGGAATAGAAAACCAAATATTGTTTGTTCTCACTCATAAGTGGGAGTTAAGCTATGAGGATGCAAAGGCATAAGAATGATACAATGGACTTCAGGGATGGAGGGGAGGGAAGGATGGGAGAGGGGTGAAGGAAGAAAGACTACAAATTGGGTACAGTGTATACTGCTCAGGTGATGGGTGCACCAAAATCTCACACATCACCGCTAAAGAATTTATTCGTGTAACCAAATGCAACCTGTTTCTCAAAATCCTATTAAAATAAAAATAAATCAAAAAATTAAAAGCCATTGCAAATAAAGACAAAATCAGATGTTTTATAAATATAAGTGATAAAATTTCTCTATTAAAAGTTTATAGAGTTCATCAGTGTTGATATTATCTTTCCAAATTAAAAAATGTTTTGTTTGTTGTTTGTTTTGGTTTTTGTTTGTTTGTATTGATGCATGGTCTTGCTCTGTTGCTTACTGCAGCCTCAACTTCCTAGGCATGAGTAATCCTCCCACCTCAGTGTCCCAAGTAAGTGGAACTACAGGTGTGCACCATCATGCCTAACTGATTTTTAAAAATTTTCTTATAGAGATAGAGTCTCACTGTGTTGCCTAGGCTGGTCTGAAACATGTGTGTTCAAACAATCCTCCCAGCTTGGACAGAAAAAATGTTGGAATTACAGGCACAAGCCATCATGTCTGGACAGAATTTTTTTTTTTTTTTTTTTTTTTGAGACGGAGCCTCTTGCTCTTTTGCCCAGGCTGGAGTGCAATGGCGCGATCTTGGCTCACTGCAAGCTCTGCCTCCCGGGTTCACGCCATTCTCCTGCCTCAGCCTCCCCAGTAGCTGGGACTACAGGTGCCCACCTCCACGCCCGGCTAATTTTTTTGTATTTTTAGTAGAGACGGGTTTTCACCATGTTAGCCAGGATGGTCTCAATCTCCCAACCTCGTGATCCAACCGCCTTGGCCTCCCAAAGTGCTGGGATTACAGGCGTGAGCCACTGCGCGCGGTGTAAAAATTTTTTTAATTAAAAATTAAATAATTAAAAAGTGGATGAAAGACATAACAAGGCACTGAAATGAAAAATGACGAAAAGGCATCAACTATGACCACCTTGTTATCACAAAAATGAAAACCAACATCATTTTTACATATCAAGTTCACAAAGATTAAACATAAATCCCTTGATCCTCAATAGTGTGAAAAAATGGACACGTTTACATTTTAGGCTGACAGAAAAAAACAAAAACAGTTTTTCCTCCGCTCTCACATCACAACAATCAACACAGAAGATTTCTGTGACGATATGTCTAGGGATTTCTCTCGGTCAGTCAAGCACACAATCCATTCTGCTGTGGAGAGCAGCTGGGTGTCTTCTAATTCATTTATGACACTATCTAACTGGACATAGCATTAGATTCCACAGGGCTCAGTTCCGCAAGACTGGCCTCCCACTCTAATAACAATGGCAAGCCATACGTTGTTTTACCTATGCTTTCATCAACTAGCTATAAATCAGGTTTCCACCGCTCCCTATTTTAGTTGCATTACTTTCCTCGAACAGCTCACAGCACGCAGGGAAACACTGACATTTACAACTTTACCATAGCGGATATTGCAAAAAATCCAGAAAAAAAGATTCATGGGTCCTGGCAGGGGGAAGGGGCGCACTACTTTCCAGGAAGTTTTACCCAGAAGCTCTCTAAACCCAGTCCTTTTGAGTTTCTATGAAGGCTTCACTCTATAGGCATGATAGGTTAAGCCATACGCTATTGGTGATCAACTCAACCTTCAGGCACTCAACCCTCCTGGAAAATGGGGTTCAGGCACTGCCATTCTCAGTCTGAATAATAGAATTTACATAAACAGAATTTTACAACAGATTAGCATAACTGAAAACTGAATTAGATGATTGAATTATCTGGAGCCACACCTTGATATTCCTAATCCAATCACCCTCATCCAATGAATGCTCCACCCAACTGGCCCCGAAGTATCTAGATGGTTCCAGAGCAGAAGAATGTTTATACAACGGATATCTCCCCTTTTTCTCAAAAGTCGTTTCGCTTACACGGGTAATTCTTAAACTGCCATGCATCAGAGTCAGGGGGAGGGCTTGTTACAACACAGATCTGTGGATCTCCGGGGTTTGAGGGTTGCAAGGATGCTGCTGGTGTCAAAACCACAATGTGAGAACCACAGAACCACTAGATGGTTTTCAGTGTTTCAGTGCATTTAATTCATAATATATTTCACCAAGAAAACTTGTAAGTTCTTAGATTGTCCCAAATGTGGCGCATGAAATCAAATCAGGAGAACAGTTTCCTACGCGGTGTAACCTGGGAAAGTTGGGGGTGACTGATGGAAAGGAGGAGTGAAGCTCCGCCCTTTCCGCTGCCAGGCTGCGCCCGCCCGAGGCTATTTAAACCCACCCTGGCGGGCCTGTACTCAGATCTTCACAGAGCGGAGCAGCGGCCGGAGCGTTTTGCGGGCTCTGCGTGGACTTGGAGCTTACAGCGTCTTGCGACTTGGAAGCAGATTCAGAGGACAGGACAGAACACTTGGGTAAGTGAATCTCTGTCTGTCTGTCTGTCTGTCTGTCTCATTGGTTGGTTTATTTCCATTTTCTTAAGGAGCACATACCTCACATCACACACACACACACACACACACACACACACACACACACACACACTCCTTCTTTCTGCGGGTTAGAAAACTGGTAGGCTTCTCTGGGAGCTACAGGTTTCCTAATCATGTCTGCACCTAAGAACAGTAGGGTCTTGTCTGGCTCTTCTTATGAACCGTCCCCCAGCCCGGACTCCCCAAGATCCATGCTAGCCTCACCCAGCTTCTCCCTCTCCCCTCTCAGAAACTCAGACTTAAGAGGAAGCTCCTCACCAGGGATCCGGAGCTACCGTTCACCCTCCCCTAGGGCTTCACCACACTCACCTCTGTCATCACCAGAATCCCACAAGCTCCCATTTCCCTTTCCTCAACCGTGATGGGCAATCAATGAAGCCATTGGGTTCTCCCGCGTCCTCCTCTGGGGATTCTTTAGAATCACCACGTTCATCAATAATATAACACATGTTCTTACTGCCATCACCCAGCAGCTCACCCCCGGCTCTCTGGGAATCTCCTGTGCCTCCCAGCCACTCTCCGAACAACCCCGGATTTCAGCTGGAGTCAGCCCCCCACACCCAGGAATCACCTACAAACTCACGAGCCTCACGGTGCTCCTCCCCTGTGTCTTTCATCTCTTCACCCCCAGGCCTCAGGGACTCTCCTGTGCCTACCAGTTACTCTCCAGCCATCCCCAGGTTTCTGCGGGAGTCAGCCTCATGCACCCAGGAGTCCCCCAGAGACTCACACGTCTCGGGAGATTATGAGCGGTCCCCCAGCCCTGACTCCTCAAGATTCATGCCTGCCTCACCCAGCTTCTCCCTCTCCCCTCCCAGAAACTCAGACCCAAGGGGCAGCTCCTCGCCAGGGATGTGGAAGTACTCTACATCATCCCGCAGGGCTTCACCACTCTCACATCCATCATCAACAGAATTTCACAACTTTACATTTCCCTTTCCTGACCAAGCAGGACAATCACTGATGTCATTGTGCTCTCCCGGACAATCACTGATGTCATTGTGCTCTCCCGTGTCCTCCTCTGGAGATTCTTCACAGTCACCTCATTCATCAATAATATACCATATGTTCTTACTGCCATCATCCAGCAGCTCACCCCCAGCCATCAATGACTCTCCTGTCTGTCCCAGCTACTCTCCAACTACGCCCAGATTTCAGCGGGAGTCGGTCTCCCACTCCCCAGAAACACCTACAAACTCACAGACCTCAGTGAGATCCTCGCCAGTCTCTCTCATGTCTTCACCCCCAGCCCTTACGGACCCTCCTGTCTGTCCCAGCTACTCTCCAACCACGCCCACATTTCAGCGGGGGTCATTTTCAGGAACCCAGGGATCACTACCAAGCTCACCACTTTCACTGAGTTACTCCCCAGTCTCTAGCAGGTCTTTATCCCCAAGCCTCAGGGACTCTCCTGTCCGTCCCAGCTACTCTCCAACCACGCCCAGATTGCAGCTGGAGTCAGTTCCAGGCACCCTGGAATCACCACCAAACTCACCAATTTCACTCAATTACTCCCCAGTCTCTCTCATGTCTTCACCAGCCCTCAGGGACTCTCCTCTGTGTCCCAGCTACTCTCATACCACGCCCACATTTCAGCAGGAGTCACTTCCAGGCACCCAGAAATCACCACCAAACTCACCAATTTCACTCACTTACTCTCCAGTCTCTCTCATGTCTTCACCAGCCCTCAGGGACTCTCCTGTCTGTCCCGGCTACTCTCCAACCACGCCCAGATTGCAGCTGGAGTCAGTTCCAGGCACCCCGGAATCACCACCAAACTCACCAGTTTCACTGAGTTACTCCCCGGTCTCTCTCATGTCTTCACCCCCAGCCCTCAGGGACTCTCCTGTGTGTCCCAGCTACTCTCCAACCACGCCCAGATTTCAGCGGGAGTCAGTTGCAGGCACCCAGGAATCACCTACAAACTCACCAGTTTCACTGAGTTACTCCCCAGTCTCTCTCAAGTCTTCACCGCCAGCCTCCTGGGACTCTCCTGTCTGTCCCACCTACTCTCCCGCCACGCCCAGATTTCAGCGGGAGTCAGCCTCCTACACTCAGGAATCACCTACAGACTCACAGACCTCACTGAGATCCTCCCTGGTCTCTCTCAGCTCTTTGCCCTCAGCCCACAGGGACTGTTGTGTCTCTTTCAGCTACTCTCAAAACTTCTCTAGATTCCCGCTGGAGTCAGTTCCAGGCACCCAGGACACACCAGCAAACTCACCAATTTCACTCAGTTACTCCCCAGTCTCGCTCATGTTTTCACCCCCAGCCCTCAGGGACTGTTCTGTCTCTCTCAGTTACTCTCCAACCATCTCCAGATTTCAGCTGGAGTCAGCTTCCCACACCCAGGAATCACCTACAAACTCACGGACCTTACTGCCACCCTCCCCCATTTCTTTCACCTCTTCACCCCCAGCCTTCAGGGACTCTCCTGTGTCTCCCAGCTTCTCTCTGGCCTTCCCCAGATTTCTGCCGCGGTCAGCCCCAGGCACCCAGGAGAACCCTAGACACTCACAGGCCTCACGAGACTATTTCCCTGTGACCTGTATCTATACAGGGGTGGCTCCCACGTATCCCTCAGTGACCCCAAACCCATCTCCACTTACACTCAGACACTCCCAGGGCCTGACAGCTACTCCCCGTTATTGTCCTTCAGTTGGAAGCCCTGGCCAATCTACTAGCCAACATGACGCAGTTACCTGGCCATTTCTCCACATTCCTGGTGAGCGCCCCACACCCAGCCGCAGAAAAGCCCCTCCTGCATTCCGTCCTCACACACAGGCCTGTCCATCTACTTGCTACTGTCACACTCTTGCCAGCAGAAGAGGCCCCTCTAATGGCCGATATCACCGCCCAGGCTATCCTCACCCCACAGCTGTGCAGCGGGACCCTCCTGCTGGCCCACGTGGCTGCCAGAGCCCATGCTGACACCAACCTCCAGCATGTCGGCATCCCTGCGGGCGACACTACCGGTGACATGGCCAGCATGACCCTCCTCCCTGGCAGTGACACTGTTGATGTGAGCCCCAGTTTCAGATCTGTCATTTGTAAATAGGACCATTTTCCCTTTTCTCTCTCGCTTCCATTCACAGGGCTTTTCATTCTCTCTGTTTCTGCCTCCGTTTCAGATATTTACTCACCTTTTTCTCTTTCACTATGTCTGCCGTGGTCTCGACGAGAGTGCGCCACATAAGATTCCCCCATTAAAAGTCATGAATTGAGTGGCTTTTAGTATACTTGTGGTTGTGCACGTTCAATTTTAATTCGCAATCCATTTGAGAACATTTTATCACCCCCGACCAGAGAAAAACCCTCTAAACGTCAGTCACTCCTCATTCTGTCTCAAACTCTCTCCCTGACCCTCAACCCTAGGTAACAACTACATAGAGCGCTCAACCCTATCTCCTTAGATTTCCATATTGTGGACATTTCCTATCAACAGAATTATAACATATGTGAACTTTTATGACCGACTTTACACTTAGCACAATATTTTCAAGGTTCATCCACATTGTAGCATTACCCACAGTGGGAAACCATTTTTTTTTTTTTTGGTTTTAGTAACACCAGGTGTTTTCTCCTTCCTTCTTTCCTTCCTTCCTTCCTTCCTTCCTTCCTTCCTTCCTTCCTCCCTTCCTCCTATTTCTCTCTTACTCCTTCTGCCCTCTCTCTTTCACATGCCTTCGGTGCATCCTACTTTCTGTGTGTTTTTGGGAAATCCTCGACAGTTGCAGGAAAATTGTGTTATTGTTATTATTTACCGGTATCTCTCTTTCATGGTTCTCCATCAGTTGTAAACATCTACTGGTTTCTCCCAAGTCACTAAGTATATTTTAATGAGGTACACCTGTTTTTCTTTATACAGCTATTTCTGGAGTGTAGGGTCACATACTGATAAACCCAATGTGACCCAAAAACGCATCTAATACCCCAATAAACCCATCATAAAGTTGAAAAATCATAAATCAAACCATCATAAGTCACGGTTTGTCCGTGGATATGGGCTTCATCAATTCCATTGTATTCAATAATGCTCTGCACGATTAACAATGGCAGACTGATAGGGAGTGGATACTGATAGCATTTTAAAAATCAGTTATTAGAGGGATACTTTAACCTGACTGAATAACTGATCTAATTGTATTAGTACGGTGAATAATTATGTGAAATGTTTTGAGACAGTGTAGTACATTTGTGAATGAAATTTTGTGGCTTTTTTCCACTTAGTAGGAACCTTTGTGTGTAGAAAACTGAGAAGATTGCTTTCTGCTGTAGAGTCTGGCATTCGTTGTAGATTAAAGCTTATTTTTCTGCGAATAAGCCATAGTCAATAAAATACTATTCTTTAAAAAAATAAAAAACACTGGTGATGTGAAGTCATTATCCTCAGCAAACTAATCCATGAACAGAAAACCAAAACCACATTTTCACCTATAATGGGAGCTGAAAAATGAGAACACATGGACACAGGAAGGGGAACAACACACACTGGGGCCTTTCGGGAAGCAGAGCGTTAAGAAAAACAGCTAATGCATGCTGGGCTTAATCCCTAGGTGATGGGTCGACAGGTGCAGCAAACCACCATGGCACACGTTTACCTTTGTAACAAATCTGCACATCCTGCACATATACCCCAGAACTTAGAAACAAAACGAAACAAATCAAAAGGAAAAAACAATAACAAAACGCTAGTGGCAAAATAAAGTTTCAAACTGAGAAAGCGATAGAGCAATTTTTGGTTGAAATCATGGTTCTCAACCCAGGTGCCATAAGGTCAGGATAAAGAATTTGATTACGTATTGTAAATAAGACATACAGCAAATGACTAGAAAAATTATTCTCAACATATATGTGCCTTCTAATTCAATGATGACGCTATCTACCGGGACATAGCATTAGATTCCAAAGGGCTCAGTCCCGCAAGACTGGCCTCCCTCTCTAATAACAATGGGAAGCCCTATGTTGTTTTACCTGTGCTTCTTAGCAACTGGCTATAAATCAGGTTTCCACCACTCCCTGTTGTAATTGCATTAATTTGCTGGAAGAGCTCACAGCACGCAGGGAAATACTTCCATTTACCATTTTATGATAGCGGATATTGCAAAAAATTTAGAAAACAGATTATGGGCCTGGCATGTGGGGAGGGGCGCACTGCCTTCCAGGAAGTGTTATCCACAAGCTCTCTAAACCCAGTCCTTTTGGGTTTTTACGGAGACCTCATTCTATAGGCATGATGGGTTAAACCATAGGCGATTGGTGATCAGCTCAACCTGAGGCTCTCAACCCTCCCTGGAAATTGGGGTTGAGGCATTGCCATTCTCAGTCTGAGTAGAAGAATTTACACAAACGGAATTTTAAGACAGATTAGCAAAACTGAAAACTGAATTAGATGATTGAATTATCTGGAGCCACATCTTGATATTCCTAACCCGAGCACCCTCATCCAACGAATGCTCCACCCAACTGGCTCCTAAGTCTCCACGTGGTTCCAGAGCAAAAGAATGTTCCTACAACGCATATCTCCCCTTTTTCTTCAAAGTCTTTTCGCTTACACGGGTAATTCTTAAACTGCCATGCATCAGGGTCAGGGGGAGGGCTTGTTACAACACAGATCTGTGGATCTCCGGGGTTTGAGGGTTGCAAGGATGCTGCTGGTGTCAAAACCACAATGTGAGAACCACAGAACCACTAGATGGTTTTCAGTGTTTCAGTGCATTTAATTCATAATATATTTGGCCAAAAAAACTCGTAAGTTCTTAGATTGTCCCAAATGTGGCGCATGAAATCAAATCAGGAGAACAGTTTCCTACTCGGTGTAACCTGGGAAAGTTGGGGGTGACTGATGGAAAGGAGGAGTGAAGCTCCGCCCTTTCCGCTGCCAGGCTGCGCCCGCCCGAGGCTATTTAAACTCACCCTGGCGGGCCTGTACTCAGATCTTCACAGAGCGGAGCAGCGGCCGGAGCGTTTTGCGGGCTCTGCGTGGACTTGGAGCTTACAGCGTCTTGCGACTTGGAAGCGGATTCAGAGGACAGGACAGAACACTTGGGTAAGTGAATCTCTGTCTGTCTGTCTCATTGGTTGGTTTATTTCCATTTTCTTAAGGAACCCATACCTCACACCACACACAAACACACACACACACACACACACAAACACACACCCACTCCTTCTTTCTGCAAGTTAGAAAATTGGTAGGCGTCCCTGGGAGCTACAGGTTTCCTAATCATGTGTGCACTTAAGAACAGTAGGGTCTTGTCTGGCTCTTCTTATGAACCGTCCCCCAGCCCAGACTCCCCAAGATCCATGCTAGCCTCACCCAGCTTCTCCCTCTCCCCTCTCAGAAACTCAGACTTAAGAGGAAGCTTCTCACCAGGGATCCGGGGCTACCATTCACCATCCCCTAGGGCTTCACCACACTCACCTCTGTCATCACCAGAATCCCACAAGCTCCCATTTCCCTTTCCTCACCATGATGGGCAATCAATGAAGCCATTGGGCTCTCCCGTGTCCTCCTCTGGGCATTCTTTAGAATCACCACGTTCATCAATAATATACCACATGTTCTTACTGCCGTCACCCAGCAGCTCACCCCCAGCTCTCGGGGACTCTTCTGTGTCTCCCAGCTCCTCCCCAGACAAACCAGATTTCTGACCCAGTCAGCCTGCCGCACCCACGAAGCCGAGAGACACTTACAGACCTCACTGGCATCCTCCCCTATGTCTCCCATCTCATCACCCCCAGCCCCATGCTCTTAACACTGAACTATCTATGTCTCATATATACAGCAGCAAAACAAAACCAGAGAAAGTGGAAAGCAGATAATACAGAAAAAACAGAGGTGAATGAAATGAAAAATATAATTTTCTGGGAATATATAGAGAACGCAAATATATTTAACAAGCAGTATAAATGCTAAATAAAACTACAACCTCAGAAGAAACCTTAGGTTAATCCCCAAATAGGAAATCTATTCTGAATGCTCTAAGAGGGAAATAACACCAACCTTCAATGAGGTGATTATTACAATAAACTTTTCCAGAGAGCAGAACGCGCTAGGAGCTTCTTATTATATTACTACCACAAATCCTAGTATAATTTTGATAACCAAATTATACCATAATAGAACAACAACAACTACAACAACAACAAATAAAGCCAGAAAACTAAAGGAAAATGTTTCAACGAATAGGACTGCAAAATTGTATGAAAAGCAGCAAACAAAATCCAGCAATATATTGAAATTTTTACAGTACAACAGTAATGCATGGAAATTAATCATTACTACATTTAGCAATATAAATCATCATATTAAGAAATATTACTTTCTAAAACATATCACCATGAAAATAAATGTCAATCAACAGTTTGAAAGTAATTTTCTTGTTAATATATATAACAGGAAAAAAGATCAAAACCTAGAAAAAATACACAAAAAGAGTTCATAGATAAGATGAATACCTAAACAGAAAGAAACAAGGAGTAAATAGCAAGGGAAATACAAAGGAATAAGCTTATAAGAGGATGAAGAGTCAGGGAGATGTGGCTCACACCCGTGATCCCATCACTTTGGTAGGCCAAGGCAGGAGAATCACTTGAGCCCAGGATTTTGAGACAAGCCTGGGCAACATAGTGAGACCTCGACTCCACAAAAAAAATAAAAGAAAATTATCAGGTGCAGTGGTGCACACCTGTAGTTGCAGCTACTCAAGAGGCTGAGGATCTCTTGAGGCTCTGATCCGACCATAGCACTAAAGCCTGGGTGACAGGCTGAGATCCTTTCTCAAAAAAAAAAAAAAAGAAAAAAAAAAAGAGGATGGCCAATATCTCCTACCTGGAAAAATTCACATAACGTAATGCCATAATTGTTCACCTGATGGAAAAAAATAAAAGGATTAATAAGAGCCAGGTTTTTTTGTTTGTTTTTCTTTTCACATGGAGTCTTGCTCTTTCACCCAGGCTGGAGTGCAGTGGCTTCCGCCTCAGCCTCCTGAGTAGCTGGGACTACAGGCGCCCACCACCACACCCGGCTAATTTTTCTACTATCAGTAGAGACGGGGCTTCACAATGTTGGCCAGGATGGTCTCGATCTCTTGATCTCGTGATTCACCCGCCTCAGCCTCCCAAAGTGCTGGGATTACAGGTGTGAGCCATTGCGCCCGGCCTAAAATTTTTTTTTAATTAAAAATTAAATAACTAAAAAATGGGTGAAAGACATGACAAGGCAGTGAAAAGAAAAATGACAAAAACACATCAACTATGACCACCTTGACTGTTAGCAATAAAATGAAAACCAACATCCTTTTTATATATCAAGTTGACAAAGATTAAACATTTTTATTATAAATCATGTGATCCTAAATAGTGTGAGAAAATAGACCCTTTTACATTTTAGGCTCAGCGAAAAAAACAAAAACTGTTTTTCCTCTGCTCTCACATCACAACAATCAACACAGAAGATTCCTGTGACAACATGTCTGGGGATTTCTCTCGGTCAGTCAAGCACACCATCCATTCTGCTGTGGACGCCAGCTGGGTGTCTTCTAATTCAATGATGACACTATCTACCTGGCCATAGCATTAGATTCCACAGGGCTCAGTTCTGCAAGACTCGCCTCCCACTGTAATAACAATGGCAAGTCCTATGTTGTTTTACCTGTGCTTCTGACCAACTGGGTATAAATCAGGTTTCCACCACTCCCTGTTTCAGTTGAATTAATTTGCTAGAACAGCTCACACCACACAGGGAAACACTTACATTTACCATTTTATTATAGAGGATGTTGCAAAAAATTCAGAAAAAAAGATTCATGGGGCCTGGCATGGGGGGAGGGGTGCACTACCTTCCAGGAAGTTTTATCCAGAAGCCCTATAAACCCAGTCCTTTTTTGTTTTTATGGAGGCTTCATTACATAGGCATGATGGGTTAAACCATCGGCTATTGGTGATCAACTCAACCTCAGGCTCTCAACCCTCCCTGGAAATTGGGGTTGAGGCATTGCCATTCTTGGTCTGAGTAATAGAATTTACATAAACGGAATTTTAAAACAGATTAGCATAACTGAAAACTTAATTAGATGGTCTAATTATCTGGAGCCACACCTTGATATTCCTAACCTCACCACCCTCATCCTATGAATGCTCCACCCACCTGGCCCCAAAGTCTCTACATGGTTCCAGAGCAGAAGAATGTTTATACAATGCATATCTCCACTTTTTCTTAAAAGTCTTTTTGCTTACATGGGTAATTCTTAAACTGCCATACATCAGGGTCAGGGGGAAGGCTTGAGAGAACCTAGATTTGTGGATCTCCGGGGCTTGAGGGTTGCAAGGATGCTGCTGGTCTCAAAACCACAACGTGAGAACCACAGCACTAGATAGTTTTCAATGCATTTAATTAATAATATATTTGGCCAACAAAATTTCTAATTTCTTAGATTGTCCCAAATGCGTCACATGACATCAAATCAGGAGAGCAGTTTCCTAGGAGATGGAGCCTGGAAAAGTTGGGGGAGACACATGAAAGGAGGAGTGAAGCTCCGCCCTTTCTGCTGCCAGGCTGCACCTGAGGCTATTTAAACCCACCCTGGCGGGCCTGTGCCCAGATCTTCCCAGAGCAGAGCAGTGGCTGCAGTGTCACTGCAATGGCCACCACTGCCAGAATGGTGTTACATCAGTCTATTCAAAAGGCTCATTTTGTTAATGATTGGCAAGCCAATTCCACCCAAATGTGGAATTCTCAACAAGGCATTGATCAAAAATTGGCTAATCAAATTAATTATTTAAGACAGTCTGTTACTTGGCTTGGAGATTGGGTAGTGAGTCTCAAACATCGAATGCAAATGCAGTGTGATTGGAACACTTCAGATTTCTGTATCACCCCATGTTCCTATAAAGAGACTGATCATTCATGGTAAATGGTCAAAGGACACCTTCTGGGTAGGGAAGATAATTTATCATTTAATTTAAGATAAATTAAAGAAACAAATTTTTGAAGCTTCTCAAGCTCACTTATCCATTGTGCCTGGAGCTGAGGTGTTAGATCAGGTGGCAGAAAATCTTTATGGATTAAACCCCATGACTTGGATTAAGTCTATTGGGGGCTCCTCTGCAGTGAATTTTGGAAATATGTTTCTCTGTTTAATCAGCTTGTCTTTAGTGTGTGGAACCAGTCAAAGAATCCTGAGTCAAAATTGAGAGAACGAACAAGCCTTCATCACCTTGGCACATTTATATAAAAAAAAAAAAAAATGGGAGAGATGTTGCGGGAAGTCAGGGACTCCGAACGTTGGGACAGGCTGAAGCCATGGCAGAAGAACATAAATTGTGAATATTTCATGGACGTTTATCATTTCCCCAATCAATACTCCTGTTTTTTCCTATGCCTGTCTTTAATCTCTTAATCCTGTCATCTTCGTAAACTGAGGATGAATGTCGCCTCTGGACCCTGTGATGATTGCATTATCTGCACAAATTGTTTAAAAAATATGAAATCTGGGCACCTTGAAAAAAGAACAGGATAACAGTGATGTTCAGGGAATAAGGGAGATAACCATTAGATCTGGCTGCCTGAGAGCCAGGCAGAACACAGCCATATTTCTCTTCTTTCAAAAGCAAATAGGAGAAATATTGCTGAATTCTTTTTCTCAGCAAGGAACAGCCCTGAGAAAGGGAATGCGTTCCTAGGGGTAGGCCTCTGAAATTGCAGCTCTGGGGACGTCTGTCTTTTATGGTTGCAGATAAGGGATGAAATAAGCCCTGGTCTCCCGTTGCACTCCCAGGCCAATTAGGATGAGGAAATTCCCGCCTAATAAATTTTGGTCAGACCGGTTGTCTGCTCTCAAACCATGTCTCCTGATAAATGTTATCAATGACAATGCATGCCCAAAACTTCATTAGCAATTTTAATTTTGCCCCAGTCCTGTGATCTCACCCTGCCTCCATTTGTGTTGTGATATTTTATTACCTTGTGAAGTATGTGATCTCTGCGACCCACACCCTATTCGTACACTACCTCCACTTTTGAAAATCACTAATAAAAACTTGCTGGTTTTGCGGCTTGGAGGTGCATCACGGAACCTGCCAACATGTGATGTCTCCCCCAGACACCCAGCTTTAAAAATTTCTCTCTTTGTACTCTTTCCCTTTATTTCTCAGACCGGCCAACACTTAGGGAAAATAGAAAAGGACTCTTGTTGAATCATCATGGGTGGGTTCCCCCAGTGCATAGGTATACATAGGCCATGGTGATTTGCTGTATGCATCAACCCATCATCTACATGTGCCATGGTGATTTGCTGCACACATCAACCCATCATCTACATTAGGTATTTCTCCTAATGCTATCCCTCCCCTTGCCCTCCACCCACCAACAGGCCCCGGTGTGTGATGTTCCCTTCCCAGTGCCCATATGTTCTCATTGTTCAACTCCCACTTATGAGTGAGAATATGCAGTGTTTGGTTTTCTGTTCCTGTGTTAGTTTCCTGAGATTGATGGTTTCCAGCTTCATCCATGTCCCTGCAAAGGACATGAACTCATTCTTTTTTATGGCTGCATAGTATTCCATGGTGTATATGTGCCATATTTTCTTTATCCAGTCTATGATTGATGGGCATCTGGGTTGGTTCCAAGTCTTTGCTATTATGAATAGTGCTGCAATAAACATACACGTGCATTCATCTTTATAGTAGAATGATTTATAATCCTTTGGGTATGTACCCAGTAATGGGATTGCTGGGTCAAATGGTATTTCTGGTTCTAGATCCTTGAGGAATTGCCACACTGTCTTCCACAATGGTTCAACTAATTGACACTCCCACCAACAGTGTAAAAGCATTACTATTTTTCCACATTCTCTCCAGCATCTGTTGTTTCCTGACTTTTTAATGATCGCCATTCTAACTGGCATCAGAATGTATCTCATCGTGGTTTTGATTTACATTTCTCTAATGACCCATGATGATGGGCTTTCTTTCATATGTTTGTTGGCCGCATAAATGTCTTCTTTTGAGAAGTGTTTGTTCATATCCTTTGCCCACTTTTTGATGGGGTTGTTTTTTGCCTGTAAGTTTGTTTAAGTTCCTTGTCGATTTTGGATATTAGACCCTTGTCAGATGGGTAGCTTGCAAAAATTTTCTCCCATTCTGTAGGTTGCCAGATCACTCTGATGATAGTTTCTTCTGCTGTGCAGAAGCTCTTTAATTTGATTAGATCCCATTTGTTAATTTTGGCTTTTGTTGCAATTGCTATTGGTGTTTTAGTCATGAAGTCTTTGCCCATGCCTATGTCCTGAATGGTATGGCCTAGGTTTATTTCTAGCGTTTTTATGGTTTTGGGTTTTACATTTAAGTCTTTAATCAATCTTGAGTTAATTTTTGTATAAGGTGTAATGAAGGGGTTCAGTTTCTATTTTCTGCACATGTCTAGCCAGTTTTCCCAGCACCATTAAATAGGGAATCCTTTCCCCATTGCTTTTTTTGTCAGGTTTATCAAGATCAGATGGTTGTAGATGTGTGGTGTTATTTCTGAGGTCTCTGCTCTGTACCATTGGTCTATATATCTGTTTTGGTACCAGTACCATGCTGTTTTGGTTACTGTAGCCTTGTAGTATAGTTTGAAGTCAGGTAGCCTGATGCCTCCTCTAGCTTTGTTCTTTTTGCTTAGGATTGTCTTGGCTATACAGGCTCTTTTTTGATTCTATATGAAATTTAAAGTAGTTTTTTCTAATTCTGCAAAGAAAGTCAGTGGTACCTTGATGGGAATAGCATTGAATCTATAAATTACTGTGGGCAGTATGGTGGCCATTCTCTTGATATTGATTCTTCCTATCCATGAGCATGGAGTGTTTTTCCATTTGTTTGTGTCCTCTCTTATTTCCTTGGGCAGTTGTTTGTAGTTCTCCTTGAAGAAGTCCTTCACATCCCTTGTAAGTTGTATTCCTAGGTATTTTATTCTCTTTCTAGCAATTGTGAATGGGAGTTCACTCATGATTTGGCTGTTTGTCTATTGTTGGTGGATAGGAATGCTTGTGAATTTTGCATGTTGATTTTGTATCCTGAGACTTTGCTGAAGTTGCTTATCAGCTTAAGGAGTTTTTGGGCTGAGATGATGGGGTTTCCTACATATACAATTATGTCATATGCAAACAGAAACAATTAGACTTCCTCTCTTCCTATTTGAATATGCTTTATTTCTTTCTCTTGCCTGATTGCCCCAGCCAGAACTTCCAATACTATGTTGAATAGGAGTGGTGAGAGAGAACATCCTTGTCTTGTGCTGGTTTTCAAAGGGAATGCTTCCAGATTTTGCCCATTTCATATGATATTGCCTATGGGTTTGTCATAAATATCTCACTATTTTCAGATATGTTCCATCAATACCTAGTTTATTGAGATTTTTTTTAGCATGAAGGGATATTCAATTTTATCTAAGGCCTTTCTTTATTGAGATAATCATGTGGTTTTTGTCATTGGTTCTGTTTATGTTATGGATTATGATTATTGATTTGCGTATGTTGAACCAGCCTTGCATCCCAGGGATGAAGCTGACTTGATTGTGGTTGATAAGCTTTTTGATGTGCTGCTGAATTTGGTTTGCCAGTATTTTATGGAGGATTTCCGCATTGATGTTCATCAGGGATATTGGCCTGAAATTTTCTTTTTTTGTTGTATCTCTGCCAGGTTTTGGTTTGAGGGTGATGCTGGCCTCATAACATGGGTTATGGAGGAATCCCTCTTTTTCTATTGTTTATAATAGTTTCAGAAGGAATGGTACCAGCTCCTCTTTGTAGAATTCGGTAGAATTTGGCTGTAAATCCATCTGGTCCTGGGCTATTTTGGTGGGAGACTATTAATTACTGCCTTAATTTCAGAAATTGTTATTGGTCTACTCAGGGATTCGACTTCTTCCTGATTTAGTCTTGGGAGGATTTATGTGTCCAGGAATTTTTCCATTTCTTCTAGATTTTCTATTTATTTGTGTAGAGGTATTTATAGTATTCTCTGATGGTAATTTGTATTTCTGTGGGATCAGTGGTGATATCCTGTTTATAATTTTTCGTTGTGTCTATTTGATTCTTCTCTCTTTTCTTCTTCATTAGTGTAGCTAGTTGTCCATGTAATTTTGTTAATCTTTTCAAAAAACCAGGTCCTGGATTCATTGATTTTTTTGAAGAATATTTCATGTCTCTATCTCCTTCAGTTCTGCTCTGATCTTAGTTATTTCTTGCCTTCTGCTAGCTTTTGAATTTGTTTGCTGTTGCTTCTCTAGTTCTTTTAATTGTGATGTTAAGGTGTTGATAGGAAGGCTGGGCACCTTCCTATCAGGTAGATGGTCTAGAGCTCCAGACAGCACCAACTCCTCCTCATGGCCTCTTTCTCCTCCTACAACTCTTCATTCTCAAGCCTCAGCCCTTTCCCGAGATAGGAAGGACAAGACCATGTTTCAGGTTGGTTGTTTTCTCTTGTGAAATACCACCTCAGGCATCAGAAAGCAAACATACCTCCCCCGCTGGTAAAAGGAAAAAGAGTGAAAATGTATTGTGTGAATACATTACATTTCTATGTGAGGCAGAGTGTGTGATTCTGTTTTAGAGATGAAGAAAGGAATGGTGGATCTCAGACTTAAACCCAGGTCAGTACGACTTCATGATCTGCCTTTCTGCTCTGCTTGCTGCCTGCCTATGATAGCTTCATGCAAGGGCCCATGCCCAGATTATGCAGAGAGATGACTCTTAATGGTTGCACTCTTAGTGGTTAAAATAGGGTCTGACATAGTATCTATTGACTGGCCAAATGTCAGTAGTAGCCATTCGAGAGGCTGAATGTGATATACAGTCACTCCTGAGGGCCAAATTGCACAATCCCATGTTACACTGTGACTCTGGGGTTCAGTGCAACAGGCTTAGGTGTTTTCGGTATTCTTAGCAACACATCTGGATGCAAGAGATTGCTCAAGTCATCTTAAAGGCATAGTGTTACTTCACAAAGCCCTTATTATACTTGAGATATGTGCATTCAGGCTGACGACTGTCCTGAAGTATAGTTGCAACTTGTTTAGATCCACAAATGCTTCTGGGATATTGGTATCCTTTGTATCTGAACCCACCTTACCAAACGGCCACATCAACTTCTTGGTAGGACACAATGTTACTATCAGCATGAACCTTATATTCTGACCAGACCCATCTCCCCTACCAACCCACTCCAGTTAGAGACAACTTGCTTAATATCTGTCTCTATGTACTACCAGATTTTATTTCCAATGTTGTCCCCACAGACGGGCTGCTTTTACAACTCTGCAAATCCCCTTAAACTTGTATTAACCTTTCTACCATATAGCATTAAAAAAAATGACACCAGAGAGTAACACCTCATTTTATCTCATAGAAGGCACTGAATTCCTACCCCTACAGTAACCCATTGCACAACAGTTGCAGCTTTCTCTCCTTAACTGTCTGTATACCTTACTGCCACTGAAATCCTAGCAGCTGGGTGGCACCTGAGTAAACTTTAGGCAACCCCGTGAGACCTCAAGGACTGCAGACCCCAAAGTAGAAAAGAGACAACACAAGTGCACAAGGCAGACTCACTGTTGGCATGTCCATCCTATCCACATTAGTCTCCCATGATTACATAGGTGGTGTGGTTTTAAGATGTGACCCCTCCCCTTAAGTGTAGCCTAGACTTAGTACTCATGAATATAGCAGAAGTGATGGTGACTTAAGAGACTGGGTCATAAAAGGCACCCTGGCTTCTGGCTTGCTCTCTCCTTTCTGATTACTTACTCGGGGGGATGTCAGTTGCTACAAGATGAAGGCCTTTAGCCCTGGGAGGCCCACAAGGTGAGAAACTGAGACCTCTATTAACAGCCAGCAAGGAACTGAAGGCTCCTGCCTGAAGTGATCTTGGGAGCAGACCTTGTAGGCCCCAGTCCAGCATTCAGATGACTGCAGCCCCTGCCAACATTTGACAGCTGCCTCCACAACACTGGGGGAGATACTGCCCAGAATTTGAGGAGTCTGCTGACAACCTCTGGGAATACAGAATGAGTTAAACTTTTCAGCCACAAACTTTGAGGTCTGAGGGGTGTCTGCATTTGTTCTGTTGGCCATAAAACCCTACATCCCAAGTGACTCTGCTGCAGTTCCATAAATTACTTTTCATCCCTACCCCTTGCCCCCTTCTGAAACCTTATTTCCCACGGTAAATACTTTGGTTATCTATATATAAAGTGCCTGTTCCCCACCTCTTGACATGTCTTCTCTCTTTGGCAGCTCCAGGCAGCAGAAGGCTCAGACCAGAGCAGACCCAGGTCTCCTGAGTCACCAAGACAGAGAGCTTATCCTGGAGGAACACATGATGGTGTGCTGCCCTCTACAAAACCAGGCTTGTGGGCTCACTAGTTCAAGAAGGCAGGACTGAAAAATGGAAACACCGTGGCTCCTAATTATCTAGACTGCCTCATCTCCTACCAGCCAGCAAAAATGATGTAGCCTCTGAGAATATTTACATCACTCATTTGTATGCCTTATCTTTGGTACAGGGAGTTGGGTGAACAGGAGAAAAAGCCAAAAAAGTTATAGAGGTTACAACATGAATCTTTAATCATAAGGGATTGTTCCATCAGGCTAATTTATAAAAAATAGCTCTACTGTTATTATAAAACTGAAAGATACTTTGTTACAAAGTAAAATACATAAAAGTACAACATATGTATTATACATTCAGAATCCCACCACTAGAGATAAGTAGTTATATGTCCTCTCCCACATCTTTTTTTCTCTGTTGCTCTAAACATACACACAGAAAAACATACTAACAAAATGGGGTCATGCTATAATTGTTGTTCTAAAACTCTCCTGGTTCACTAAATACTTCATGAGCAACCTGCATTGTCATTATCTGTGTGCCTGAAGATTTCTAGTGGCTTTCCATTGCATACATATGCCTGAACTTATCTAAAAAATTTCCTACCAATGGAAACTGGAATATTAACATTTGCTATTTTAAAAATGTTTTAAATTTAAAAACTCCACCTTCTGCATGCGTTTTTGCCCAAGTGGGCAACTATCTCCCAAGTATCAATTACTACATATTTACTGCCACTTCAAAGGTTATAGAAATTGAATTGATACGTTAATGAATTCTTTTGAAAACAATGCACGGATTTTCTCTCTCACCAATAAGTACATAAGACTTATTACGTCCATTTTTGCACTGCTATAAAGAACTACCTGAGACTAGGTAATTTGCAAAGGAAAGAGGTTTAACTCACACACAGTTCCACATGGCTGGGGAGGCCTCCGAAAACTTAGTCATGGCAGAACGCAAAAGAGAAATAAGGACCTTCTTCACAAGGGGACAGGAGAGAGACAGCGAGGAAGGGCTACACCTTAAAACCATCAGCTCTCATGAGAACTCACTATCATGAGAACAGCAAGGGAGAAATCTGCCCTCGTGATCCAATCATCTCCCACCAAGGCCCTCCTCTGACACGTGGGGATTAAAATTGAGATGAGATTTGGGTGGGGACAAGAGCCAAACCATATCAGACTGTTTCTACAACCCCCCCCCCCGCCCCCACTGATGGGGGATTTGATGATTCTATTTTAATACTGCTAACCTGCAGGGTGAAATAGCATTTGTGATTTTTAAGATACCTAATATTTGATATGTTAAACTATGAAATGAACTGGAGCAAAACCATTATATTCATGACAGCAATAAAACAAATTCCTAGAAATATGCTTAAGATGACTCAGAACCTATTTTTAACCATCTCTAAGAAATATTACTGAGGGACCATATGAAATACTATCAGTGGTAAAAAAAAAGTCATTTTTTTAAAGTGAAAAAAAATCAGCATTTCAAAGACGCCACATTCTTTCAAAATTAACCTATAAATTCAATGCAATGCCAATTAATAAATTTATTTAATTAATAATTCAATGCAATGCCAATCAGATTTTGCTTTTTGAACCTGGAAAGAAGACATATTTCTGTAGTGTACTACAACTCCTCTGAAAGCTGTAAAGCTTACCTGCAAGATAAAACAGTCATAAAAACATGATAAAAATGTGAGACACACACATCACCCAGATCTGCCAAGAGAACTTTGTTCCTGGTCTTCTCAGAGTGACTTGTTTCAATAAATGTTAATGTTATCTTTTTGTTTTTATAAAGCGATCTTTAAAAAGATATGTACCAAACTGGTTTTAGAAAGGTGGAAACTTGTTTCTACACTGTCCCATTGGTAGCTATCAACCCACACAAAGAATCTATGTCCATAATTAGCACCTTGGAAACATTCTCACCACTTGTACATTGTAAAAGCTCCCTCCCAGGCAGATTCTGATGGAAGTGAGGATTATTACTGAAACCACTGCTGCACTGTTTCTTTAAAGCCTACTCCGCTGCACAACAGACTCTTAAAGACTGAAGTTTGTAACTGAAGTGCTAACCTATTTATCACACATCCAGGTGTTCCCTTCCTATGCAGACTAGAAAATGTAAAATCATCAGTTTCTCCTATAGCCCTCCTACATGTCACTTTCCTATGGTTTTTCTCCTGTGTTGGCTCTCAGATGGATAGAAAGCTCTGAGTCCCAGATGGAATCCTCTATGTACATCTACTTATAAGGGTTCTCGCCTAAATGCACTCTTTGGTGGTTCCGCAGACCTGAGGTATAACTGAAGCCTTTCCCACACACACCACACGTATAGGGCTTCTCTCCAGTGTGGACTCTCTGATGAACATGAAGACAGGAGTTGCGGCCAAAGCCCTTCCCACACTCCTCACATTTATAGGGTTTCTCACCAGTGTGGACCCTCTGATGACCTTGAAGATGTGAGCTCTGACTATAGCCCTTCCCACACACGTGGCATCTGTATGGCTTCTCGCCAGTGTGCACTCTCTTATGACTAAGGAGACCTGAGCCATATCTGAAACCCTTCCCACATTCACAACAAGTGTAGGGTTTCTCTCCTGTGTGCAACCTCTGGTGGGTGCGAAGATTAGAGCCATAACTGAATCCCTTGCCACACTGATCACACGTATAGGGCTTTTTTCCCGTGTGGACTCGCTGATGTTTGTGAAGGCTTGATGTGCACCTAAAGCCCTTTCCGCACTCTTGGCATCTGTAAGGTTTCTCGCCTGTGTGGACTCTCTGGTGAATGAGAAGCCCTGAGCTGTAACTGAAGCCTTTGCCACACTCAGCACATTTATAGGGTTTCTCTCCAGTGTGGACCCTCTGATGGATAAGGAGGTCGGAGCTGTAGATGAAACCCTTCCCACACACGTCACACACGTAGGGCCTCTCTCCCGTGTGGACCCTCTGGTGGCTGTGAAGGTCTGAATTCCGCCGGAAGCCCTTCCCACACTCACTGCATTTATAGGGTTTCTCTCCTGTGTGGACCCTCTGATGGATGTGGAGGTCGGAGCTCCGGCCAAAGCTCTTCCCGCACTCGCATTTGTAGGGTTTCTCTCCTGTGTGCAGTCTCTGATGCATGAGAAGCCCTGAGCTGTAACTGAAACTCTTACCACACACGTTACATTTGTACAGATGCTGCCCCATGTGAACTCTCTGGTGAGCTTGAAGGTACGAGTTGTGACTGAAACCTTTGCCACACTTGTCACACTGGTAGGGCCTCTCGCCGGTGTGTGTCTTCTGATGACTGCTGAGGTGGGAGCTGCAGCTGAATCCCTTTCCACACTCGCCACAGCTGTAGGGCTTTTCTCCAGGGTGAATGTGCTGGTGTTTGTGCAGTGCAGACTTGGCACAGAAGCCTTTGCCACACTCGCTGCAGGTGTAGGGCTTCTCCCCTGTGTGCAGCCTCTGATGGACTTGAAGCACTGAGCTGTAACTGAAGCCCTTCCCACACTCGCTGCATTTATATGGTTTCTCTCCAGTGTGGACCCTCTGATGGACAAGCAGGTTTGAACTTCGACCAAATGCCTTCCCACACTCCTCACATTTATAGGGTCTCCTTCCTGTGTGCACCCCTTGATGAATAAGAAGAACCGATTTATACCTGAACCCCTTTCCACAGACATCACATCTATAGGGCATGTCTCCCACAGGGGCTCTGGGGTGGTTACGTATGTGCGTGTTCTGTCTGACGCCCCGACCACGCTCAAGACTCTTAACAGATTTCTCTCCTGTGGGAACTCTTTGATGTCTGTTAAGATGGGCACTGTGCCTCAAGCCCTCACTAAACTCATCATATTGACAGAGTTTCTCTTTCAAAGGTACTCTTGGATGCGGGGGAAGGTCTGCATCGTCCCTGAAGCCATTTCTGTATTCGTTACTTTTCAAGCCATTCTCTCCAGGGTTAATGCGATGAAGTACAGAGTTTTTAATGCAGTCTTTTCTGCATTTATTGCAACCACACGGCTTGTCTATTTCAGGGAATCTGTGATCAACATGACAAGATATCCAGCAAAAGCTGTCATCATCCCAGTTACATTTATATACTGTGTCTTCTGTGTCGAGATTTTTACATCTTTCTTGAACATCCCCTAACTGGTTCACAAACGCTTTTGCCCAAGATCCTTGAATGGGGATTGGTCTTATAGCTCTCCAGGCTGGAAACTGTTGATTTTCTAGACCGATAAGCCCATCCCCTTGTAGACTGTCCAGGAAATTCTCAATTGGAAAACACGGCGTAGATGCTCCTTCCCACCCTTGATGGGGAGCAGCATCTTCTGAGAACTGGAAGTCTTTTCCTTGCAGATTTACTCTACAGTCTTGGCTCCCAGGTAATTCACCTGCCACCTCTTCCCAGATTTTGCATGAGGAGAGCTCTTTGTGTGAAAAGAACCTTAATTCTTCATCTTGAATATACTCCGTATCCTTTCCATTCTTGTCTCCTATGAGGTTAAAGACAATTCAGAGATGAGAACTAGTAAAAGACTGGCTCAGGGACATCAGACTTTCAGACTTGAACTAATAATAGCCTAGAGAAAAATTAGGCTTTATGTATCATAACTATTAGAGCACTTATGTTTATGACAAGAGGAGGCTCCTATTAATAAGTTTTGAAGCTAAATGCTAGTATGATCCTATTAGTACCAAACTATGTCTCATCATAGAATTGCCAGGCAAAAAAAGAATTTCGGAACAGATTTTTATAGAGAAAGTTCACTTCTTCGCTTAATAATGCTGTTATAACTAATAATATCTGACACTATTGTAACACTTCCTATCTGCCAATGATGTACACATATTAACTGACTTAAACCTCAGAATAATACTGAAGTAGAAACCATTATATTACCTTCATTTTCCAATGATGAAACCAAGTCAGAGAGAGGGTAGGTAACCTAGCACACTATTCCACCATACTGTGAGGCAGTGGTGGAGCTGGCATTTAAATGCAGGAAGCCCACACGGCCTTCTCCCTGCACTGTGTCTCAGGGGTGACTGTACTTCTGGGTATTTGTGAGCCATACTTCAGGAGGGTGCCAAATTTTCCAAAGTGCACCACCTGTGTCATCTTGTGTGAGCAGATGCAATAGGAATCCAGAAAATACTGTTAAGGCAGGAAGACACACAAATATTTGACTTATGACTATTACTTATGCCTTGAGAACCTTTGGATCCCAGGCTGCAAAGGATCAAACTGTCATATTTACCACAGTTCTGGATGATTTTAAAAATTTGTCCATGTTTTCTGATATTCTTTATTGCCTATTTTTATCTTTCAGGGCTTGGGTAACAAGAACCTGTTTATAACCAGGGACTAGTACAATACTAGAAGAAAGTGAGAAATTCATCTGAGGACTCTCAATATTCTGGGACAGTCTCTGCCACTGGCTTGCCTTCTACTGCCTGGCTGTTTCTATTAGAGGGACGGAAGTCCAGAGGTCCCTCGCTCATTCTGGGTATGATATTCTGTGAAAGGCATAGAGAAACCATGAGAAGGTAGGAACTGAACGGAAGAAATGAAGTTGCAGAATAATCATCTACAATGCTGCCAACAGTACCCACAGGCAAGACAAGGGGTGAGGAATGGGACCTCCTGTGGGCAAGCTCACTTCTCACTGCCCAGCAAGGCTCTTGTCTCCAAGACCTCTAGGCCTCATGGTTCTCACCTGGAGATGCATTTCTTGGAGTTTCTCCATCTGTTACCCCAGTCTTCAAAAATTCCTATGTTGAAATCCTAAATCCCAACGTGATACCATTAGGAGGTGGTGGGTCTTCCGGAGGTAATTAAGTCATGGAGGTGGAACCCCCAGGAAAGAAATTAGTGTCCTTAGAAAACAGATGCCCAGAGAGCTCTTCTCTGCTACGTGAGGACACAAAAGGAAGTCAGCTATCTGCACCCTGACAGAGGGTCCTCACCAGAACCCAACTATGCTGGCACCCTGATCTCAGACTGTGCCTTCCAGAAATAAACTTCTGTTGTTTATATGCCACTCAGTCTGGCAATTTTTTACAGCAGCTGAAACTAAGAGTTCTATAAAAATAGGATTTAACCTGTGTAAAAAAGCCAAAAATATCTTCTCTCCAGGAACAAGAACACTCCAAGAAGTTCAGTTCCAATTACCCAGAGGATTCCTCTCACCCACTGAGAGTAGGTTCCTGAAATTCTCCTGCATCACATCTTGGTACAGCTGCCTCTGGGTAGAGTCCAGCAGCTCTAGCTCCTCCTCAGTGAAGACCACAGCCACGTCCTTGAAGCTCAATGGCTCCTAAAATGAAAAACCATTAACACAAACATCTACTAGATGAAGACAAACTGGTGTCCACAGAGCAGGTTTATAGAAATAAAAAAATTTAAAAATCTGGATTAAGAAAATGTGGCACATATACACCATGGAATACTATGCAGCCATAAAAAATGATGAGTTCATGTCCTTTGTAGGGACATGGATGAAGCTGGAAACCATCATTCTCAGCAAACTATCGCAAGGACAAAAAAACCAAACTCCGCATGTTCTCACTCATAGGTGGGAATTGAACAATGAGAACACATGGACACAGGAAGGGGAACATCACACACCGGGGACTGTTGTGGGGTGGGGGGAGTGGGGAGGGATAGCATTAGGAGATATACCTAATGCTAAATGACGAGGTAATGGGTGCAGCACACCAACACGGCACATGTATACATATGTAACTAACCTGCACATTGTGCACATGTACCCTAAAACTTAAAGTATAATAATAATAAAATTAAATAAATAAATAAAAATCTAAACAATAAAGATAAACTGCATATCTCTAAAAAAAGAAGACAAGATAGCAGGAAGTTGTTCAGCCCGGTGTGTCAACTCCAGTTTATTAATGTTTGGTGCCAGTAATTTCAATTCTAACCAACTGAACTACCCCAGATATGCAGCATCAAGCAAGAAACACATCATATCCTGTGCTCACTTGGGGCACTTTTTTTTGGACACAGGGTCTCTTACTTTGTAGCTCAGGATGGCATGCACTGGTGCAATCACAGCTCACTGCAGCCTCAATCTCCAGGGTTCAAGCAATCCCCATGCCTCACTCAACCTCCCAAGTAGCTAGGACTACAGGCACGCACCACCACATCCAGCTAATTTTTATTTTTTTGTAGAGATGGGACCTTGCTATGTTGCTCCGGCTGGTCTCAAATTCATGGCTTCAAGTGATTCTACCATCTTAGCCTCACAAAGTGTTGGGATTAACAGGGGTGAGCCACTGATATTTGGATATTTGCCCACTGATATAGTTTGGGTATTTGTCCCTGACCAAATCTCATGCTGAACTGTAATCCCCAGTACTAGGAAGTGGGGGTGGGAGGTGTTTGGATCATGCGGTCAGATCCCTCATGACTTGGCGCTATCTTCATGATAGTGAGTTCTTGTGAGATCTGGTCATTTAAAATTGTATGGTACCTCTACCCCCGCCCCCCAACTCTCCCGCCACACTTCTTGCTTTAGGCATATAAAGTTCCTGCTCTCCTTTCACCTTCCATTATGACTGTAAGCTTTCTGAGGCCTCCTTAGAAGCCCAGCAAATGCCAGCGCAATGCTTCCTGTTTAGCCTGCAGAACTGTGAGCCAATTAAACCTCTTTTCTTTATAAATCACCCAGTCTCGGGTTTTTGTTTTGGTCTTTTTGTTTGTTTGCTTGTTTTTGAGACAGAGTCTTGCTCTGTTGCCCAGGCTGGAGTGCAGTGGTGCAATCTTGACTCACTGCAACCTTTGCTTCCCGGGTTCAAGTGATTCTCCTGTCTCAGCCTCCTGAGTAGCTGGGACTACAGGCATGTGCCACCATGCCCAGCTAATTTTTTTGTATTTTTAATACAGACAGGGTTTCACCATGTTAGCCAGGATGGTCTCGATCTCCTGAACTCGTGATCTGCCTGGGTATTTCTTTGTAGCAATGCCAGAATGGCCTAACACACCTAGCCCACTGTGAGCACTTCTTCAGGAAATTTCTCTGAACTGGATCAGGTGAATCACCTGTCTGCACATTTTATAATCTGACTCTGACTTGTAGATTGCCAAATTTTTCTCCAAGAAGTCTGTTACAATTTACAGTTCCAACAGTGCCTAGTTTACTGTGCCCATGCCTGCATGTACCCCGAAAACATTCTCTCTGCCAGAATGATGGTTCTTTCCCAATCATTCACTACCCTTCCATCACCAGGTAGGCAAATCCTGCTCTTTGCTACCACAGCCCCTCTTCCCTTCCACACTCTTTTTAAGGGACTTCCATGTCAACAACTGACAGAAATCAGCTAATTTATGTCATGCAACCATCTCCTCAACCAGGTGAGACCTCAAAAGTAGCATTTTGAACCAAGGAATTTCAAACTATGCTGTGTCCCCTTCAGCTACGAATGGTGGCCTGTGTTTTTAAAGCTAATTGTTCCAGTTCAGTGAGAATAAATGGCAGTCATGTATTCTGCAATACAGTGATCATCAAAATATTACTGTAATATCATTGCTGTCTTCACTTGGACAGTGGCAAGCTTTCTTGAGAACTGCATATGAGGGCTCTCAGAATTATACTTTGCCTTCAGCATGTCCCTGGAGTACCTGCGACAAGGTATTGCAAGTTAAGAATGAGATGAATGCTTTCACTTGACTTTTTTATTTAAGTCATGCATATATTTTTGATACGAAGGAATGGTAGCTATAGAAAGTTTTAGTGCATATTACATGGTTTGTCTCTGTCCCCACCCAAATCTCATCTTAAATTGTAGCTCCCATAATTCCCACGTGTTATGGGAGGGACCTGATGGGAGGAAATTGAATCATGGGGGGTGGGTCTTTCCCATGCTGTTCTCATGATGGTGAATAAGTCTCACAAGATCTGATGGCTTTATAAACAGGAATTCCCCTCCACAGCCTCTCTTGCCTGCCACCATGTAAGACATCCCTTGCTCTTCCACCATGAGTGTGAGGCCTCCCCAACCATGCGGAACTGTGACTCAAGCCTCTTTCCTTTATAAATTACCCAGTCTCGAGTATGTCTTTATTAGTAGCATGAGAACAGACTAATACAGAATGCATACCATATTACTTTTTCAAGAAATATTCAGTACCTATAAAATAATGTTAGGCACCAGGAATTAGAGAGATGAGCCAAAAAGCTAGAGTTTCATGGAGCTAGTATTGGCAGTTCCTAAAACCAGATCCAGGTCGTATGATTGGCCATGAGGACTCACAGGAGCTGATATACAGTGACACTCATGGCTAAGACTTACTACGGTGAAAGAAAATAAAACACAATCATCAAGGGGAAAAGACGCATGGGGTGAACTTGGAAAGAAACCAGGTGCAAGCTTCCAAGAGTCCTTTCCTACTGAAGTCACACAGATATGCTTAATTCCTCCAAAAATAAATTGCAACAAGGCCTGTGAAATGCTGTCTATCAGAGAAGATCAGCGGAGACTCGGTGCCCAGGGTTTTCATTGGGGCCTGGACACATAGGTACCTCCTGACTAGCACATACCAAAGTTTCAGACTTCCAGAAAAGCAGGTTTTCAGTAGAAACCATATTGTTTGCAGACAGTCCAGGTACTGTATGCCATTCTTATCAGAAGCAATGTTTACAGAGGCAAATGCTTTGTTTGAGAAAGTAAAACTGGATCTAAATTCTGAGGCATAAGTAGAAATTAACTGAGGGAAAACAGAGGAGAGAAAATTCCACACAGTGGGAACAGTTGGTGAAAACCCTTAAGTGGTAAGAAGCACGGCACATGTATCTTAGCCTCAGGCAATGCCGCTGTGAAGTAGGCGGTGGCCAGATCACTCAGGGCCTCTTAGGCTACATTGATGATTTTGGTCTTTCCCAAAAGCAGGAAACAAATAAACACTGAAGGGTAGTTTACAGTGGGTAGTGATAAGATTAGGTGAGCTGTCTTAAAATTATGAACCCGACACAGCATGGAAAAACATAGCAATGGATCAAGTATAGATACAAGGAGACCACATTGGAGGCCACTGCAATATTTACAGGGAGACATGTTGGCCCGGACTCGGACATGGGAGGATTACTTCAGCCTAGGAGTTTTACATCAGCCTGGGCAACATGGCAAGACCCCATATCTACAAAAAATAGAAAAAGTAGTGGCATGTGGTAGTGTGCACCTGTAGTCCCAGCTGTTCGGGAGGCTGAGGTGGAAGCCTGGGGGTTCAAGGCTGCAGTGAGCTGAGAACGTACCACTGCACTCCAGCCTGGGTGACAGAGAGAACCGTGTCTCAAACAACAACAACTACAAAAACCAACACCAACCCAAAAACCACCATAAAAAAAGGGCACCATTACTAAGTTCTAGCCAAACTTTAATTCCAACACCATTTTTTTAATCAAATTTCTAAATTTCAAAAGTAGGTGTTTAAGCCAGGCACAGTGGCTCCTGCCGGTCATCCCAGCACTTTGTGAGGCCAAGATGGGAGGATCACTTGATTCCAGGAGTTTGAGACCAGCCTTGGCAACATAGGGAGACCTACATCTCTACAAAAAATAAAATAAGCTAGGTGTGATGGCGCACCTGTAGTCCCAGCTACTTGAGGTGGAAGAATCACTTGAGCCTGGGGGGTCAATGCTGCAGTGAGCTGTGGCTGCACCACTGCACTCCAGCCTGGGTGACACAGCGAGACTGTGTCTTAAAAAAAAGTTGGTATTCAATGCAGATGTACAAGTAACTCGGTGAACCAGAGCACAGAATGCAGGAGCAGTCAGGTCCATGTGAAATATCAATCAATTGCTGTATTTCCTTCTGTCTTTGTATTTGATATGTATACATACATATATGTGTGTGTATATATATATATTTTATATATTTACATGTACAAACATAAATATATATATATTTACACACACACAAATGAGGGTGGTATTTTGGTTGACTCGAAAAAGAATGATTGATGTAAAAATAACATTTTCATAACTGGCTATCCATCTTGAAGAAATGAACTTAAATGTCAACCTTATGTCATTTACAAAAATAAATTACAGTTATACTAGGGATAAAACATTTTTTCAGACCTTGCTGATGAGAAAAACATTTTTAATATAAATATTAAAGAGCCATTTAGATGACTTTTTGATTAATCTGAGAATGGATAAGGTCTTTTGAAACTACATGAAACTAAATTTTCAAAAGGGAACTAATAAATCATTTAACTATATAAGAACCTTAAACTTCTTTACAGTTACCATTAAGAAAGTAAAAATTAAGAAGACATACATGCAGCCAACAAACATATTTAAAAATGGTCAACATGACTACAGAAATGAAAATCAAAACCACGAGATACCACCTCACCCCAGTCAGAATGGCTATTATTAAGAAGTCAAAAAGCAACAAACGCTGGCAAGGTTGTGGAGAAAAAAGAACATTTATACACTGCTGGTGGAAATATAAATTAGTTTAGACATCATACAAAGCAGTGTGGTGATTCCTAAAAGAACTTAAAACAGAACTACCATTCAACCCAGCAATCCCATTATTGGGTATATACCCAAAGGAATATAAATTATTCTACCATAAAGACACATGCACACACATGTTCACTGCAGCACTACTGACAATAGAAAAGACATGAAATCAAACTAAATGCCCATCAACAGTAGACTAGATAAATAAAATGTGGAACATATACACCATGGAATACTATACAGCCATAAAATAGAATGAGATCATATCCTCTGCAGCAACATGGAAGGAGCTGGAGGCCATTATCCTAAGCAAAGTAATGCAGGAACAGAAAATCAAATACTGCACGTTCTCACTTATAAGTAGGAGGTAAATGATGAGAACGCTTAGACACACAGAGGGAACAACAGACACAGAGGCCTACTTGAGAGTGGATAGTGGGAGGAGGGAGAGGATCAGGAAAAATAAATAATAGGCATTAGGCTTATTGCCTGAGTGACAAAATAATCTGTACAACAAACCCCCATGCCATGCAATTCACCTATATAACAAACCTGCCTATGTACCCTGAACCTAAAATTTTTAAAAAAGTAAAGATTGAGAGAAAATAATTATAACACTTTTGATAAGTGTTTAGAAGGGCTTCTAAAAACATGGTAAAAATGAATTAATGAGAAAATAGGCAAAAGTATTTCCTAAGCAATTTACTGATGAGAAAATACAAATATAGCCAATATACATATGAAAAAGTGCTTATCATGTTTACAATGCAGGAAACTGCAAAATAAAATGGGGCATCTTTGCCACATATCCTCCATCAGATGAGCAAAAATATTTAGTACTAATCATTCTTGGGATTGAATGTGTGCAGAACAGCAAAAATTGCTATGATTTCTTCTCAAATATTGTGGCAATAATATATTAACAGTTTACAACGAAGTGTGTGACGCTGTGAAATAGATATTTGGTCTCTGTGGCATATAACTCCAAAAGCCCTTAGAAACTCCACCGTGATGTCTTTTTCTATGCTAATGGGTTGACTAGTAGCTGGCAGCTGGCAGGTAGCTTCAGGATGGGGCTGCTTACTGGAAAGAACAAGGAAGGATTAGAGGATTAGACTTATAGTACTTCCCCCTCCCCCAACCTCCAGTGAGGGGAGAGGAGCTGAGGGTGAAGTTGATCACTGGTGCCTACCTAATGAAACTTTCATAAAAACCTAAGAGGACCAGGTTCAGAGAAATTCTGGGAAGGTGACATGCCCAGAGAGGGCATGGAAGCTCCATGCCCCTTACCCCATACCTTTGCCCCATGCATCTCTTCATCTGTATCCTTTTGTGATATCCTTTATAATAAACCAGTAAACATAAGTGTTTCCCTGAGTTCTGTGAGCTGCTCTAGCAAATTAATCAAACCCAAAGAGTGGGTTGTGGGAACCCCAACTTGCAGCTGGTTGGTCACAAGTTCTGGAAGCCTAAACTTGCAACTGGTGGGAGGGAGGAGCAGTCTCTTGTGGGACAGAACCCTCAACCTGTGGGATCTGACACTACCTCCGGGCAGACAGTGTCAGAATTGAACCGAAGGGCACCCAGCAAAACTGCCACAAAACTGATTGCTTACTTGAGGAGAAACCCACACACATTTGGTCACAGAAGTCTTCTGCCTGTGATTATTGTTGCTGAGTGTCAGAATACAAACAGCACTTAGAGTTTCAGTAGCTTTTTCCACACTAAGTATACCCCTTTGGGCCAGCAATATTCAGACATTTACATCATAGAATTTAAAGATTAAAGAACAGGATGCAAAAATCACATGTGTTTGTACTGTTTGTAGTGCTAAAACTGGTAGTAATCAGAACTGAATATCTTATGGTAGTAAAATACACACTACATGGAAAGCATACATGTTTCCATTTCCTTTTTTTTGAGATGGAGTCTCACTCTGTCGCCCAGGCTGGAGTGCAGTGGCATGATCTCAGCTCACTGCAACCTCCGCCTCCCAGGTTCAAGCGATTCTTCTGCCTTAGCCTCCCGAGTACCTGAGATTACAGGTGTGCGCCACCATGCCCGGCTAATTTTTTTACTTTTGGTAGAGACAGGGTTTCACCATGTTGGCCAGGGTGGTCTTGAACTTCTGGCCTCAGGTGATCTGCCCGCCTTGGCCTCCCAAAGTGCTGGGATTAGAGGTGTGAGCCACCATGCCCAGCCCCATTTCCTTTTTAAAAAGAAGGTAACATATATTTTCACATGACAAAGATATTGATGGATTCACACCTCTTTGTTAATGTTGGGCATATTAGCGAGGACAGTTGGGGGAACCTAATTTATTTCATTATAGACCTTGGTATGGTCTGTCTTCTACTAAATCTTTATTTTAAAAGTTATAATGAAATATATATAAACTAGTATTATTAACATGGCTGAGCTACAGAGGTTTAATACTATGAGTGAGTATGGCAGACAACCCAAAAACATCTCCATGGGAGTCCCACAGAGTCTCACAGTTGTAAACTGCACAGACCATCTTAACACACAGGACTCAAAAAGCTACACCCACTCAATTTTTGTGTAGGGGGGAGCTTGCTAGAAAAAGAATTAATCAGAAATTTTTTAAGTGTAAAAAAAATCGCAGCTAGGATTGGAAGAAAAAAACAACTTAGAGCTTAGCCTAAACAGATGAATGAACATCCAAGAAGAAAGAACTGTAAAACAGGACAGGATTCTGGAACACAGTGGAAAATGGCAAAAAGAAAGAAGAAAGAAAAGAAAAAGAAAAGGAAGAAGGAAGGAGAGAAAGAGAAAGAGAAAATAAAGTGAAAGAATAGGAAGGACAGATCCAGAAGTTACACCATTTATCCAGTAGGCATTCCAGGAAGACCAACTGGATTAAATAATAGTAATAATTGACATCAGGCACAAACAGAATTAATGCCCGAGAGAACAGAGCAAGGAAAATAAAGTGTGATCCATGAAAATGCCACACACCCAAGCATAAACACAACAGATGCTTCTAGAAAAAAATGACAAGAATGAATTTAGCTCACCAGAAGGTGAATGGAGAAGCCACAATACAAAGTCCTACACAAGACTTAATACAAGAAGAAAATGACACAACCTGTACTGAGTCCAGAAAGTGTGAATGAAGAATTTTAAGCCCTGGCAACTTGCAATTTGAACATAAAACCAACATTCTTTTTTTTTTTTTTGAGACAGGGTCTCGCTTTTTCACCCAGGCTGGAGTAGAGTGGCATGATCTTGGTTCACTGCAGCCTTGATTTCCCTGGGCTCAAGCAATCCTCCCACTTCAACCCCCAAGTAGCTGGGACTATAGGAATGCACCACCACACCCAGCTAATTTTTTAGTATTTTTGTAGAGACAAGATTTTACCATGTTGCCCAGGCTGGTCTCGAACTCCTGAGCTCAAGTGATCCGCATGCCTCAGCTTCCCAAAGTGCTAAGATTACGAGCCACTGCACCTGGCCCACAACATTCTTAAACTTGGAAAAATGCAGAGGATACTATAGCCAAGTCTTTGGCGTGGGGGAACAAAAAGACTGCATCCAAAGTCTTTGTAGATGAAATTGAGGCAACCAACAAATAAATTCAAGTAAGAAAGTTGTGGTAAAAGGAGAGGCGGTGAGCAATGACTTAAATACACAGAAGTGAGTCTCAACTGGGGGAACTTATGGTGACGAATCAGAAGATAACAATGACAATAACAATATAATAACAATCAGAAGATGGTAGGAAGTAAAAACGTGCTAATTGCTTCAACTTTCACAGCAGGAAGTAATCAATAATATTTAAAATTAAGGTACACAGTAAAAGAAGTGAATCAAATCTTCAAAATTATTTCACAATCTCTTTTCATAAAAAGAAAGGTTTAGAAAATAATGTTTCATGTGTTGAAAAAACATACTTAAAATTCTGCAATGGCTATGATTTTTTTCAGTTTAAAAGAAAATTAAGAAATATGTATATACTAAAGGATAGCCTATTTCCATATCCCTATATTTTCATTTACTTTATATCGCTTGATAGCAGCTTAGAATCTAGACAAAAGAACGAATGAAACTACAATTCACTAATTCAATAGATGAACATGGAATCCATATCACTATATGTGTGTGTACATATATATGTATATATATTTGTAGATATGTGTACATATATGTGTATATACACATTTGGCTGTTATGAATGATGCTGCAATTATCATTCTTTGCACATTTATTCTGACTTAGAAAAAATTCTTAGAGTGGGAAATGCTCGACCAGAATAAGGAGAACTTCTAGAAAGGCAGAAATACTCCTGCAGCTGTGTGGATGTACCCATTTCTCCATATCCCAGCTAACAGTGCATGTTGACCTTTCAAATCTTTGGCTGTCTGCTAGAATAATCATAAATCTTATTTCAATGTGTATCATTTTGATTAATAGAGGCTTATAGTCTTTTCATATGATTAGTGGGCATTAGTTTTTCTCTGCTCCCTTCCTGAACAAGAATGCTCAGGTCTTTATGCATAACCCTCTTCTGAAAATAAGGATATTAAAATTTTGTCATAGATGAAACTTTTCTAATATGTTTTTCTTTTTTTAACTTTGTGCATGGTATACTTTTGGTAGGGTCTACTACATGGAGAACATTACATCTATAAATGAATAACGTTCCACAGAGGAGAACAACCCAGGCAGCGATGATTCAGTATTTGGAGAGTCATCTCTCTGCTAATCTAGGCTTGGGCCTCTGCGTGAAGCTATTGCGGTGGCAGGAAGGCATAGCGGAAAGGTAGATTATCGAATCCAATTGACCTACCTGAGTTCAAATCCTGGATCCCCCATTCATTTCTTCATCTCTAAAACAGAATCATACTATCTGTCTCACATCACTATTTTGTGGATAAATGCAACGAGAAATGTATTCACCCAATACATTTTTCGCTCTTTTTCCTTTTACCGAGAAGGGACGTATGTTTTCTCTCTGATGCCTAAGGTGGTATTTCGGGAGAGAAAAGAAAACAACCCACCTGAGACATGATCTTCTCCTCCCTATCTTGGGAAATGGCTGAGGCTTGAGAATGAAGAGCTGTAGGAGGAGAAAGAGGCCATGAGGAGGAGTTGGTGCTGCCTGAAGCTCTAGATCATCTACCTGGTAGGAAGGTGCCCAGCTTTACAGACTGGTTTCTTCTCACTTGAGGAAATTCCTCAACATCCAACTTTTTCTCCTCCACACTCAGTTTGGATTCTCCCCCCACCCACCCCCTCTATTAGCTGTCACCTCTTTTCTCATGCCTTGAGGTCAAAGTCTCCATGGTCTCTTCTGCTAGGTTCTCTGCGAGCAGCAGCAACTGTATTTATTCTCTGGTTTTCCTAAGCTGGAGACGCAGAAGATCCAGGCCTTTTTCATTCCGGAAACTCTCCAAGCTCTGACAAGTTCCTGTCTCCACCTTTACTGTCCAGAGCGCGACTGCTTCCCATGGTCAGGGGACCTGTAGGTTCGGGAGGGAACTTTACTTAGTCCTTTCTTCTGGGCCCCAAGGCTGTGGTTCACATCCCCTGGATACTATTCATTCAGTAGTTTACAGGACATTTACTGAGTACTTGTTAGGTTTAGTCCCCTACTCTGAAGGGGCTCATAGTCCACAAAGCCAAGAGTGTTGCAGATGGGTAAGGACAGTCACAGAAGAGTCTGTGAGGAGGGTCCTGCAGCTAAATTCTCAGTAAGGCACAGGGCCCCTCAGAAGGGCAGAGAGACCCCACAAATATATGGGACCTGTGACCTGTGAAGAAACACCTGGAGAGGAAAAGCTTTATTAACGCAATACTGTTTGACTTGCAAAAAATAAAATACAATAAATCCCCATACTTAGGGATTATAGAAATCAGGATATAGATTAGAGCCATCTTTAGTCAGCGTTTTTAACTTTTTTTGTGCCATGGCCCCCCTTCACTAATCTGATGATACCTAAAGATCCCTACTGAGAATAAAGTTTTAAATGCATAAAATGAAATGCAAAGAATTATATGGAAATACAACCTTCAAAACTATTAAAACTCTGCATGGCTCACTGTGCAAGTATAGTGCCACTTTATTAATACATTCAATATAAACAATAAATTTAACTACAATTTCAAAAGAGTAATGAGCATAAACAATACTCTGAAATATTTGCACAAACCAGAATATGACATAAAAATATCTATGATGTATATGGATGACAAAGTCACAAGTACTGCTAATAATATTGTGGCTTAGCACCTATGTTCACAATGAAATGCTACTTGTGACTTAGACTAGTATAATTTTTTTCCCATTCAAATTCATGGAACTCCTGAGTTATGCTCATGGAGCCCAGGGCAAGAATTCCTTTTCAAAATTAAGCCTCTTCTGCCCCGCCCCACCCCCCAGACTGAATTAATTACTCTGGGATCCAGCAACACATGGTATAAATTGCTGGTTACCACCTTTCACACGGCCTCCATGGTCAGATCTCTAAGTCATCAAAATAATTGAGTCTTCTTTTTCTTTATTTACCTTTCATGGCTCTGGCACACGGGAAGCACTTAAGGGTCCTAAGCAATTCTATCAGCAGGAGGTGATGCACACAGATTGAACAAAACTCTTACAATCTGCTCAGAGCTACTCGGGAGGTAGTGCAAAGACAGTGGACATGAGTTTCCACCCTTCCCCACCTTGCCTGGCCTCTTTCCTCTTGAAATTCAAGTCTCAAGGTCAAGTTCAGACAAACAGATACACATACTTGGGCTGTCTACTCTAGGACACTCACTGGATTTTACTGCTTCAGGAACTCAAATCTCCTTCTTTCCTCTAACCATCTGTACCAGCCCTCTGCATGGCCCACAGTGACAAGCATCTTTCTCTCTCCCTCCCTTCATGCACTGCCCTGAACTGGGGATTGCCCTTTGACCCAGGTGTGGACAACCAGGCAACACGCTACCCTCCTACACAAAGGACAAAGGGAAGAGTAGAGGCCAGATCTGAAACAAGGCCTCCACCGCAATGCCACTTAAACTCAAACTTCAGGATCCTCTAGGACTGCGCTTTGCAAACTTCAGTATGTTTAAAAATCACCATGAGCAATGATGAAAACAGACTGCTAGAGTCCAGCTCCAAAGATTCTAATTCTGTATCTCTGCAGTAGAGCCCAGGAGTCTGTGTTTTAAACGTTTCCAGGGGATGCTGACAAAGTGAGTCCAGGGGCCACACCTGAAGCAAACTTGCTAAGTTACCCTCACTTCCTCTGACTGGCTGATTTTCAGGGTTTCCAGAGACTTCCGGTGGGTAAAAATTTTCCTTGTGCTTCCTCCTCCTATCCCTGAACTCTTCAGGTCAGGAAGCCTCAAGAGTCAGCACATAAAGTTCTCTATCTTCTTTCACTCCCTTGGTGAACATATCCAGCCTCAGGCCTTCAACACAATCTACACACTGATGACTCCATGGCAACCTGCCATCTCCACTCTTATGTCTAAAAAGCAACTCAAAAAACATGTTCAAAAGAAAAGTCCAGATTTGCCCCTAGAGGTACTTCTCTCCTTTGAAATGAAGAGGAAATATTCTAGTCATCCTTGATTTCTTCCTCGTACTCTACATCCAATCCATCAGCAAATACCTACAAATCAGAACCAGAATCAGATTATTCTTGCTGCCACCGTCCACACCATCATGTCTCACCTGCATTAACGTGACAGCCCCCTAAATGGCCTCTGCATTCCTACTCCTGTTCGTTTCAGTCTACTTCCTACACAGCAGCTGGAGTGATCTTTTAAAAATATAAACTCATATTCTTCTCTGGCCAAAACCATCATTTTACTCAAAACCTTGCACCAAGGTCCTTTCAATGGCCCAAAGACCTTACACTATCTTCCTTCCCAATATTCAGTTTCCCACTTATCCTCCCTCTTTCTCATTCTGCTCAGCTCTGGCTTCCTTGCTGTTCTTCACATGCCCTCATCACCGGGCCTTCGTGTTGTTCTCTTTGCCTTTTTCATCAGATGCCTGCAGGCCCCTCACCTGCTTTGGGTCCCTATTCAAGCACCATTTTCTCAGTGAAATTCATCCCTCATTATCCTTCTCAAATTGGCAAACCAGCACTTCCTACACCCTCCTCTGCTTCATTTTTCTCCATGAAACTGACACCCTACCTACAGTCTATTTTTCTTGTTGACCATCTTTCTCCACCCACAAGAATGTGAACTCTATGAGGGCCAGTATTTCAGTTGGCACCTGGCACACAGCAGGTGCTCAATAAATATTTAAATGGGAGAACGGGAGTAACCTGAACTCAGCTTGCTGATATGGATCCTTGGGTCCTCTTGATGTCATCTTCACAGCAGAAGTGATTTTCTTCTCCAGTTCATGGACTTAGTAATTTGGGTGCTAAGGACTATGCTGGCTGTGTTGGGACCCAAGAGTGAACAGGGCAGACAACGACTCTGTGCTCATGCAGCTGCTAACATTCTAGGTGGAAATCAGCAGCCATAATGAATATCTACTGTGTTCCATGTGCTTAGGATACATTTCTGGACTGCATGGAGCTCACATTGGGGGAGAAAGAGGGTGACAGAAAGAGTTGGTACAAAGGCAGTGGGACAAAGAAGTAATGGGAATAAGAGATAATTGCAGAGGTAGAAATAACAAAACTAAAAGAATAATTCCATGTAGGGATGAAGAGGAGGAGAAATAAATATGATTCTGAGGTTGAAGTCTGAGGAAAACAGGTAAATTATGAAGTTATGATAAAATAATAAGATAGCAAAAGGGAAAGCAGGGTTTTGAAAATTGCAGCTCTAGTTTCTCAAAACTGGAGTTATCAAAAGGTTTAGGTTCGAATTCTGGTTCAGCCACTTTGTAGTTATATTAACACCACAGGAGAGACTTAACCTTTTGAATGAGTCTGTACTTCTGTCAAATAAAGATAATCCTTACTTGCAAAACTAAAATAATTTAAGTTTTTCTCTCTTTCACACACACATGCCTATGTGAATAAACTTCAAAGCCCAGTACGTGGTACACAGAAAATCATCAATATACTATTACCATTGACCCAACCCAGCATTAACCTAGGAATACAGGAACTCATGCATTTAGTAAATGTACATTCAGTGTCTAACAACATCTTAGGAGAATAAACACTAGACATACAGCAGTAAATTAAGATGGAAAAGGTAATTGTTCTCATGGTGCTTACTTTCGGGTGGGTTAATCTCTCTACAAATTAGGTGACCTTTGGTTGCAAAAAGGGCTATGAAGAAAATAAAGCAAACATGATAGATTCCTGTTTTCCAACAAGAATGTAGGTGCTATCAGGTGAACATATGTGGCAGCTGTGGAAAGAGCAACATTAAATCAGGTGGTCAGGGACAGTCTCTAAGAGCTGCCTGACAAATAAATCAGCTGTGAAAAAAGCTGGGATGAGACAAGTCCAGAAGGAAGCATAAGCGCAAAGACCTGGTTTCTGTTTAGAAGGTCTCCTGGCCAGGTCTTACCTGTTAAGTTTTTTTAACTTTTTAAACCTTAGCAACTCATCTGTGACATGGGGATAATAGCTAACATACAAACTTGCTCAGAAAATTCAATAGAAATACATTCATTTATTCAAATATTTATTGGCAAGCCTGGCACTGTCCTAGACACCATGGATAAATAATACCTGGCATATAGTAAGCACTCAGTTAATATACACCATCACAGTTACTCTAATTATTTCTACCCTGCGTTTCTTCAGCATGGCGCTGAAACAGTGTAAGCCTTTACTGACCCAGTGACACACTACTAGGAGCCAAGAAGAGAATACACTAAATAAAGACACTGGGAAATTCCTCAAACCTCCCCCATTTCTAGGGGAAGGCAGGTGTGGCTAAGGGGTCTGAATGAACATTTGTGATATCAATGGGATGAAGAATGAGGTCACCAAGAGACCTGGCATTGCCACAAAAGAGAACCAAAGTTCACTCACCTGGAGCTCTAGTGTCAAGAGATGTGGGGTTATTTCTCCTTCTTTTATACAATTATCTCCGAGAAACGAACAATTCCAAGAAGGAAGCCTGTGAAAGAAAAATGAACAGCAGGATAACATGATTTAATCCCAATTCCCACCACGCCACAGGGGGAAATCTCTCAGTGCCAGCTGGATGTAATCTACCCCTTCCTGTAATCTACCCTCGCTACTTGCTTCAGGAGCCGAGGAAAAGAACCTCTCTTCCTACAGGACTCAGAGTACAAGGGACACGCCATTCCTGATGCCCAAAGAAACCGTCTACAAGCCTACTTTCACTGCCCCTTTCAGGAGACAAGGAGAATCAAGACAAAATCTCAAGATTTTAATCCAGAGCTGACTGTCACATGCTGTGGGACACTTACAAGTGAAATTCTGCCTGTGTGTGCTTAGGCGGCTACAAAAAGCAGAGCCAGCAACGATACAGCAAACCAACTCCTAGGACTTGCACAGCGCTTAATACATTTCAAAGGATAAAATTAGAACACAGGGAATCAACTTCCTGTTTACAGAAATGACTTCGCAGAAAACTCTGAAATTACTCCACAAGTGGGTGGGCGGCTACCCTGAGAAAATTCATGTCATCGATCCGCAACTGACACAGTGGAGTCTCCCGCACTGCAGATCTCATCTCAAAGCCAGAGCTGGCCTCAAACTGCTTTTCCAAGCCTGGACTGCGAGGGCTGCCGACCCGGGCCCACCCCGCACAGGCGCTCAGAATGTTCGATACGTGCGCCTCCTTACACCCCTGCCTCACCAGGCCGAGCTCATGGAAATCCGTGGGCTTCGACCCTCCGCCGCACGTTGTCCCTTCACACTGGTCCTATAGAGCCGATCCTAATTCCCATGGCCTGACAGTACAACCGCATGGAGATGCACGTCTCTAAGACGCCTCACCACTGCCTAAGAAGCAATCAAGGTGACGCGCCCACCGGAAACGGAAGTAGTCGACTCGAGGTGTGGGACTACCTTTCCCAGAACCCTCCGCAGCGCAGTCCGATCCTAGGGGCGATGGTGTCGTAAATGCGCGTCCACCTCGAGTCACGCCCACTGCGAGGCGGCGGGAGGCGGCATGCAAGGTGTTTCTGAGTTGAAAAGAATGTCTTTACTCAGTACTAACATATTCGCGTTGTAGCAAACCTGACTATATTCTCAAACAAGCCCATCATCCCATCACCAGGGATATAAAGCATTATTGATTTTCTGGTGTAAAAGCCAACTAAATATTTATTTCAAAAGTAGTTCATATTACATGTAAAGAATGGTTTAAAAAAAATTCTTACTTAATCCCTGGTTTATGTGAGTAAATATGAATTCTTAAGAATCCCATTTCCCAAATGGCATCATAATATTTTGTAATCATTTCTTGCCACAGGTCATATATCGTGGATAGTTCTGTATGTCACAAAAGACGTAGAGATACATAGAGATAATAAAAAAACACAAATTATTTGCAATACTTGCCTAGCATTCTTTAGTTTTTAGGGAAGTTACCCCTTTGTCCTGCATTGAACTTACACTTCTAATTTTATGATATCAAAACTACACACAATCACTTTCTTTAATATTTTCCCAATTTGATGGACTAAATATCCTGTCTTATTTTCCCAATTTGACAGAGTAAATATGCTTATTACCGATTGCATTTCATTGTCATCTTTTATTGTCATACACTCTCTGTGTATGAATGATATCGCTTCTAAGTGATGAATTGCTCCCCCAGTTTCAACATTTATAAAGTAGTTTAGAAAAAAAAAAAAACAAAAAACTTCATCTGACAAGGTATATCAGTCTTTTCATTTGTGGCTTCTTTTTTTTCTCCAGTATGACCAAAAAGACATTCCTTAGCCTGATTCCCAATAAGTGCATATCTATATTCATTTCAGGCTCTTTCATTTTTCTTTTGAATCACCGCGTGATTCATTTAAGTGTATGATATGAAAGGAAGATGGAGTTTCCTGTTTCACCAAAGGATTGTCTACTTTTCTTAACAAAATTTACATAAATATTAATTCTTTCCTTTCTGATTTAAACGGCATCCTAATCACTTACTACATTACTATATATATAATGAAATATTTTCTGGGATACAAGTGTGTTCTGAAGATAGAGATTGCTTTTTCTGTGCCATGATGAAAGGTTTCAGTTACAGTGATAACTCATTTCCTTATCTCTCCCTCCTTGTTGTGTTTCAAAAATTTCATCCTAGAAGTTCTAGAACTCTCTCTTATAAACAGATTATCGAATTGTTTTGATAAATTCTAAAAAATTGCCAATTGACTCCAAAGCATCCAAGCCCTTCAGATATTTGGTTCCAAACCCACCCCTCTTTGCTTGGGTAGACACAGTCCTACTTCCCATCCTGTGTCCTCCAGTTTTACAAATGTCTGAATTTGCTGCTATTGTTCTTCCCTCTGTAAGTCCATCCTTTCCTGTACTATTAAAATCTTACTCCATATTTAAGACACAACTTGAATATAATTTCCTCTATCGAGTGTTTTTGAACTCTATATCATAATTCAATGAACAGATCAGTCTGTGATTGGGAGAATTTCATGCGAGTGTAGTGGATGTTAAATACCACTCTCAGAACATTCTCATTTCCCCGAGAAATCAATAAATTATATTACTCTGGGATCCAGCAACACATGGTTTAAATTGCTGGTTACCACCTTTCACATGGCCTCCATGGTCAGATCTCTAAGTCATCAAAATAATTGACTCTTCTTTTTCTTTATTTTCTTTATTTACCTTTCATGGCTCTGGCACATGGGAAGCACTTAAGCAATTCAATCAAGTGTCTTGGCCGGGCACGGTGGCTCATGCCTGTAATCAGAGCACTTTGGGAGGCCGAGGCAGGCAGATCACGAGGTCAGGAGATCGAGACCATCCTGGCTAACACGGTGAAACCCCATCTCTACTAAAAATACAAAAAAGAAAACAAAAAAAATTAGCCGGGCATGGTGGGGGGTGCCTGTAGTCACAGCTAGTCAGGAGGCTGAGGCAGGAGAATAGTATGAACCCGGGAGAAGGAGCTTGCAGTGAGCCGAGATCAAACCACTGCACTCTAGCCTGGGCGACAGCGCAAGACTCCATCTCAAAAAATAATAATAATAAAATAAACATAAAAATAATTATTTTAAAAAGGTGTCTTGACCTGGAAGCTAAGAGCCAACCTGCACAAAGTGTGGGTAGATGAATCCATTCCAAGGCCCAAGGTAAATATTCAGCCTTCATCCTACCTCATACAAACTGCAAAACACTGTAGAAACCGTGTGTCAACTGAATTTGAAACTGCTGTAATTTCCGACTCCCTAACAGTTTTGTTATTGTTAAGAAAAAATAACCCAATTTTAAGTAGGCAAGGTATTTCCGTAGACATATCTTAAACGAAAATAAACAAATAGGCAAGAGACACATGAAATGACTCTCCACATCCTCAGTCATTAGGGAAATGGAAGTCAAAACAATGGTGCTACTTCACACTCACTAGAATGGTCAGGATTGAAAAGCAGAAAATAGGCTGGGCACAGTGGCTCACGCCTGCATCCCAGAACTTTGGGAGGCTGAGGTGGGCGGATCACCTGAGGTCTGGAGTTCGAGACCAGTCTAGCTAACATGGTAAAGCCCCTTTTCTACTAAAAATACAAAAAATTAGCTGGGTGTGGTAGCATGCATCCGTAATCCCAGCTATTCGGGAGGCAGAGGTTGCAGTGAGCCGAGATCGCACCACCGCACTCCAGCTTGGGCAACAAGAGTGAAACTAAATCACACACACACACAAAAAAAAAACAGAAAATAAAAAATGCTGACGATCATGTAAAGAAGCTGTAACATTCCGGCACTGCTGGTAGGAATTTCAAAATCTACAGCCATATTGGAAAATAATCTGGAAGATCCTCAACATGTTAAACATCATAGAAGTCTCCAAATGATGCAGCAATTCCACACCTAGGTATGAACCAAGAGAAAACATTTGTCCAAACTAAATATTGTACAGGAGTGTTCATAGCAGCATTATTCAAAGAAGTAGAAATCCATCACCTTAAACGGGTGAATCTTATCCAGGGCATCCACGTGGAGACAGGGGCAGACACAGGGAAAGAGAATGAGGAAATGTCTGAAATGGAGGCCGAAAGAGAGACAATGAGAAGGCCTGTGAATGGAAGAAACCGAGCGCAGGGAAAACAGTCATACGTATACATCAGAGATCTGAGAACGCGGGATCATACCGACAGTGTCACTGCCAGGAAAGGGGGTCAAGCTAGGGATGTCCCCGGTGGCGTCGCCCGCAGAAACACGGACAGGTTTGGGGTTCACGCTGGCACGGGCGCCAGCAGCCACGTCAGCAGGCAGGAGGGTCCCACTGCACAGCTGAGGGGTGATGATAGCCCAGGTGGTGATGTCGGCCATCAGAGGGGCCTCTCCTGCCAGCAAATGTGTGACAGTAGCAAGTAAAAGGACAGGTCTTTGTGTGAGGCCGGAATGCGGGAAGGGCTCTTCTGTGGCTGAGTGTGGAGTCCTCAGCAGGAATGTGGATAAATGGCCAGGTAACTGCATCACGTTGGCTAGGAGGATGGCAAGGACTTCGAGCTGAATGATGATAACGGGGAGTGACTGTGAGACCCTGCGAGGCTCTGAGTGTAAAAGAAGATGGGTGCGGGGCCCCAGGGGAGTATGTGGGAGCCACTGCTGTGTAGATGGAGGTCGTTGGGGAAGAATCTGGTGAGCTCTGTGAATTTCCAGGGGTCTCCTGTGTGCTGGGGGCTGACTCTTGCAGAAAACTGGGGATGGTTGGAGAGTAGCTGGGAGACAGGAAAGAGACCCTAAGGAATGGCGGTACAAAGGTCAGAGAGGAGCAGGAGGAGCACGGTGAGGTCTGTGAGTTTCCAGGTGAGTCCTGTGTGTTAGGGGCTGGCCCCAGGAGAAATCTGGGGATTGTTGGAGAGGAGCAGGGGGATGCTGGAGAGTCTCTGAGGGATGGGGATGCAGAGATGGGAGACAGAGGTGAGGAGCACAGGGAGGTCTGTGGGTTGCTAGGTGATGCCCTGAGCATGAGAGGCTGACTCCAAGAGAAATCTGCAGATGGCTGGAGGGGAGCTGGGAGACACAGGAGAGCATCTGAGGGCTGCAGATGAGCAAATGGGAGACATGATTAAGGAGGGCACCGACATTTGTGAGATTCTCGGTGACCCCCAGGTGTGGGGGGCTGTGTGTTGCAGAAACCTTGGGATAATGGGAGAGTAGCTGGGACACACACACAAGTAGCCAAGGGCCTGGAGTACAGAGTTGGGAGACATGGGGATGGAGCCCCGTGAGGACGCTGAGTTTCCAGGTGTTTCTTTGGTATGGGAGGCTAACTAGCTGAGAAAGGTGGGGAGGTCTGAAGAGTAACTGGGAAACGTGGGACTGTCCCTAGGGGGTGGGGGTGAAGACATGGGACACATAGGGGAGGAGTGCAGTAGGAACTGTGAATTTCTGAGTGTTGCCTCGGTGTGTCGGTTTGACTGTTGTAGAAACCTGGGGCTGGTTGGAGTGGAGCTGGGGGAAACCAGAGAGTCTCTGGGGGATGAGTATGAAGAGATGGAACACATTGGGGAGGAGCACAGGGAGGTCACTGAGTTTCTAAGTGATTGCTGCGGGAGAGAGGCAGACCCCGATAGATATCTGGCAATGCTGGGAGAGTAGCTGGGACAGACAGGAGAGACGCTGAGGGCTGGTGAGGACATGAGACAGACTGGGGAGTAACTCAGTGAAAGTGGTGAGTTTGGTGCAGATTTATGGGTGCCTGGAACTGATTCCCGCGGAAATCTGGGCATGGTTGAAGAGTAGCTGTCACAGACAGAAGAGTCCCTGAGGGTTTAAGAATTACCCGTGTAAGTGAAAAGACTTTTAAGAAAGAGTGGAGATATGCGTTGCATAAATATTCTTTTGCTCTAGAACCACGTAGAGACATGGGAGCCAGTTGGGTGGAGCATTCATTGGATGTGCTTGGCTTAGGAATATCAAGGAATATCAAGGTGTGGCTCCAGATAATTCAATCATCTAATTAAGTTTTCAGTTATGCTAATCTGTTTTAAAATTCTGTTTGTGTAAATTCTTTTACTCAGACTGAGAATGGCAATGCCTCAACTCCAATTTCCAGGGAGGGTTGAAAGCCTCAGGTTGAGCTGATCACCAATCGCCTATGGTTTCACCCATCATGCCTATAGAATGAGGTCTCCATAAAAACCCAAAAGGACTGGGTTTAGAGAGCTTCTGGATAAAACTTCCCGAAAAGTAGTGCGCCCCTCCCCACATGCCGGGCCCAAAATCCGTTTTCTGAATTTTTTGCAATATCCGCTATCATACAATGGTAAATGGAAGTGTTTCCCTGCGTGCTGTGAGCACTTCCAGCAAATTCATGCAACTAAATCAGGGAGTGGTGGAAACCTGATTTATAGCCAGTTGCTAGGAAGCACAGGTAAAACAACGTAGGGCTTCCCACTGTTCTTAGAGTGGGAGGCCAGTCTTGCGGGACTGAGCCCTTTGGAATCTAATGCTATGTCCCGGTAGATAGCGTCATCATTGAATTAGAAGACACATGTATGTTGAGAATAATTTTTCTAGTCATTTGCTGTATGTCTTATTTACAATATGTAATCAAATTCTTTGTCCTGACTTTATGGCACCTGGATTGGGAACCATGATTTGAACCAAAAGGTGGTCTGTCACTTTCTCAGTTTGAAACTTTATTTTGCCGCTAGCGTTTTGCTATTCTTTTTTCGTTTTGTTTTGTTTCGTTTTGTTTTCAAGTTCTGGGGTATATGTGCAGGATGCGCAGATTTGTTACAAAGGTAAACGTGTGCCGTGGTGGTTTGCTGCACCTGTCGACACGTCACCTAGGTATTAAGCCCAGCCATGCAAAAGCTATTTCCCTTAATGCTCTCCCTCCCCCAACCCCACCCCATGACAGGCCCCAATGTGTGTTGTTCCCCTTCCTGTGTCCATGTGTTCTCATTTTTCAGCTCCCATTATAAGTGAGAATGTGCTGGTTGGTGTTGTGTTCCTGGATTAGTTTGCTGAGGACAATGACTTCACATCACTAGTGTTTTGTTTCTATTTTAAAGACTAGTATTTTATTGAATAAGATTTATTCACAGAAAAATAAGCTTTAATCTACAATGAATGCCAGAGTGTACAGCAGAAAGCAATTTTCTCAGTTTTCCACACACAAGGGTTCCTAGTAAGTGAAAAAAGCCATAAAATCTCATTCACAAATGTACTACTCTGTCTCAAAACATTTCACATAATTATGCACAACACTAATACAATTACATCTGTTACTCAGTCAGGTTAAAGTATCCCTCTAATAACTGATTTTTAAAATGCTCTCAATATCCACTCCCTATCAGTCTGCCATTGTTAATGGTGTACAGCGTTATTGAATACAATGGAATCCATGAAGCCCATATCCACGGACAAACCGTGACTTATGATGGTTTGATTTATGATTTTTCAACTTTGTGATGGGTTTATTGGGACATTAGATGCATTTCTGAGTTACACTGGCTTTATCAGTATGTGACCCTATACTCCAGAAATAGCTGTATAAAGGAAAACAGGTGTACCTAATTAAATTATACTCAGTGACTTGAGAGAAACCAATAGATGTTTACAATTGATGGAGAACCGTGAAAGAGAGATACCAGTAAATAAAAACAATAACACAATTTTCCTGCAACTGTCGAGGATTTCCCAAAAAAACACAGAAAGTAGGATGCACCGAAGGCATATGAAAGAGAGACGGCAGAAGGAGTAAGAGAGAAATAGGAGGAAGGAAGGAAGGAAGGAAGGAGAAAACACCTGGTGTTACTAAAACCAAAAAAAGAAAAAATGGTTTCCCACTCTGGGTAATGGTACAATGTGGATGAACCTTGAAAATACTGTGCTAAGTGTAAAGTCAGTCATAAAAGCTCCCATATTGTATAATTCTGTTGATAGGAAAAGTCCAGAATATGCAAATCTATGGATATAGGGTTGAGCGCTCTATGTAATTGTTACCTAGGGCTGAGGATCGGCGAGATGGTTTGAGACAGAATGAGGAGTGACTCACGTTTACCGGGTTTTTCTCTGGTCGGGGGTGATAAAATGTTCTCAAATGGATTGCGAATTAAAATTGAACGTGCACAACCACAAGTATACTAAAAGCCACTCAATTCATGACTTTTAATGGGGGAATCTTATGTGGCGCACTCTCGTCGAGACCACGGCAGACATAGTGAAAGAGAAAAAGGTGAGTAAATATCTCAAATGGAGGCAGAAACAGAGAGAATGAAAAGCCCTGTGAATGGAAGCGAGAGAGAAAAGGGAAAATGGTCCTATTTACAAATGACAGATCTGAAACTGGGGCTCACATCAACAGTGTCACTGCCAGGGAGGAGGATCATGCTGGCCATGTCACCGGTAGTGTCGCCCGCAGGGACGCCGACATGCTGGAGGTTGGTGTCAGCATGGGCTCTGGCAGCCACGTGGGCCAGCAGGAGGGTCCCGCTGCACAGCTGTGGGGTGAGGATAGCCTGGGCGGTGATATCGGCCATTAGAGGGGCCTCTTCTGCTGGCAAGAGTGTGACAGTAGCAAGCAGATGGACAGGCCTGTGTGTGAGGACGGAATGCAGGAGGGGCTCTTCTGCGGCTGGGTGTGGGGCGCTCACCAGGAATGTGGAGAAATGGCCAGGTAACTGCGTCATGTTGGCTAGTAGATTGGCCAGGGCTTCGAACTGAAGGACAATAACGGGGAGTAGCTGTCAGGCCCTGGGAGTGTCTGAGTGTAAGTGGAGATGGGTTTGGGGTCACTGAGGGATACGTGGGAGCCACCCCTGTATAGATACAGGTCATAGGGAAATAGTCTCGTGAGGCCTGTGAGTGTCTAGGGTTCTCCTGGGTGCCTGGGGCTGACAGCGGCAGAAATCCGGGGAAGGCCAGAGAGAAGCTGGGAGACACAGGAGAGTCCCTGAAGGCTGGGGGTGAAGAGGTGAAAGAAATGGGGGAGGGTGGCAGTAAGGTCCGTAAGTTTGTAGGTGATTCCTGGGTGTGGGAAGCTGACTCCAGCTGAAATCTGGAGATGGTTGGAGAGTAGCTGAGAGAGACAGAAGAGCCCCTGAGGGCTGGGGGTGAAAACATGAGTGAGACTGGGGAGTAACTGAGTGAAATTGGTGAGTTTGCTGGTGTGTCCTGGGTGCCTGGAACTGACTCCAGCTGGAATCTAGAGAAGTTTTGAGAGTAGCTGAAAGAGACACAAGAGTCCCTGTGGGCTGACGGCAAAGACCTGAGAGGGAACGCGGAGGATCTCAGTGAGGTCTGTGGGTCTGTAGGTGATTCCTAAGTGTAGGAGTCTGACGCCCGCTGAAATCTGGGCATGGCTGGAGAGTAGCGGGGACAGACGGGAGAGTCCCAGGGGGCTGGGGGTGAAGATATGAGAGAGACTGGGGAGTAACTCAGTGAAACTGGTGAGTTTGTAGGTGATTCCTGGGTGCCTGGAACTGACTCTCGCTGAAATCTGGGCGTGGTTGGAGAGTAGCTGGGACACACAGGAGAGTCCCTGAGGGCTGGGGGTGAAGACACAAAAGAGACTGGGGAGTAACTCAGTGAAACTGGTGAGTTTGGTGGTGATTCCGGAGTGCCCGGAACTGACTCCAGCTGAAATCTGGGCGTGGTTGGAGAGTAGCTGGGACAGACAGGAGAGTCCCTGAGGGCTGGTGAAGACGTGAGAGAGACTGGAGAGTAATTGAGGGAAACTGGTGAGTTTGGTGGTGATTTCTGGGTGCCTGGAACTGACTCCCGCTGAAATGTGGGCGTGGTTGGAGAGTAGCTGGGGCACACAGGAGAGTCCCTAAGGGCTGGTGAAGACATGAGAGAGACTGGGAAGTAATGCAGTGAAATTGGTGAGTTTGGTGGTGATTTCTGGGTACCTGGAACTGACTCCCGCTGAAATGTGGGCGTGGTTGGACAGTAGCTGGGACAGACAGGAGAGTCCCTGAGGCTTGGGGATAAAGACGTGCTAGAGACTGCGGACTAACTCAGTGAAAGTGGTGAGCTTGGTGGTGATCCCTGGGTTCCTGGAAGTGACTCCCGCTGAAATGTGGGCGTGGTTGGAGAGTAGCTGGGACAGACAGGAGAGTCCGTAAGGGCTGGGGGTGAAGACATGAGAGAGACTGGCGAGGATCTCACTGAGGTCTGTGAGTTTGTAGGTGTTTCTGGGGTGCGGGACACCGACTCCCGCTGAAATCTGGACGTAGTTGGAGAGTAGCTGGGACAGACAGGAGAGTCATGGATGGCTGGGAGTGAGCTGCTGGATGATGGCAGTAAGAACATATGGTATATTATTGATGAATGAGGTGACTGTGAAGAATCTCCAGAGGAGGACACGGGAGAGCACAATGACATCAGTGATTGTCCTGCTTGGTCAGGAAAGGGAAATGTAAAGTTGTGAAATTCTGTTGATGGTGGATGTGAGAGTGGTGAAGCCCTGCGGCATGATGTAGAGTACTTCCACATCCCTGGTGAGGAGCTGCCCCTTGGGTCTGAGTTTCTGGGAGGGGAGAGGGAGAAGAAGCTGGGTGAGGCAGGCATGAATCTTGAGGAGTCAGGGCTGGGGGACCGCTCATAATCTCCCGAGACCTGTGAGTTTCTGGGGGACTCCTGGGTGCATGGGGCGGACTCTCGCAGAAACCTGGGGATGGTTGGAGAGTAACTGGGAGACACAGGAGAGTCCCTGAGGCCTGGGGGTGAAGAGATGAAAGACACAGGGGAGGAGCACCGTGAGGCTCGTGAGTTTGTAGGTGATTCCTGGGTGTGGGGGGCTGACTCCAGCTGAAATCTGGGGTTGTTTGGGGAGTAGCTGGGAGACACGGGAGACTCCCCGAGAGCTGCGGGTGAGCTGCTGGGTGATGGCAGTAAGAACATGTGGTATATTATTGATGAACGTGGTGATTCTAAAGAATCCCCAGAGGAGGACGCGGGAGAACCCAATGGCTTCATTGATTGCCCATCACGGTGAGGAAAGGGAAATGGGAGCTTGTGGGATTCTGGTGATGACAGAGGTGAGTGTGGTGAAGCCCTGGAGGGTGGTGAATTGTAGCTCCGGATCCCTGGTGAGGAGCTTCCTCTTAAGTCTGAGTTTCTGAGAGGAGAGAGGGAGAAGCTGGGTGAGGCTAGCATGGATCTTGGGGAGTCCGGGCTGGGGGACGGTTCATAAGAAGAGCCAGACAAGACCCTACTGTTCTTAGGTGCAGACATGATTAGGAAACCTGCAGCTCCCAAGGACCCCTACCAATTTCCTAACCCGCAGAATGAAGGAGTGTGTGTGTGTGTGTGTGTGTGTGTGTGTGTGTGTGTGTGGTGTGAGGTATGTGCTCCTTGAGAAAATGGAAATAAACCAACCAATGAGACAGACAGACAGACAGAGATTCACTTACCCAAGTGTTCTGTCCTGTCCTCTGAATCCGCTTCCAAGTCGCAAGACGCTGTAAGCTCCAAGTCCACGCAGAGCCCGCAAAACGCTCCGGCCGCTGCTCCGCTCTGTGAAGATCTGAGTACAGGCCCGCCAGGGTGGGTTTAAATAGCCTCGGGCGGGCGCAGCCTGGCAGCGGAAAGGGCGGAGCTTCACTCCTCCTTTCCATCAGTCACCCCCAACTTTCCCAGGCTACACCGCGTAGGAAACTGCTCTCCTGATTTGATTTCATGCGCCACATTTGGGACAATCTAAGAACTTACGAGTTTTTTTGGCCAAATATATTACGAATTACATGCACTGAAACACTGAAAACCATCTAGTGGTTCTGTGGTTCTCACATTGTGGTTTTGACACCAGCAGCATCCTTGCAACCCTCAAACCCCGGAGATCCACAGATCTGTGTTGTAACAAGCCCTCCCCCTGACCCTGATGCATGGCAGTTTAAGAATTACCCGTGTAAGTGAAAAGACTTTTAAGAAAGAGTGGAGATATGCGTTGTATAAACATTCTTTTGCTCTGGAACCACGTAGAGACTTGAGAGCCAGTTGGGTGGAGCATTCATTGGATGAGGGTGCTTGGCTTAGGAATATCAAAGGTGTGGCTCCAGATAATTCAATCATCTAATTAAGTTTTCAGTTATGCTAATCTGTTGTAAAATTCCGTTTGTGTAAATTCTTTTACTCAGACTGAGAATGGCAATGCCTCAACCTCAATTTCCAGGGAGGGTTGAGAGCCTCAGGTTGAGTTGATCACCAATCGCCTATGGTTTCACCCATCATGCCTATAGAATGAGGTCTCCATAAAAACCCAAAAGGACTGGGTTTAGAGAGCTTCTGGATAAAACTTCCCGGAAGGTAGTGCACCCCTCCCCACATGCCGGGCCCAAAATCTGTTTTCTGAATTTTTTGCAATATCCGCTATCATACAATGGTAAATGGAAGTGTTTCCCTGCGTGCTGTGAGCTCTTCCAGCAAATTCATGCAACTAAATCAGGGAGTGGTGGAAACCTGATTTATAGCTATTTGGTGAGAAGCGAGGTAAAAAAAACATAGGGCTTCCCATTGTTATTAGAGTGGGAGGCCAGTCTGCGGAACTGAGCCCTGTGGAATCTAATGCTATGTCCAGGTAGATAGTGACATAATGGAATTAGAAGACACCCAGCTGGTGTCCACAGCAGAATGGATTGTGTGCTTGACTGACTGAAAGAAATCCCCAGACATGTCCTCACAGAAATCTTCTGTGCTGATTGTTGTGATGTGAGAACGGAGGAAAAACAGTTTTTGTTTTTTTCACTCAGCCTAAAATGTAAACGTGTCCAGTTTCTCACGCTATTGAGGATCACGTGATTTATAATAAAAATGTTTAATATTTGTCAAATTTATGTATAAAAAGGATGTTGGTTTTCATTTTATTGCTAACAATCAAGGTGGTCATCGTTGATGCCTTTTCATCATTTTTCTTTTCACTGCGTTATGTCTTTCACCCCCTTTTTAATTTTTAATATTTCATTTAAAAATTTTTTTACACCAGGTGCAGTGGCTCACGCCTGTAATCCCAGCACTTTGGGAGGCCGAGGTGGGTGGATCACGAGGTCAGGAGATCGAGACCATCCTGGCTAACACGGTGAAACCCCGTCTCTACTAAAAAAAAAAAAATTACAAAAAATTAGCCGGGCGTGGTGGCAGGTGCCTGTAGTCCCAGCTACTGGGGAGGCTGAGGCAGGAGAATGGTGTGAACCTGGAAGATGGAGGTTGCAGTGAGCCGAGATCGCGCCACTGCACTCCAGCCTGGGCGACAGAGCGAGACTCCATCTCAAAAAAAAATAAAAGAGAAAAGAAAAGAACTGCCCCAAATTATTAACTCCATTCTCACCTCACATGCTGTGAGCCAGGGAGTAGGGACTTTGAGGATTATAAAGCATATGAGCAAATGTAAGTTGTTAAATTACACTCAACAAATTTGAAGTTTGAACGCTCTATGTATATTTGATAAAATTAGAGATTTAGTGTTAATTATTTTAGGTGTAATAGCAGCATTTATTACATTTCTGATCGTGTTTCTGGGCAATTGCAGTTCCAGATTCAGCTGCACTTTTCCTCTAGGTCTTCATTCCCTGAAGAGGTTGATATGGGCATCTGGTCTCATTCCTGATGCATTCCTCAGATCAGAGTAGTTGTCAGGGTGAGGGATGAGAAAGGCATTTGTGTGAGAGAGCTGTGTGGACTTTGGCAGATAGGGAAAAAACAAGAGTCTTGAGGTGCCATGTGTCCCATGCCTTTGGCTCCCCGCCTTTTCCACCCTGCTGTCTGCCCTGAAAGGCCGCCATTGCCTTCTGGCCTTGCTTGTCTTTGGCCAATGGGAAGTCTCAACAGGAAAGTTTGGAGAGAGGAAGAAGTGTGAGTTGGAGTATCTTGTCCCCCAGTTCTCTCTCTGCAGGATTGTCACAGATTAGCTGCCCTTCTAAACAACAGGTCATAGTTTAGGCGGCCCTGGCCACACAGTCCTCTTAGTTCCAGGCTCCAGGGACTGCTCCCTCCCCTTACCTCTTAAGGCCCAGGTGTTATAATGGCACCTCCCTGTCACTTCCCAGGACAGAGCCTTATCCACTGTGACTTCCTTACCCCCAGCCAACACCATTGTAAGCCGTCTGTTTATTAAACTCCCCTCAAATTTCAATGTGCCATCTGGTTCGTGCCACGGCCCTGACTTGATACAGGCAGGTAGTGTCTGAAGCCAGAAATTCAGGAAACCAAACCCCCAACCATATATATGTGAGTGCATGTGTGTAGATGTGTGCTTCAAAATAAACCTGTCCCATTATTGGCTCTTCAGTGAGAACAGGTACTGGAAGTAGAGGGTGAGTTTATGTCTTTGCACGTGCATCTAATGTATAATATCCAAGCCAATTCTATTTGTGCATTTGTTAATATTGAGAAACATTGATTGAGTGCTTGTTAAATGATAAGATCCTTACCAAGTACAGTGGATAAAAGACTACAGCTTGGTTATTTTTTTTTTTTTTAGGATTTGTAGTTTTTTGACAGGGGAAAGGAGGAGTGTTTTCTTGGTAGGTTTTAACTATTGTAAAATGATGTAATTCATGCTGTACTAATGAGTTGAACACTCCTTATTTTGGCCTTTGTTGGAGCCCAAAATAAGAAGTGATTAATGATGTCTCTTAAAGGTAGGAAAGGAGAGAAAAAGAGTCCAAGGATTTACCAAAAAGACATTTCATATTCTATTAACCTGATTCTATAACCCTGTGAGCTGCAATTCAAAGGGTAGCCCACAGACCAGTGCCAATAAATGATATTGGTCTGTGACCAGATAATTTGAGAACTTGAGTGTAGATGTTTAAAATTTTGTCTTATTGATTAACATAATAATAACAATCAGGCTTTAATTTGCTTACCTTCTTAATTTTCTTTTTCCAGTAATTTCTTGTTACTGTATCTTACCAAAATATCAGTCTGTGACAGACTGAAAGTAACCGTAATAATAATTTAAAAACTAGTCCTTTATCACAGTTAGTGTGAGAAGCACTATCTGAGAAGACAGAAACTGGTTTTGGCCTTTTATTTTTTAATCTTCGGAGTTTCCACAGTGCCTAAAGTGGCAATTTTATACAGTAAGTTTCTCCACGAAGGCCAGAGGCAATTGTGTTTACAGAGTTTATCAGATGGAATCCCAAGAAAAAATAAACAGAACACTCAAATTGGGTAATTTGAGAAGAGCTTAATAAAGGGACAGTCTATAAAGTCGTAGGCAGGCTGTGGTAATCAACAAAGGATACTGCAATATTTCAGAGCTAGTGATAGCAGGGTAAATTACTGGCTTTAGGACTGAAGGGCTAAGGGAGGAGGCAGTCACTAAAACCTGAAGAAAGATTTATGGGATGACAGCTGCCTGATGGAGGCCATGACCTTTGGTCAATGGATATGGAATATAGCCATTCCACAGCAACCTCTAGGGAAAAACCTGGGGGAATAAATATTCTGACTTCACTCTTGTCCCTTCCCTGGATCTCTTGCTGGCTTTCCCCATTGGCTGAACCCAACTGGAAGCTAATTGGCAAGGGAATCCACTGATATAAGCAGAACAGGAAGGGGCTTTAGTGTATATGAAGTGGCAAGCTTAGAAGGTCTCTGTCTACCCACTTTGGTCTACCTGCAGTCTGAGGATATTTATAGCTCAGTATACTGTGAGCATTTGCAGAGCAGAGAATGTGTCTTATATGTCATAGGTGTGTCATCAATACTTGCAAAAGCAGGGGATAGAATGGGTGCTGGAGAGAGAGTTTAGGAAGACAAGAGTCAAGGTGTAGATGTTTAAAAATTTGTATTATTGATTAACATAATAATAAAAATCGGGATTTAATTTGTATGTCTTGGCTAACTACAAGTCCTTCAGACCACAGGCCTGGCCATACAAGATTAAGTCTTGCAAATGAAAGTGGAAATAGCAGAAGGTCGCTGTCATCCTGAGATTGCTCTCTTTTTTTTTTTTTTTTGAGACAAAGTGTCTCTCTGTTGCCCAGGCTGGAGTGTAGTGATGCAATCACGGCTCACTGCAGCCTCCGCCTCCCAGGTGCAAGTGATTGTCCTGTCTCAGCCTCCTGGGTAGCTGGGATTACAGGTGCCCGCCACCATGCCCAGCTAATTTTGTATTTTTAGTAGAGACAGGGTTTCACCATGTTGTCCAGGCTGGTCTCAAATTCCTGGCCTCAAGTGATCCACCCGTCTGGGGTTCCCAAAGTGCTGGGATCACAGGTGTGAGCCACTGTGCCTAGCCCTGAGATTGCTCTCTTAATCAGCAATTCCAGAGCCTCTTTTCCAGCGGAATTCAGATGTAGACTATGTCAGTTCATTCACAAGTCTGAGAAATGGAAAACAATGTGCAGGTTTTGACCCAAAAGCTTGAGGAGAGAGACAGGAGTTACACAGTGGTCTGAGATTGAGGGACTGGGTTCGAATCGAGGGAAGTCTTGAGGAGGTGGGAGTTCAGTCTGTTCAGAGTGAGAAGAGATGATATCTAGGGAGAGGAGAAAGTGTGAGAAACTTGTACAGATAAGGAAGGAACCAATGTTCATTCACAACTTGTTGGATCCATGATCTCATGGATTCTTTCTTCTTTGCAGTTCTGCTTTTCCAGAATTCTGCCCTTTCCAAAAGGAAGACGGTATGATTAAGTTCCAGGTAAGTTAAGGGTTTCTTTCACTTTAAATATACTGTTCATTCTGAGGAACGAGACACTTCTGTTTTCTGAAAGAAGGTCAGCATTTTTTGAGTGACTACTATGTATTAGGTACTTTATCTGCTCATAATGACTTTGTGAGGCAGGTGATATGACTCCCTTTATAGAAGTGAAGAAACAAACTCACAGATTTCAAGATGTCTACTTTGGTGCTACTCTAAGTGTAGTTCATGTATCAGTACCAGTCCATGAACTCCTTGTCACTGCCCCATGAGGGAAAAAGAATCAAAAGTAAGTTCAGAAACTTTTATAGCAATTTGGTGTTGCCGCAGCATCCGAGTGCATGGGCAGCATATACATGACCATACTCTAAATGTCACTGGTCTACTTCGATAAGTAGCAAGATTTGAATGGGTATGTATTGGTCAGAGTTCAACCAGCAAGACAGACCAATAGGAGATATATTTTAAAAGATTTATTGTAAGGAATTGGCTTATATGATTATGGGGGCTAACTAGGCAAGTCCAAAATCCATAGGGCAGCCCCTCAGGAAGGGTGGGCTGGAACTCCTGGACACAGACTGAAGCTACTGTCTGTGGGTGGAATTTCTCCCCCTCCCAGGGAAGCCTCAGTTCTGCTCATAAGACCTTTCAGTTTATTGAATCAGACATACTCAGATTAGTTAGAATAATCTCCCTTAAAGTCAACTGATTATGGACTTTAATCACATCTACAAATTATCTTCATAGCAATACCTAGATTAGTGTTTGATTCAATAACTGAGGACTGTAGCTTAGCCAAATTGACACATTAAAAAGACCATCACAGTGTGGCAGAAGGATTTTCTTTTAATCATGAAAAATTTAATGATGAAAATACACAAAAAAGGGCAAAGGGTCTTATGATCCTCCATTTGCAGTACCCATCATGCAGTTTCAACAATTAACTTTTTGCCAAAGAGATTTGCTTAATCTCTGTTTCAGTATTTTTCTTTCCCAAAGTATTTGAAAGAGGCATGGTATTTTACACTGTATTGGTTTTTCTCTGAGCATATCACTTTTGTATAGTACCTTATTATATATGCAACTAAAATGAATGAGCTCACACTTTTATCCTTCTGCCTGGAAACCATCTTGCCCAAGTCCAAGATTCATTAGGTACATTTTCTATCTTCTAAATTACAGCAACAGTTCACCAAATGTTCACCACTGCATCACCCAGGTCACCATTTTTCCAGCCTCCTGTAACAGTGTCCTCAATGGTTTTGGCCTGGACCTAAAGCCAATGCCATGAATATTTGGTAGCACTCTGCTGGTTTTGGTTAGCTTGGGTATGTCCTCATAGCAAAGACAGAGGGGCAAGAGAGCAAGTGGGCATGTGAGATTTCTCAAGGCCCAGGCTTAGAACTGGCACATTATCACTTTTGCTTCATTTTGGTAGCCAGAGCAGGTTACATTGCCAAGTCAAAACTAAAGAGGTAAGGAAACACACTCTGGTCCTTTAGTGAGATTGGAGAGCATGGAAGAGGATATTTCTAAATAGCAATCTAATTTAACACACTCTCTATGTATTTCAGTATATATTTCCTTAAAAATGGACTAATGAGATAATCAATAATTATTTGGTATTATCTAATACCCAGACAATAATCAAATTTCCCTGATTATCTCAAAAAAATTTTGACAGTTGCTTTGTTCAAATGGGATCTTAAAAAGGTCTATACTATCATATAGTTGGTTGTTGTATCTCATAATGTCTTTTAATCTAGAGAAATCTGCCCATCTACTTTATTCTCTCCTGCTGTTGACTTGTCGTAGAAACCAAGTTTGGTGTCCTGTGTTCTTTCCTACATTTGGAATGCATTTGTTTGCTTCCTTTTGGTGTCTTTCAGTGTGTTACTCTATCCACAGTATTTTTTGTAAGTGGAAGCACCAGATGCTTGAATAGATTCAGGTTCAAGGTTTTACAAGAATATTTCATAGATGGTTTTACAAGAATACTTCACAAAGGAAAAGATTTAAAGATGTTTTGCATGTATTTATTGGTTTATAAATTTGGTTTCTTAATATTTGGGGGCTGTCCTTGTACCTGCATCCTATGGCATTCCCTGCCTAGGATTCCTACCACCCCAAGTAGGCTTCAGGGTATCTGTATTTCCTGAATGATTAATTCCAATTCAATTTTGTTGCCTCCCACAGAAGAAGGATACAGTAGTGTTACTGACAGAGCAGTGCTATTAGGACAACTGTGCTGACTCCCCTAGATTTTGTTTTTAATCATTGTCAGATTTTGGTAATTGGACAATTGTTAGTAACATATTCTTTTTGAAGTCCTTTATAACTGCTTACAACTTTCGTTTGAAAGCTCTGCTTTATTTAGAGATGCAGAATCTATTGAGAGAACATATCTGTAAATACTCGACTCTGAGCAGTGTGACATATGCAGTGATAGAAATATTTTATGTAAAAATTGGTGTCTTGATTAGGAGATGGTTATTAATATCAGATTATTCCCCGCATCCTTTTATTTTAAGAAATTTCAATTTATCGAGAAAATGAAAGAATAGCATAATGTGTAATCTTCACCTAGATTCACCAATTGTTAACAATCACCACAAACATATGCATAATATGTGTATATACACACACATATCTATATTTTATTTTGATGACCCAGTTGGGATAAATTGCAGACATCATTATAATTCATCCCTAAATATGTCAGTTTATATCTCCTAAGAATAAGAGCATTTTCCTACATTTCCACATTACTGCTAACATACTCAGGAAATTTCACATTGATACCATTATTTTTTAATAGTTGATATCCAAATGTTCTAAATTATCCTAATAATCTCCCTCTTCCCTTTTCTGTTTTTTGAATCTAGGAGCCAATGCTTTAAGTTACCCTGTCTTCTTACTTTCCTTTAACATGATAAAAATAGATTAATCTGCCATGAAAAAGTGAAAATACCAAACCTTGGTGTGTGATGGGAAATGAACTCATGAAACACTACTGGACTTATGTATCAGCACAACACCTTAGTATAGATTTATCTGCGCCTGTGTCCTGGGCCATATTTTATAATTTGATTAATATTGTCCTTTGGGAATCCCTGATTCAATAGGATTAGTATCCTTATGAAAAGAGACTCAACAGAGCTTGCTCTCATTCTCCCTCTGCCATGTAAGGACACAGTGAGAGGACAGCTGTCTACAAGCCAAGAGAAGAAACCTGAATGAAACCTATCTTGGTGGTACTTGATCTTAGACTTTCCAATCTCCAGAACTGTGAGAAATAAGTTTCTTTTGTTTGTTTAATCTAACCCAGACTATGGTATTTTATTAAGGCAGCCCAAACAGACTAAGACCAGTCATTTGTGTGGATGATTGATGTGGCATGTGGTTGATGTTTTAGGAAAGGGTGATATTCAAGGACGTGGCTGTTGTCCTCACCAAGGAAGAGCTGGCACTATTGGATAAAGCCCAGATAAACCTGTACCAAGATGTGATGTTGGAAAACTTCAGGAACCTCATGTCAGTGAGTGAGTAACTGAGCATCAGACCACTGGACCTGTTTCCTCAAATCATCATTTCAAGCCAGATAGAATATTCCAGTTAGACCACAAAGAGAAACTTTGACCACTGGAGAGAAAAATCCTAAGAGCTGCATGCACAAGTTAGGACCCTGCAGTTAATGAGCTTTTACAGATCATTGTGAGGATGTGGCTCCTTGTGATGGGTTTGTGAGGGAGCTCTCCCCAAATCTTCCACCCCTGGCCTGTGGGCATTCATTGCAGGAAGTAAGCCCTTCCTCCCCTACTCACATATTTAGGCTCTCATTCTTTCCTCATATTTCTCAGAATGAGACTGATAAAATTCACACACCACCAAGGACCTTGATCTATTTGTTGCTTCTGGAGAAAAGTCAATGTTTATCCAATGTTCTGGATAAACCAGTGTTAATGGAATCATGGGAGAACTTTGATTTTGTTGGAAGTTACAACAGCCAACACTTATGGGTATATAGTAAGTGTAATCTAAGTGTTGGCTTATTTGATTACTTTTTGATAAATATCCAACCTCATTTTCATTTCTCAAAGTTTCATGTACAGTTAGGTATTACCTAAGTTTAGTTTATAAGATAGTGATATGGTTTGGCTGTGTCCCTACCAAAGTCTCATCTTGAACTGTAGTTCCCATAATTCCCATAGGTTGTGGGAGGGGCCTGGTAGGAGGTAACTGAATCATGGAGGGGGGTCTTTCTCGTGCTGTTCTCATGATAGTGAATAAGTCTCATGAGATCTGATGGTTTTATAAATGGGTGTTCTGCACAAGATTTCTCTTTGCCTGCCACCATGTAAAACGTCCCTTTGCTCTTCCTTTGCCTTCCACCATGATTGTGAGGCCTCCCCAGCCATATGGAACTGTAAGTCAATTAAGCCTCTTTCATTTATAAATTACCCAATCTCAGGTATGTCTTTATTAGCAACGTGAGAACAGACTAATACAGATAGTTGATGTTATTATCCCCCTTTTATGGATGTATTACTCTGTTTTCACACTGCTGATAAAGACATATCCAAGACTGGGCAATTTACAAAATATGAAGGTTTAACGGACTTACAGTTCCACGTGGCTGGAGATGACTCACAATGATAGCGGAGGTGAAAGGCACGTCTCACATGGTGGCAGACAAGAGAAGAGAGCTTGTGCAGGGAAACTCCCCTTTCTAAAACCATCAGATCTCATGAGACTCATTCACTGTCATGAGAACAACACAGGAAAGACCCACCCCCATAATTCAGTCACTTCCCACTGGGTTCCACCCATGACACATGGGAATTGTGGGAGTTACAATTCAAGATGAGATTTGGGTGGAGACACAGCCAAACCATATCATCCGCCCCAGACCCTCCCAAATCTCATGCCCTCACATTTCAAAACCAATCATGCCTCCCAACAGTCCCCCAAAGTTTTAACTCAGTTCAGCATTAACTCAAAAGTCCACAGTCCAGTGTCTCAACTGAGACAAGCCAAGTCTCTTCCACCTATGAACCTGTAAAATCAAAAGCAAGGTAGTTACTTCCTAGCTACAGTGCAGGTACAGGCATTGTGTAAATACAGCTGTTCCAAATGGGAGAAATTGGCCAAAACAAATGGGCTACAGGCCCCATGCAAGTCTGAAATCCAGCAGGGCAGTCAAATCTTAAAGCTCAAAAATGATCTCCTTTGACTCCATGTCTTGCATCCTGATCACGCTGATGTTGGGTTTCCATGGTCTTGGGCGGCTCCGCCCCTGTGGCTCTGCAGAGTATAACCTCCCTTCTGGCTGCTTTCATGGGCTGCTGTTGAGTGTCTGTGGCTTTTCCAGGCACATGGTGCAAGCTGTCGGTGGATCTAGCATTCTGGGGTCTGAAGGACAGTGGCCCTCTTCTCACAGCTCCACTAGGCAGTGCCCTGGTAGGCACTGTGTGTGGGGGCTCTGACATGTGGGAATTATGAGACACAACATATAGGAATTATGGGAGTTACAATTCGAGAAGAGATTTGGGTAGGGACACAGCCAAGCCATATCAATGGATGAAACAACTGAGTCACAGAATTAATAACTTGCCCACAATCACACAGCTTATAAGAAGAACTAGGATTTGAACCCTCCTAATCTGGTCCTAGGTCCTGTGATTTTAATAAATAACCTCATGAAACCAAAGCGTAAACTGTAGACACAGGACCTTTTGCATAAATCTGCATATCTCTGCAGTTGTTTCTCAAACTGCAGGATAAAACCCTCTTGGTGAGTCCTGAAATCAAATTACTGTGTCATAACTAGCAATTTTTAAAAAGCAAAATAGATTAATAGAACAGAAAACAAAAGAATTTATCAAAGTACATTGCACACAGTATGTAACTATCAGCTGAGCAAGTTTTAGTGAGCAGTCTGTGTTGATGTTTGTGCCTATTCCTACTGAGTCACAATGCTGATTTTACTGTGGGTTACAATCAAAACAATTGGGAAACCACTGCTTAAACCCTATTCAGGGCAGCTCGTGGTCTCCCTTTCCCTGATACTATCTTATAAACTAAAGTCACTTTCAATAAAACAACCCAGAAAGGACCTTGAACCAGAAGCAGTATCCAGTGGGACTTGACCATGATATTCATGCCATTTTGAAACCCATCTTAGGATCCCAAGAATATGATCGTCCTCTTCTGCCTCAGCCCCCTGTTTGTTATATACCACAGTCTTGCTTCCCTGGGTGCCAGGCCATTGACAGTGCCACAGTATCTGTTCCCCATTTTCATAGTCATGGCTGTTTGAGATTCTGCAACAACTTAAAAGGGCAGAACTTAAGGAAATGGATTGTAGGATCTGAGTGGTCTCTATCTTTTCATGAAGACAAAGAACCTTGGGGAAAATAAAAAGGATGTCTCTTAAAGCTTGTCTCAGAGGTTTACATACGCATCCCCGCACAACGCCAGGACCATATTTCACAATGTTTACCCCATTTCAATCCCCATTGCCTTTTTATCCCCATCCCCTTTAGGCTCACCATGTACAGTTGTGCAGGTTGTACACAAACATACATGATAGTCCTCCATATGACAGTGATGTGAAGGAAGGGAAGCCATCAGGAGATAGGACTTGTTGCTTGTTTCTGAAACCTCTTGTGACCCTTTGTGTCCCTTACTCTGCCCAACATATAAAAAACACTCCATCAATATGTATTATTTATATACACACACACACTACATAAAATGGGAGCCTTTCCCATACCTTTTGTAGCAAGATTATTAAAGGCTTTTTATCGACTACTCTTATAGCAGGGAGGTGAATTTCTTCCTTCATAAATTTTTCCTAAGATTTCCTTTTTTTTCTTTTTTGCAGAGTAGGGGTGGAAAGGTCTTGCTCTGTCACCCAGGCTGGAATGCAGTGGCACAATCTTGGCTCACTGCAACCTCTGCCTCCCAGGATTAAGCAATCCTCCAACCTCAGATTTCCAAGTGGCTGGGATCATAGGCAAAACTGAGCCAATTTTTAATTTTTTTGTAGAGATGGGATCTCATCATATTGCCCAGCCTGGTCTTGATCTCCTGGGCTTGAGTGATCCTCCCACCTCAGCCTCTCAAAGTGTTGCTATTACAGGCATGAGCCACTGCACCTGGCCAAGATTTCTTTTAATTTCCCTACAACACTTGATTTCCAATTGGCAGCTCACAGGTTAGAATTACCGTGGCTCTAATTGTTTCATATGTCAATAGAAGCCAGGGACAACTTCCCACCCCATCATATTTCGTTTTCTCAAAACCTCTGGACAGATGATTGACTTGGTCTCTTAGCCACATTCTCTTTCTTCTCATAAGAGATGGGATTAAAAACAACATTTTGAATCTTCAGGAAAAGGGGTTGAATTACCTTTTACAAGAAGTGCTTCATTGCTGGCAGATTTCGAAACAAAGGATCCAGGATTTAACTGGGAGTCAGGATTATATCATGAACCTTCAAGAAGAGTGTTCCCCACATTTAAAAATGTTTCCCTCTGTGAAGAGTGAGCAGGCAAGTCTCTTCAGATTTCTGAAAATGAAAACTATGTAGCAAATGTCATTATCAAAAATCAGGATATCACAGCATGGCAAAGCCTGACACAGGTTCTTACCCCAGAATCGTGGAGGAAAGCCAACATAATGACCGAGCCCCAGAACTCTCAGGGAAGATATAAGGGAATTTACATGGAAGAGAAATTGTACAGACGTGCTCAGCATGATGACAGCCTCAACTGGACCTCACATGATCATCATGAGTCCCAAGAATGTAAAGGAGAGGACCCTGGTAGACATCCCAACTGCAGGAAAAACTTTGGTATGAAATCAACAGTTGAACAACATAATGCAGTCCATGTATTACCACAGCCTTTCACATGTAATAACTGTGGGGTGCCCTTTGCAGATGATACAGATCCTCATGTCCATCACAGCACTCACCTAGGAGAAAAATCTTATAAATGTGACCAGTATGGAAAGAACTTTAGTCAGAGCCAAGATCTTATCGTTCATTGTAAAACTCACTCTGGCGAGACTCCCTATGAATTCCACGAATGGCCTATGGGCTGCAAACAGAGCTCAGACCTTCCCAGATATCAGAAAGTCCCTTCAGGAAACAAACCCTACAAATGTAAAGAATGTGGCAAGGGCTTCAGGTGCAACTCCTTCCTTTATAACCATCATGGAGTCCACACAAGGGAGATGCCCTACAAATGTGATGCATGTGGGAAAGGGTTTGGATTTAGGTCACTTCTTTGTATTCATCAGGGAGTACACACAGGGAAAAGCCCTATAAAAGTGAAGAGTGTGGGAAGGGCTTTGATCAGAGCTCCAACCTTCTTGTCCATCAGAGAGTCCACGCTGGAGAGAAGCCCTACAAATGCAGTGAGTGTGGCAAGTGCTTTAGTTCAAGCTCCGTTCTTCAAGTCCACTGGAGGTTTCACACAGGGGAGAAACCTTATAGGTGTGATGAGTGTGGAAAGGGCTTCAGCCAAAGTACACACCTTCACATTCACCAGAGAGTCCACACAGGGGAGAAACCATACAAATGCAATGTGTGTGGAAAGGATTTTGTGTATAGCTCTGTTCTTCACACTCATCTGAGTTCACACTCGAGAAAAACCATATAAATGCAAAGTGTGTGGAAAGTGCTTTAGTTACAGTTCATATTTTCACTTACATCAAAGAGATCACACCAGAGAGAAACCATATAAATGTGATGAGTGTGGTAAAGACTTCAGTCGGAATTCAGATCTTCGTGTTCACCTCAGAGTCCACACAGGAGAGAGGCCCTATAAGTGTAAGGCATGTGGTAAGGGCTTCAGTCGTAATTCATACCTCCTTGCCCATCAGAGAGTGCATATAGATGAGACACAGTACACACATTGTGAGCGTGGCAAGGACCTTCTGACTCATCAAAGACTACATAAGCAGAGAGAAACATTATAAAGGTAGTAAGTCAGGGTTCAATTAGGAAAACAGAAGCCACACTGTATTCCAGATGATAGAGGCTAACTCAGCCTTTGGGAGGGCTGGGGGAGCAAAAGACAGGGACGCTGCCATCGATGAGGTCAGCATGACAGGCTGGGGGTTCGCGCTGGCACAGGCGCCGGCAGCCACATCGGCAGGCAGGAGGGTCCCGCTGCACAGCTGAGGGGTGATGATTGCCTGGGTGGTGATGTCGGCCATTAGACGCGCCTCTTCTGCCGGCAAGTGTGTGGCAGTATGAAGTAGAAGGACAAGCCTGTATTTGAGGCTGGAATGCGGAAGGGGCTCTTCTGCGGCTAGGTGTGGGACCCTGAGCAGGAATGTGGAGAAATGGGCAGGTAAATGCATCACGTTGGCCAGGAGATTTGCAAGGACTTACAGCTGAATGATGATAATGGGGAGTGACTGTGAGGCCCTGGGAGTCTCTGAGTGTAAAGGAAGATAGGTGTGGGGCCCCCAGGGAGTATGTGGGAGCCATTGCTGTGTAGGTGGAGGTAGTTGGGGAATAATCTGGTGAGCTCTGTGAATTTCTAGGGTTCTCCTGAATGCTGAGGGGTGACTCTTGCAGAAAACTGAGGATGCTTGGAGAATAGCTGGGAGACACAGATGAGGCCCTAAGGAATGGTGGTATAGAGGTGACAGAGATAAGGGAGGAGCACAGTGAGGTCTATGAGTTTCTGGGTGACTCCTGTGTGTTCAGGGCTGACCCAAGGAGAAATCTGGGGATGGTTGGAGAGGAGCTGGGAGACACAGGAGAGTCCCTGAGGGTTGCAGGTGAAGAGATGGGAGACGTGATAGAAGAGGGCCCTGAGATTTTTGTCTATAGGTGATACTTGGGTTTGGGAAGCTGAATGTTGCAGTAAGCTGGGGATTGAGAGAATCTGGGAGACACAGGAGAGTACCTGAGGGCCTGGAGTAAAGAGTTGGGAGACATGGGGCCAGAGCCCTGTGAGGTCCCTGAGTTTCTGCTTGTTACATGGGTGTCAGGGCCTGACTGTTACAGAAATCTAGGAATGATTGGAGAGTAATTGGGAGACATGAGACTCCCTGAGGGCTGGTGGTGAAGAGATGGGAGACATAGGGGAGGATCCCGTGAGGTCTATGAGTGTCTCTGTAATTCCTGGGTGTGGCAGGCAGACTGTCACTGAATATGAAGAATGTTCATGGCTTATATATTTTTTATTTTTACTTTATTTTCTAGGTCTCATCATAGCTCATATATAACACTCAAAACATCATTAAACCATCTAATCTAATATTCGACCATATCATTTCTTTCTTTACACGACTTGTGAGATAAGTAAGATATCAGTTAAAATTTTCATTTCAGCATCTGTTTTTCTCATATCCCCTTTGTGCTTCTTAAAGATGGTTAAAATAGGACAGACAGACTTGGAACTTTGTTCAACTGTCTTAGGAAAAGACCATTGCAGGGGCACAGTCTTTCAACCCCACTGGCCATGTAAGACTAGGCCTGGAGCCTGGAACACATCCTTCCCAAGAGATACTGAACCTCTTTCAGACTCATTGAGGGTTCTTCAAAGTGTGGGTCAGTGGTCCCCAAGGGATGCCCGCAGCTTTCAGTATTTCACACTCCATGAAAACATCAGCAACTGTTTTCCCAGACCTGACACTGCCAGGTGTGCAACAATCTCTGGATTAATCCTCATAGAGATGGCTCCACTTAGGGTCATCTCATAGGGATAGAATTTTGCTAAGGATAACCCCATCAGTTACCCTTTAAGTTTTCTTTCCTATCCCAAGGGTATTAACCTCTATTATCTGGTCTCTCAGTTCAACTTTCAGCTTATTACCTTTCTGGGATCAGAGGCTTCAATATATGGTCATCCACAGGATTCAAATTCATGATTCAAGGGAAAGGTCAGAAAGACATGTTAATCAAATCTTAAATATCAAAGAGTAACTAAAACTTTGCCTCATGAAAGCATTTTTGCAAGCATAATTTAGACGGTCAGCACTGAGCCAGGGAAGCACCCTTCTATTCAGAGGACTCTCACATCAGGGAACATATCCCAGAGGAAAGAGACAATGCTACATGAGGGGAAGAACTAAAACATGAAAATAGAGTTCCTTAATATTGCTTTGCATATATGAAAATAAGCCCACTTGCCCTCTATACTTCCCACGCATTCTCAGTTCTTCATATGAAACCATTTCTGGCCAAAATTTCTAGTTACCTATTTCCAGGAATCCATTTTATTTTCAATGAGGAATGTTCCTAGGAATCTATGTCCTAAGTAGTAATCTGCTCATGCTATTCCAAACATAAACCTCATTATCCTGAGGGATCTTTGCTATTTGGTTGCTTAGTCTTTCCTAAATAGTCAAAGAAGGAAATCTTTGTATTTCATTTTTGGCTTTGAATAATTTTTACTCATTATATCATTTATCATAGCATAACAGCGTACATTCCAAAAAGGAAGGCCCAACATAAACTGAGAAATTGAATAGATACATCCATAATCCCTTTCTATTCTAATCCATACACAAATATTTTATCATAATGGTTTTAGAAGTGAATATTATTTCTATATTCTTTTCCCACACTTTTCACTATATATCATAGACACTTTCCTAAAATTTATAAAATCTTCACATGTAACAACAGCAAGTGCTGTAAGGAACAGATTACAAGCTATCTAATTGGAAGATCATGTAGTAAAATGATGCACTAAAATATGGTTTTCCAGCCTAAGTTCTAAACACTACAGCAACCTTTAAATTTTCTCAATAAGCCCACTAGTGTTAGCATTCCATTTACTCTTTATGGAAAAAGAGGTCTAACACTGGCAGTTGGCTTTGGCATATGATTTTCTCTGATTCAGGTCTGAGTGCTTTCTGCAAGGAAAAGTGCCAGTATTTATTATTTTCATAGGAATATGTCATAAGAATCAAGTTTAACATTGTATATGGAATTGCCAGGTTGAAAAGTCGTTCATAGACTTTCCCCCTTTCTTTTCCAGAACAAATTTGAGACACACAATTAACAGAGGGCTGGAAGTTTTCCCACATATATTGTTTTTATAGTAGTTCTTCCAACTACATGTACTACCTTAAAATAAATTTTTTAAAAGAATGAAATAAAAAGGAAGAAATCCCAGCTGATTTACAAACTAGTTACATTCATAGAGTTTCTCTTCAGTATGAGTTGCCTGATGCCTAATAAGTTTATAGCTATTAATGAAAGCTTTTCCACACTGAATACATGTAAAGGGTTTCTCTCCAGTATGAGTTCTTTGATGCACAATAAGTCGAGCACTCAAGCTAAATGTTTTTCCACACTGATTACATTCAAATGGTTTCTCTCCAGTATGAGTTCTCTGATGTTGAGTAAGGCATGAACTCTGTCTGAAGGACTTCCCACATTGACTGCATTCATAGGGCTTTTCTCCAGTATGAGTTCTCTGATGTACAACAAGAACATAACTCTGGCTGAAGGATTTCCCACACTGATTACATTCATACGGTTTTTCCCCAGTGTGAATTCTCTGATGCATAACAAGGTGAGAACTGCGGTTAAAAGATTTTCCACATTCACTACATTCATACGGTTTCTCTCCAGTGTGAGTTCTTTGATGTGCAACAAGCTGAGAGCTCCAGCTGAAGGATTTCCCACACTGATTACATTCAAAGGGTTTTTCTCCTGTGTGAGTTCTCTGATGAGCAACAAGTTTATAACTTTGACTAAAGGATTTCCCACACTGATTGCATTCATAGGGTTTTTCCCCAGTATGAATTCTTTGATGTGCAATAAGTTTATAGCTCTGGATAAATGATTTCCCACATTGATTACATTCATAGGGCTTCTCTCCGGTATGTGTTCTTTGATGTGCAATAAGTTTATAGCTCTGCCTGAATGACTTTCCACACTGATTGCATTCATAAGGCTTCTCCCCAGTATGAGTTCTTTGATGCACAACAAGGACATAACTCTGGCTAAAGGATTTCCCACATTGATTACACCTGTAAGGTTTCTCTCCAGTATGAGTTCTCTGATGGGAAACAAGGTGCGAGCTCCGGCTGAAGGATTTTCCACATTCACTACATTCATAAGGTTTCTCCCCTGTGTGAGTTCTCTGATGTGCAACAAGATGCGAGCTCCAGCTGAAGGATTTCCCACACTGATTACATTCAAAAGGTTTCTCTTCAGAATTATTTCTCATGTTTTGAGTAAGGGAGGAACTATGAGAGGTTTCACTACATTTATATTGACTCTCTTCAAAAGGAATTCTCTGTTGTTCATTATGGGATATTTTGGGGTTCAAAACCTGCCCACATTCTTTAAAATCAAAGGTTTTTCCTCCTCCATGAATTTTTTCATGTATATGTAGGGGTGTACCATGGCAAAAAGATTGAATACGGTCACTAAATCCATAGGATTTATCTTTTGTTTGAGTTCTTGTAAACTGAATAAGGTGAATGCTCTGAGGGGGTTTTCCACATTCATTATTTTCATATAGTGTCTCATTCTCATTAATCTTCTGATGACTGTTTACAGCAGCATTAAGATGCCATTTTTTAGCATGTGATACATGTTTATGAAAATGGTTTCTTATGGGTATAACTGGGGATGAAAATAGACTGGAATTCAGACCACTCTTCTCCCCAGTTTCATCACTTTTGCAGACTCTCTCATGAATAACTGCTTTCCTTTGAGTGAATGCCACTTCCTGCAAAAGTATCTCTTGTTTTTCCTGTTGCTTCTCCAACTGGTCTTTACAATCATCCACTTCTTCACATGAAGATAACCAAGGATCATCCCTTGTAAACCTTTCTATCTTCACTCCATTAGCTGGTTCTTCATCAAAAATCCTCTGCTTTGAAGTTGAATCTTTTTTTCCAACTGCAGTTGCCAAGTCTGAAAGAAAGCAATATAAGACATCTTAGTCAAAAAATATTAGAGATGGAAAAATGGAATAAAGCTAACAAGAAAGTATGAAAAATATATATGAATTTGTTTTCAAATACTGACCGATAACCTAGGTTGAAAAAGCAAAAGGGTGAGATAAAGTATTAAGTACAGAACTACCACAGCCCAATATTACAACAGAGCATTAAAATGGAACTATTGTAATCTTGGTTTAATCTTAGTCTGAATAAATAAGACTCTGGATGTCAAATACCTGCATATTCCAAAATAAGATCATCTACATAGAACCTACAGAATTGCAACCCAATTTTGCAATATGTATAGAGAGTCTTTTCCACTCTTTAGTGCTACACAGATGTTCACTAAGAGATTAGTGTCTACATATCCAGGAATTTCTGAAGGCATAAAACTTGCTAAATACTCTACTCTGTGTCAGTGAGGCATGAGGAAACTATGTTTGTGAACAAAAGAAAAGGAATGGGGCATTATTATCCAGTTCCCTAACTACCTTAGGAACCAATAAAGCCCCACAAATTTCTGTGATTCCAACTGAGAGAGACTAGAAGTTTGCTCCTAGTAGCCTGGGTGGCTACTAGGTCAAGCAATAGAGAGTATATATGGAAAAAGTAGTCATGTATACAGTCCACCAGGAGGTGGGAAATGAAGAAAAAATGTGGCATCTTCTATGCGGATTTTTTCAAATGGACCTTCTACACCTGTAATGACCCCTATGTGTCTGGTTCTCACTTGAACACATGTATTGGAAAATTCTTTTTATATTCTTTCCCTTGCTCCAACTAGGAGATTGTATCTGCTTCAAAAAGCTGACAAGGAAAGATACAGGAATTTGAGTTTTCAAAGCTGGGGACAAAAGAAAATTACTGCAGAATCTGGTCCTGGCCTTTGGTCTTTAGGAACATGAAGACTGAAAATCTCAAGCCCAAGAATCTGCACTATTTCTACCCTACAAACTAAAATTAATCTTCACTGGGGAATAAAGAGCACAAACACAATCTAGATGCAGCCAAAATCATTCTGGCTGCTGAATTTCACAGTTCTTAATCGATCAGAATGTGAAATCATTTCAGTAGATGGATCTTCATTAAAGAGGAGTGTATTCTTACCCCAAGAGACTAGGTCCCTGTGGTTCTCCAGGATCACATCTCTGTCCAGGGTCCTCTGAGCAGGGTTGCAAGTACCCTGTTCCTCCCGTGTGAAGTCCACAGTCACAATTTTGAAGTTCACTCCTTCCTAAAAAAGGACACACATTCCTGCTCAGCTGGGCATCATTTCCTTCCAAAGTTCATGGAGGAGGAAAAGTCTGACAGATGGAAAAAGGAAAATTGGTGACCTGGGAGTTGTCCTTAAATTGTCAGTGCCCAAAAGATTCCAGTCAAGATGTACAGGTGCCTTCTGGGTGAGCTCTTTGGGTTTTGGATGCTGGACCTGTTTTTACAACTCCAAAGAGGAATACCAGATAAGAACTGATATAAACTATTTTATTTTGTCTGCCTTAAAAAGGATGCTTATTCTGACTTTTGCACTGGTGAATATAGAATTCCCACTTAGGAATTCCCTCTAAATTCCCAAGAAATTAATGAAACAGGGGTGGTTGATTTTTTTCTGTCAAAGGCCAGATAGTAAATATTTCACACTTTGCCAGCCATACAGTCTCTATCACACTACTCAACTCTGCTGCTATAGCAAGAAATTAGCCACAGAAAATATATAAACAAATGGGTGTGGCTACATTACAATAGATCTTTATTTACAAAAACAGCCACAGGCTGTACTTTGCTAATGCATGAGACAGAAAATGAAATGTGGACCTCGATGAAAAGCAGTATGTATAGGTGAAGAACACTGGATGTAGAAGATACAAAGACTTGGCTTTCTCACCTATAAAGGGCATATATCTGCTTAAGAAATACATCTAATCTGACAATCTGTCCTTTTTTTTTCTTTTGAGACAAGACCTCACTCTGTTGCCCAGGCTGGAGTACAGTGGCACAATCATGGCTCACTGCAGCCTCCATCTTCTGGGCTCAAGTGATCCTCCCACCTAGTCTCCCAAGTAGCTGGGACTACAGGTGTGCATCACCGTGCTTGGCTAATTTTTAAAATTTTGTAGAGACAGACCCTCAATATATTGCTTAGGCTGGTCTCAGACTCCTGTGTTCAAGGAATCTTCCCATCTCAGACTCCCACAGTGCTGGAATTACAGGGATGAGCCACCACACCTGACCCAATTGTCTTTCCCTGGCGAGTTTATTCCATTTCTATTTATTAGGCCTAATAATACCTAAATCATTGGGTTGAATGAATAATTACGATGATCTATGAAAAGCCACTAGCAGAGTTTACTGATGAAACAACGAAGGCCAGCAATTACAGGCTGAGTATCCCATAGCTAAAATACTTAGGACTGGAAGAATTTTGGATTTCAGATTTTGAAATATTTGCATTTACATGAGATGCCTTGAAGATGGGATCCAAGTCTAAACACAAATTCATTTATGTTTCATATACACCTTAAACATATAGCCTAATGGTAATTTTATGCAATTTTTAAAAAAATTTTGTGTATGAAACAGTTTTGACTGTTTTGACTATGAGTGGTCGCATGAGGTCAAGTGTAGAATTTTCCACTTGTGGCATTATGCTGGGGCTCCAAAACCTTCCAATTTTGGACAATTTCAGATTTTTGGATTAGGGGTGCTTAGCCTGTACTGTTATGATTAGTAGGTCTCAGGATCCTCAAAGATTAACTGAGAGCCAAAGTGACCTTTATTCTGAACTCTCAGTCTTCAAATAACAGTTCTGTTTCTATCCATATCCAGCTGCATGGCAGAGCCTTTTAGGAGACGTTTGCTGTTATTACTGCCATATAAATGGGGTCTCTTGGGCTGCCTCCTCTAAGCAGGAAAGGGCCTGTTCTTAAGATAACTGGGCAGGAATTTTAATCCAAAAGAGAAGTGCTAAGGGTGATCTGTCCTTACCCAGGCACAGCAAAGGCAAGGGGAAGTCGAATGCCTCTTGCCACTAAAGGCTCTTTAAATAGACCAGGCATTCTTGAGCTGCAGTTCATGAATAGGATACAGGGTCCTGAATGCCATGAAAGCACATGCAAAATACTGCTGTATATGCCTCTAAGTTTGAGCCTAAAAATTTCACTGAAACCTCAAATGTTTTCATGATTAGCCCAACGTGAAATTCAAAAAATAACTCGCCAACTGCTGCCTGTATTTAACATTAATCTTTAAGGTATTGTCTTTCAATCTGTAATGCATGCTTCTTTTTAATAAACACTCCCCCTTTCTGTGTAATATAGGTCTCTTTAGTATAAAGCTTGTTCAAATGTCAAACAGATAATACTAAACTAGATTAGCACCCCCACTCCACTCCCAACTATATATTCTCAAAGTTCCATGGACTTCTATAATCACACTTTCTTATTTGCAGAATGGTCATCTCTGTCACTAGGCCATGATCCATGAAGGCAGGGACAAGTATTTACAGTTTGCAAATGTAACTCCAATGCTTAGCATAGTGTTTATATATAGTAGATATTACATTTATATTTCACAAATTATTTCAGTAAGTGAATGAACACTATCAATAAACCTTATAAGATATCAAAATAACCCTCACCCAAATTGATTTAAGTCATCCCCCCTCACCTGAATCTCACAAGCTGTACCACATACCCATTTGAAAAGGCCCCTCAATGTGCAGATACTAGCTTTTCTGGACTTCTATCCCACTTATTCTATTCTTCTCACTTGTCCCAAATTCCTCATGCCTGAAAACTCCTTCCCAAAATCTTCAACTGCCCTTGAAACTCATCTTTTGTAACAATAAAATAGGATGGGTAGGGCGGCTCATGCCTATAATCCCAGCACTTTGGGAGACTGAGGTGGGTGGATCATTTCAGCCCAGGAATTCAAGACCAGCCTGGGCAACATGGTGAAACCCTGTCTCTACTAAAAACACAAAAAATTAGCCAGGTGTGCTGGTGCATGCCTATAGTCCCAGCTACTCAGGAGGCTGAGGTTTGGAGAATCACCTGAGCCTCGGAATTCAAGGCTGCAGTGAGCCATGATCACACCATTGCAGTCCAGCCTGGGTAACTGGAGTGAGACCCTGTCTCAAAATCATAATAACAATAAAATATTGCAGTTTCAGTATCCTTCACCAAACATTCCCTATACATCCCTGTGTTAATGGAGACTTATACTTCCTGCTGATGACTTCCCTCCTCCTCAGTCCTCAGAGGCTAAGAATGCTCATACTCTCCCATCCTAGATCTCAGCATCAAAGAAGGAGTGCATGTCCTCCCAGTTACTCTGAAACTCATGCCATTTACCTCACTTCTTGGAGCTCTGTCCTACCCACCTCCTGAACACCACCCCCACCCCATTCACTGAAGATTCATACTTGGGATTTATCCTCTAATATAAGAACTTGTAGTGTCTTATCTCATATTGTCTATAGCATCCACTTGTATAGTCAGCTGATGAGAATATAAAAATAACTGACTTTAATGAAGCACTTATGAGTTTGCATGAAGCACCACCATGGTGCCAGGCATTGTGCTAACATGTCATATGGATTATTCATTTAATTCTCAAAGGGCTCCTGTGAGAAAACACTATTAGCAGTATTATTTTTTTCTTATGAAGACCAAGGGAGTCAGAGAAATTAAGACATATGCCTAAGGTTAGTAGTAGAGGGATAAAACCTCAAGCTTGCACATTGATGACTGTGTTCTCAGTCATCAGTTCATATGGCTAACCCAAGTCTCATATTCTGAAGCTGCTCTTCATCAGCTCATTCTTCGGGGGACACCCCAGACCTTGAAATTGTCATAAAACACTCCACCTTTTGAATCACAAATACAAAACTGCCCACGTTTCACTACAATGTCAGATTGCTCCACTGTATTGGCTCAGTTTTTTCCCTTTACTCTTGTTCCTTGAAAGTTTAAGGCCATTATGCTACCGAAATGTCTACTATTACCACTACCAGCCTATATTCTTTTTCATTTCTACTTAGTGGGCTCTTTATCACTTCCATATTAATTACTCAATTTAAGGTTCATGGATCATTCTTTTTAATCTTTCTACTTGACGTATTTTTAAATTCTCTTTCAAGTATTCCCTTGACCTTTGGAGTGTCCACTCCATAGGAAGTGGACCTGGCAAATTACAAAAACTAAATGAATCTGAATGTCAATCTGCTATCTGTGGAAAGTGGGCTACAAATTGCCACTGCAGGGAAAAATCCACAAAAGCAGCAGGATAGAGTATTATAAATTAATGGCCACTATCTCTGAATGAAACTTTCAGATTGACCAGCAATCCTATTACATTTACTGGAGCAGCCTGTTTCCTCTCATAATCCAAAATTGCTATTTTAAGCCTTCTCTACCCTTGTCATACATCTCTCCATTCCAATTCCCACCATCATGCTCATCTGATTTTTCGCAGTGAAAGATCAAGCTTTCAAATAATTCCCTCAACCTCACTGTTCCTATATAAATCCTTCTCCTCATATAGAGCTAATTTATTCAAGATGTTCTGAATTAATTTCTCTGGTGCTAACCAAGGACTGTGCTTTATAGTTTCTCTCTTGTTGCCTGATGAATAACTTTTTTTCCTCTACTAACTCCTTCCTGTAATCATTTAAACTGAATTGAATATTTTCAATCCCTTTAAAAAAAACCCTCAATCTCAAAAGTCCTTGAAGTTTTCACTTTCTTCTACCTTCCACACAATAACCAAACTTCTTGAAAAAGTTGTCCACTTTTGTCTCCATTTCCTCACTTTCTTTCTTTCTTTTTTTTTTTTTTTTTGAGATGGAGTCTCACTCTGTCGCCCAGGCTGAAGTGCAGTGGCGCAATCTCGGCTCACTGCAAGCTCTGCCTCCCAGGTTCACACCATTCTCCTGCCTCAGCCTCCCGAGTAGCTGAGACTACAGGCACCCGCCACCACACCCAGCTAACTTTTTTTGTATTTTTTTAGTAGAGACGGGGTTTCACCGTGTTAGCCAGGATGGTCTCGATCTCCTGACCTCATGATCTGCCCGCCTCAGCCTCCCAAAGTGCTGGCAGCCACCGCGCCCGGCCTATTTCCTCACTTTCTACTCACTTCCCAGCCATGCACATTTCTCAGTGTAAAGACAGAGGCCTTGCCCAACCTACCTGAGATGGGATGGTCAGAGACCCAGTGTCTTCTCCCTCGACTTTGATGATAATCTCTTGAGGAAGGAAAGAATCCTGAAAAGGCAAAACAGATGAGAAAAAGGAAAATAATCAGGGAGCTAAGTGGCAGCTCAAATCTCCTCCGGTCAGTGGGCTAAGATTTGACATACCACCTATTTTAACGCATCCCTCCCACCATATTTCTCCTCCCTCCTCCTAGTGGTAAGCTCCGCTAACCATGTGGAGAGAGAGAGGAGATACATGGAGGAGCACCAAGGCCCACAGATACCTGGACATGAGGTCTTTTTGGGTCTTCTGGGCCAGCCCATTGCAGCTAAATGCAGCTGACTGAGTGATCCAAGACACTAAGGAGCACTAAGACGCTAAGAACTGTCCAGCGGGACCTGCCAAAATTCCTGGGTCACAAAATTATAAGCAAATAAAATGGAATACAGCATAACCAATGCCAGAATCATAAAGAAAAAGATCAACAAATTAATTTCATAAGATGTTTAGCAGGCCGGGTGCGGTGGCTTACACCTGTAATCCCAATACTTTGGAAGGCTGAGGCAGGCAGTTCACTTGAGGTCAGGAGTTTGAGACCAGCCTGGCCAACATGGTGAAACCCCGTCTCTACTAAATATACAAAAACTGGCCGGGCATGGTGACACGCACCTGTAGTCCCAGCTACTTGGGAGGCTGAGGCAGGAGAATCACTTGAACACAGGAGGTGGAGGTTGCAGTGATCCAAGATCATGCCACTGTACTCCAGCCTAGGCAACAGAGCAAGACTCCATCTCAAAAAAAAAAAAAAAAAAAAAAAAGTCTAGCAAAAGGTGCCACATGATCAATAAGAATCTATACTATTAAGACTTCTTCCAAATCAGTAAAAGGTAGCCTCAACTGACAAAGAAAAATGCACATGCAACTATGAAGAAACTGCTGTGAATATACAAACAGATGCTCGCCTCTTTACATCAAAATCAAACATCTGTTTCTTTATCTGTATATATTAGAGACCATAAGTTCACATGGATACCTCCAATTACAATTCAATAACACATTTTATTCTGTCTAGCTTTTCTCCTTTCTTTATGTATACTTTCTTTCTCTGGCTCCCATTTTCCTCTTTATATTTACTTATTTGCTCAAGCCCTGTACATAACCAACATCCTGACCACGTCGGGTGTTTTTGTGACAGTCACAGTCATTAGTCTGTTGCTAATGACTCCAGCTCTGGCAGCCCACTGGCCAAGAGCTTCATATATTCTTAGAAGAAGTATAAATTGATACAACCCTCCTGTATTGGCTATATATTAAATATCTGTATTTACAAATACTGCTTTATTTTGAAATCCTTAAAGATTCACAAGAAGTAGCAAAAATAGAGCCACACTCAGCTTTCCCTGGTAATATCATATATAATGACAGTACATTGTCAAAACCAGGAAATTGAAATTTTGGTACAATATTATTAATTCATGTACAGAGTTTATTCCATTTTTATGTACATTCTTTTATTTTTGTTTTTTTAAAGGCAATATTTTTAAAAGTGTAATGTAACATCCATTAAGTCTACTTGTAAGTACTTATCCTTAGGAAATAACATAAAGTACATCAGGATGCATATACAAGAAACCTCATTAGCAAGTTACATTATCATAGCAAGATGGGAAGGGAGACTAAATGTCCACTAGGAAGTGCCTGGTTAAATAAATTATGCTTTATTCAGATGACTGAATATTATTTAGCAGCCAAGAGAAGAAATAAATTTGCATGTACCGATACATATAAATAATAGAAAGATGTCTATAATATATTGCTGAGTGAAAAAATGAAGAACATTATACAGAAGATGAATAGATTTCTATAAAATATAAATATGCACGGAAAAATCTGGAAAGATGTTCTCAAAAGCATTAAAAGGAGTTATTCTTTGAAGGGGTAGAACTGAGGAGCAGGTTCACTGTCTCTCTTTTAATGCTGCATCCATGTTTTTCAAAACCACTTATTTTAATTAAATATTTGGAAACCAGGAAAGGTGCTTCCCTCTTTAAAAATCACCTTGAAACAACGCAATTCCTTTGTAGTGTCCTCAGGTTTTTTCCTACAGGATACAATAATTCAGTCTGTTAAATGATAGCCCATTCAAGGATACTTTGCTCCTCCTCAAATCAAACACTGAAAAGCAACTACTGCTAATTTTTGATAACTCATTTCTTTAGAAGCCATTGGATCAAAAACTAAAAGAAAATAAAAGTGGCCAGGTGCAGCAGTTCATACCTGTAATCACAGTGCTTTGGGAGGCTGAGGTGGAAGGATCACTTGAGCCCAGGAGTTCGAGCCCAGCCTCAGCAACACAGTGAGGCTCCCCTGTCTATACAAAATATATAAAATAGGCCGGGCATGGTGGCTCACACCTGTAATTCTAGCACTTTGGGAGGCCGAGGTGGGCAGATTGCCTGAACTCAGGAGTTCGAGACCAGCCTGGTCAACATGGCGAAACCCCATCTCTACTAAAAATACAAAAAAATACAAATTAGCTAGGTGTGGTATACCTGTAGTCCCAGCTACTTGGGAGGCTAAGGCATGAGAATCACCTGAACCGGAAGTTGGAGTTTGCAGCAAGCTGAGACCATGCCACTTCACTCCAGCCTGGGCAAGAGAGTGAGACTCCATCTCAAAAAATAATAAATAAATAAATAAATAAATAAGCCAGGCACGGTGGTATGTGCCTACAGTCCCAGCTACTTGGGAGGCAAAGATGGGAGGATCACTTGATGTGGAGAGGTCAAGGTATAAGTGTGTCAATTTTTTCTCCTTATCTATCTAGAAAATATTTTACTATTACAGTAGGAATGGTTATTAAAAATGGCTAGCATTAATGTATTTAAAGGTAGGAAAGGATTCTCCAAACCTAAAAACACCACTGTATATTTACTGGGTAGGTTGTGAGGTTCACAATAAGTATCAAAGAGCCAGAGCTGCTGCAATGTAAAGAAGGCCCAATGTGAAAGCCAAGAGGTTGTGTTGCTTGCATTACTACCACACATACTACAACAGTTAAACTGCCTTTTTATTTTTTGTAGAAGACAGGGTCTCGTCATGTTGCCCAGACTGGTCTCAAACTGCTGGTCTCAGCGCCATGACAGTTTTGTCAGGAAGTTACCCTCTATGGTCTAAAAAGGAGAGGAACCCTCAGTTCTGGGAATTGCCCACCCCAGTCCTGGAAAACTCATGAATAATCCACCCCTTGTTTAGCAGAAAATCAAGAAATAACCATAAAAATGGGCAACCAGAAGCCCCTGGGGCTGCTCTGCTTATGGAGTAGCCATTCCTTATTCTTTTACTTTTTTGTTTGTTTGTTTGTTTTGGTTTTGGTTTTGAGACAGAGTCTCGCGCTGTCCCCAGGCTGGAGTGCAGTGGCATGATCTCAACTCACTGCAACCTCCACCTCCGGGGTTCAAGTGACTCTCCTGCCTCAGCCTCCTAAGTAGCTGGGACTACAGGCGCACATCACCACGCCCAGCTAATTTTTGTATTTTTTGTAGAGATGGGGTTTCACCATGTTGGCCAGGATGGTCTTGACCTCTTGACCTTGTGATCTGCCCACACTGGCCTCCCAAAGTGCTGGGATTACAGGCGTGAGCCACCGTGCCCAGACTACTTTTAAAAATAAACTTGACGCCCTCGCCCTCGCCCTTGCCCTCTCCCTCTCCCTCTCCCCACGGTCTCCCTCTCCCTCTCTTTCCACGGTCTCCCTCTCCTTCTCTTTCCACGGTCTCCCTCTCCCTCTCTTTCCACGGTCTCCCTCTCCTTCTCTTTCCACGGTCTCCCTCTCCCTCTCTTTCCACGGTCTCCCTCTCCCTCTCCCTCTCTTTCCACGGTCTCCCTCTCCCTCTCTTTCCACGGTCTCCCTCTCCCTCTCTTTCCACGGTCTCCCTCTGATGCCGAGCCGAAGCTGGACTGTACTGCTGCCATCTCGGCTCACTGCAACCTCCCTGCCTGATTCTCCTGCCTCAGCCTGCCGAGTGCCCGCGATTGCAGGCGTGCGCCGCCACGCCTGACTGGTTTTCGTATTTTTTTGGTGGAGACGGGGTTTCGCTGTGTTGGCCGGGCTGGTCTCCAGCTCCTAACCTGAGTGATCCGCCAGCCTCGGCCTCCCAAGGTGCTGGGATTGCAGACGGAGTCTCGTTCACTCAGTGCTCAATGGTGCCCAGGCTGGAGTGCAGTGGCGTGATCTCGGCTCGCTACAACCTCCACCTCCCAGCTGCCTGCCTTGGCCTCCCAAAGTGCCAAGATTGCAGCCTCTGCCCAGCTGCCACCCCGTCTGGGAAGTGAGGAGCGTCTCTGCCTGGCTGCCCATTGTCTGGGATGTGAGGAGCCCCTCTGCCTGGCTGCCCAGTCTGGAAAGTGAGGAGCGTCTCTGCCCGGCGGCCATCCCATCTAGGAAGTGAGGAGCACCTCTGCCCGGCCGCAACCCCGTCTGGGAGGTGAGGAGCATCTCTGCCCGGTCGCCCCATCTGAGAAGTGAGGAGACCCTCTGCCTGGCAACCGCCCCGTCTGAGAAGTGAGGAGCCCCTCCGCCCGGCAGCCGCCCCGTCTGAGAAGTGAGGAGCCCCTCCGCCCGGCAGCCACCCTGTCTGGGAAGTGAGTAGCGTCTCCGCCCGGCAGCCACCCCGTCCGGGAGGGAGGTGGGGGTCAGCCCCCGCCCGGCCAGCCGCCCCGTCCGGGAGGGAGGTGGGGGGGCCAGCCTCCCGCCCGGCCAGCCGCCCCGTCCGGGAGGGAGGTGGGGGGGCCAGCCCCCCGCCGGGCCAGCCGCCCCGTCTGGGAGGTGAGGGGCGCCTCTGCCCGGCCACCACCCCGTCTGGGAGGTGTACCCAACAGCTCATTGAGAACGGGCCATGATGACAATGGCGGTTTTGTGGAATAGAAAAGGGGGAAAGGTGGGGAAAAGATTGAGAAATCGGATGGTTGCTGTGTCTGTGTAGAAAGAAGTAGACATGGGAGACTTTTCATTTTGTTCTGTACTAAGAAAAATTCTTCTGCCTTGGGATCCTGTTGATCTATGATCTTACCCCCAACCCTGTGCTCTCTGAAACATGTGCTGTGTCCACTCAGGGTTAAATGGATTAAGGGCGGTGCAAGATGTGCTTTGTTAAACAGATGCTTGAAGGCAGCATGCTCGTTAAGAGTCGTCACCACTCCCTAATCTCAAGTACCCAGGGACACAAACGCTGTGGAAGGCCGCAGGGTCCTCTGCCTAGGAAAACCAGAGACCTTTGTTCACTTGTTTATCTGCTGACCTTCCCTCCACTATTGTCCTATGACCCTGCCAAATCCCCCTCTGCGAGAAACACCCAAGAATGATCAATAAAAAAAAAAGAAAAAAAGAAAAAAAAAAGAAAAATTTAGAAATGGGAAAAAATAAATAAATAAATAAATAAACTTGACCGAAAGAAAAGAAAGAAAAGAAGAGAAGAGATGAGAAGAGAAGAACAAGAAAGAAAGAGAGAGAAAGAGAGAGAGAGAGAAAGAAAGAGAGAAAAGAAAAAGAAAGAAAGAGAGAGAGAAAGACAGGAAAGAAAGAGGGAAAAGAAAGAAAGAAAAGAAAGAAAGAAAGAAAGAAAAAGCAAGAAAGAAAGAAAAGAAAAGAAAGAAAAAGACAGGAAAGAAAGAGGGAAGGGAAGGGAAAGAGGGAAAGGAAGGGAAAGAAAGAGGGAAGGGAAGGGAAAGAGCGAAAGGAAGGGAAAGAAAGAGGGAAGGGAAGGGAAGGGAAAGAAAGGGAAAAAGGAAATAGGAGAAGGGAGGGAGGGAGGGAGGGAGGGAGGGAGGATGGAAGGAAAAAGAGAAAACAAAGAGAAAAGACAATACAAAAAAAACTACTGTTCTTAAGCAGTCCTCTTGCCTCAGCCTCCCAAAGTGGGATTACAGGCGTGAGTCACCACAACTGGCCTAAACTGCCTTGAAATTGCTGCATGAACATTACAAAATAGCCCAAAATGCCAGAAAACAAAAATAAAACTCACAATGCCAAAAAATAGCCACAACCAAACTACAGATGGTACAAGGGAGCCACAAGTTTTGACCCCAAACTGTTAATGGATTCAATCTTATCTGGCCTGAAAGAAAAATTACATTCCTGATATACACCCGTGACAAATACATCTTTTCTTAAAAAAATGCCTGGGAAATGAGAAAAGTTACTCAAGAAAGGAAAATTTGTAAATGCTAACCTGTATTTTAAGTTATTACAAACTCCTTCAGATAATATCACACTCTGTTAATTAAAAAAAAAAAGCTAATATCAGTTAAGAAATAATACCAAGAATTGGACAACTTAATGTTTTTCTCAGCAGGTACTTGGCAGAAACAAAATTCCAAAATGTCACTATCTGCCATAACTGCTAAAACTATTATACTTGCAGAATATGGTTGCACCTCCTCTTGAATGCAAACTGTTTTTAGCACCTTTTTGTTTAAAAGTTTTCACAAGAAAACAAAAGAAAGCTCATCTTTCCTCAAGGTAGACTCTGGATGAAATGTCCTTCCTTGCCCTGACCCCAGCAGTCAACTCTATCACTTTACCCTGCTTTCATATCTTCACATCACATATATTCTTCTACCTTTGGCTTTTTATTTAACTCTTCCACTAGAGTGAGTTTCATAAGAGCTGAGATCTTGTCTGTCCTGTTTACCGTGACTCCACCATGCTTAGATCACTACTGACACATAGCAGGCTCTTCATAAATGTATGCTGACTATAAACAGCCACTAGGAGAAGGGACATGGAATGTGCTACCTGTAACTTTGCATTTGTCCCTGGGGTCCCTGGAGGCACTAAAGCAAAGCTGAGCTCAAGCCCCTCCCTTGGTTAGAGGAAACCTTTGTTGGGTGCCTTTTCTTTGCAGAAAATTCAAAGTGTCAGTATCCAGAACCTGCTCCCAACTTACTCTTACAAACTAAATGCTCAGAAACAAGCTTGCAACAAATGCATGTGAGCCCGTGCATGCATGCACACCCACACACCCTGAATTTTTCCCCAGGTTCTACTCACTTTGGATTACTGACCATTTTAGGAATATCTCCTGAATTTACATCTTAGCTCCCTCAGTTTCCTTCAGATAATGTCAATGTAATCTATCATTTGCCTAGTATTTTTAGTAATACATAGAGTACTTCAACACAGAATTTCCATCTCACAAAATCATCTAAACTTTTTTTTTAAGAGCTAGGGTCTCATTTTGTTGCCTAAGCTGGAGTGCAGTGGCACCATCATAGCCTACTATAGTCTTGAACTCCTGGGCTCAAGCTATCCTACTGTCTCAGCCTCCCAAGAAGCTGGGACTACAGAGGCACGCCACCACAGCTGGCTAATTTTTTTGTTTTTATTTTTTGTAGAGGTGGGAGTTTCACTATGTTGCTCAGGCTGGTCTTGAACTCCTGGCCTCAAGTGATCCTCCCATGCTGGTCCCCCAAAGTGCTGGGATTACAGGTGTGAGCCACTTTACCTGGCCTAAACTTTTTTTTGAAGAAAAGAGTAATATGTCTATTCTATTTCACCAATGCAGAAATTAATGGTAATAAGGTTTAGTAAGCTCATTTAAGTCCACTGATTGCCTGACACAAACTCTTCTGCTTCCCACTGTCTTACCAAAGTCTGTCTAATCACCCAAGGCCCAGATCAAATGCCACCTCCTCCATGAAGCGTTCCCAGATAGCAGAAAGCTTCATCTCTTCTTCTCTCAGGACTTCTTAGCTTTGGTGGCCCTTTACTATACCAGTAAAATTATTCTCTTCATATTACTACCATTTCTATATACCTCTCCCCTGGGTCCTGGGTTCTATATTAGAAAGCACTGTGTATTTTTTATCTTTGTATTCTCCTCAGTATTGAGTAGGAGCACAATAAAAGTTCTCTGCATTTGACAAGACTAGAGACACGTGCAGAGTTTGGGACATAGGAATAGAATTAAAAACTTTTACTCTACTTTCTGTATGCTCTGGAGCATCTTTAAATTACCCTCTTGTTCAACAGTCACCTCTCTAGGTCATAAAGGAGCATTTCCCTTTTTCTTTGCAGACTTTACGAAATGGGAACAGGAATTAGACTGTTGACTTGCACAGAGAAAAGGGTTGTGGGCAGGAGATAATAATTGTTCCTTCTGTAATGTATGTGGGACCCCATGGGAACCAAAGCAGGGGGAAAGAGACAAGCAGAGCTATCATGGAGTGACCTGTCCGCTTCATAGTAAGACAGTGGTCAAATCAGACCTAGGGCTAGGGCTATTTGCTCACCTATAAATAGAGATGACCAAATATTCCTTTCCCAATCTGAGGTATTCTTGGGGCAATAAAATGAAGTTTCTAATCAAATCACAGAAATATTACTGGACTCAATTCTCAGAGCTTTGCTTTGGGGGTCTACTGGCAGGAAACCCTCTATATCTGTGAGAACATTTAGAAAACACAGGCGTCACACAGGCAGACTTCTTGGTGTGTTTCCATCTCTTCCTGCCCTGGGAGCTGGAAGGTGGAGCTCACATTTCAGCTCAAGGGATATGGCGTCCACAGGGCCCATGTGGGAGGCCCTGAGGTTTCTTAATCACCAAATCTAGAAGGCGTAAAACCAATATTCACAAACTACAGCACTGGAAAGAAGGTTCCCTTCCCTGATTTTCTCAGAAATCATCCTGACAAGAGGATCCCTTTAGTCCTCACGCACAAGAAAATTCCCTCTCCTGCCCCACCTTATCATCCATGAATAATTCTCACTGTCCTGAAATACACAGAATAGACCATCCACATAGGGCCACCAACAACCTGCACAACTTCGAATGTTGAGAATGACAGTGGATGGGTGAGATTCTACCACCTACTTGGCAGCAGTTTTGGTCTCAGTCCCTGAAGGCAGGTAGGGCTCAGAGTTGGCTCAAGGCCTTCGCTGGACCAGCTGCTACTTCCTGTGTATGAGCCACTAAAATCTCTAAGGTGATGCCCCAATACCCAGATGGTTTCTTCCTAGATCAGCTCACTGGACTCGTGGCCTTCGTTCAAAGCAAAGACTTTGGCTCCCTTGATTTTTCTCTCCCTTCCAGGGTTCTAATATCCTTCAGGTCCAAATCAAGTACTTGTTCATCTTCTGATAATAATTAAAATTAACTAGAGGACATTCAGAGTTGAGAAGTGTGGTAGCCAGACTCTGAGATGGCTCCCAAAGACCCTTACTACCTAGTATTCATGCCTTTGTGTAGTCCTTGACCAATGGTACCAAGGTGGGTCTGTGTGACCAACAGAATATGGAAGAAGTGATGGTGTGTCACTTCTGAAATCAGATGATAAAAGACATTGTGGCTTCATCTTGATTGTGTGCAACTAAGTGCTCTTGCTCTCTCTCTCTCTCTCACTGGGATCACCTGCTCTGGCAGAAATCCACTGCTATGCTGTGAACGCCCTGGAAAGAGGCCTCTCTGGTGTACAGCACCTCTTGCCAACAGCCATCTGAGTGAGTTTGCAACAATATCCTCCCACCTAGTCAAGCCTTCAGAAGTCAGCAGCCCAGACAACAACTTGCCTGCAACCTCATCAGGGACCCTGAGCACCAGAAACAACCAGTTAAGCTGACCTGGATTCCTGACCCTCAGAAATTGTGTGACGAAATAAACATTGGCTATTTTAAGCTGCAAAATTTTGGGGTATGTAATAACAGATAACTAATACAACAAACAGGATGTTTTTGCTTTCCCTATGTAGCCTTGGAAAGTATAAGAAGCGCGTTTCTGGTTGTGAGAACTAAGTCGTGCAGGGCAGTGCTGTCTGTCTCATCTTTCCCCACAGTGCTTTGCACAGGGCCTTACACTGGTTAGGCAGTCAATAAATATGTGACAAAAGTCATATAATGAACAGACTTCTAATTCAGCTCACAAAAAAGAAAATGGTAAAAGGACCATTAAGAGTCCCAGAAAACACCTAGTGCCTCGCTTAAATTAGAACACCAATGACCACATCAAAACACATTCTACCAGCCAGGCACTGCGGCTCACCCCGTAATCCCGGCACTTTGGGAGGCCAAGGTGGGAGGATGGCATGATCCCAGGAGTTCGAGACCAGCCTGAGCAACACAGCGAGACCCTGTCTCTACAAAAAGTAAAAAATAAAAAAATTAGCTGGGCGTGGTGGTGTGCACCTGTAGTCCCAAATACTCAGGAGGTTGAGGTGGGAGGATCACTTGAGCGCAGAAATTCCAGGCTGCAGTGATCTATGCTGGTGTGCCATGTACTCCAGACTGGGTGACAGAGTGAGACCCTGTCTCTTAAAAAACAACAAAATAACAAAACCCCACACATTTTACCTGTAGTTTTGATAAAGATATAAATGTAAACTTATATTTGCTTAACTCTTTCTAAAACAATTGCACATGTATACATGGAATCCCATACAAAACATTTATATCAATGCTATTTGTAACAGCAAAAAAATGTAACACTAAAGAGCCATTAACAATAAACCCATAAAACCTGTAACATATTTAGAAGGTGAAATGTGGGCACTAGGTATGCGTAGTGGTATTAGGATGTCACTGCTCCCAGCCCTCCGCGGACAGACAGGGAATCTGTGTGCACACATACGCACACCGATACAAGCACACATCTCTATATATTTCTAGATTAATGTGTACTGAAAACCATGAGCCCACAATAAAACCTCCAATTCCCACTGCACACCAGAGTCCACTCAAATGTTCTTTCTTGCCGTATCTGTACCTCCCTGATTTGATGGCAAGGCGCCTGGCTCCAGTCCCTTATATATACACTTACTTATCTGATCTAGCCCCCTGTAGGTAGTTCCTCTCCCATTTCCACAATGACGCCCTCTCCCTATGGATGCTTTCCCAGACTCCCTGGGCTCTGCCACCCCACACTCGGCCACCCTCTGCCCAGGGGAGCTCCTCACCCTGCTTAGGCTTTGACTCCCCGGGCTAGGCTGCCCCATCTCTCAGACTCACTCCTCTGCCACTTGGACTTGGACAGCCCACGTCAGGCCACCCCACTGTGTCAGTACCCTCCACATGCCGCTGGGCTCTGACACCCCTGCAGGCCACCCTCACGCATGATGCCCTCAACATGCTCATGCTCTGACATGCCACACCAGGCTGCACCTGACCCCCAACACAGGTGCACATCTCACCCCACTCTGGCTCCAACACCCCATCTACCATGGACACCTGCTCACTGCACTTGGGCTCCAACTACCCACAATGAAGCACCCCCTCTCTGGATGCCTTGCTCACCTGCTCTGACCCCATCACCCCACACCAGATCTCCATATATGGACACTGGCCTCAGCCACTTGGGCTCTGACACCCACATTGGGCTGCACCACGTGCACAAGCGACTTCTTCATTCCACTTGGGCTCTGACTATGCTGGGATGTCATCCTGTGCAGATGCACTCCTCACCCTGCTTGGTCACTGACACCCTGCACATGGACACTCTCTTCACAGCAGGCAGTCCTGACAACTGTAGGTGCCCCCTAACACTGCCCCACCTCACGGCTTCAAGGCTGACTTGTTCAGGAAGAGAAAGGAGAAGCTCTAATTTAACAGTTTTAAGAAATTAAGAGTTTTCAAAGAATATTTGCGGTGGGAAATGTTCTAAATTGTTAACTTGTTTTTTAGAGACAGAGTCTCACTCTGTTGTCCAGGCTGCAGTGCAGTGACACAATCATAGCTTACTACATCCTAGACCTCCTGGGCTCAGGCGATCCTCCCACCTCACCCACTCAAGTATCTGGGACTATAGGTGGACACCACTATCCTGGCTAATTTTTAAAATTTTTTATAGAGACAGGGTCTCACTATGTTGCCCAGGCTGGTCCTGTACTCCTGGCCTCAAGCAATCCTCCCACCTCGGCCTCCCAAAGTACTGGGATTATAGGTGTGAACCACTGTGCTTGGCCAATTGTCAATATTTTTACCTTAAAGTGTACTGTACAAAAATATGAAAATACAAGCCAGGTGTGGTAGCTTATATCTGTAATCCTAGCACTTTGGGAAGTTGAGGTGGGAGGATGGCTTGAAGCCAGGAGTTCGAGACCAGCCTGGAAAACATAGTGAGATATCGTTTCTACAAAAAATTTTTAAAATACACACACACAAAAAATATAAGCCAGGCTTGGTGGTGCCCACCTGTAGTCCCACCTATTCAGGCGGCTGAGGCAGGAGGATGGCTTGAGCCCAGAAGTTTGAGGCGGCAGTGAGCTAGGATTGTGTCACTGCACTCCAACCTGGACGACAGAGCAAGACTCTGTCTCAAAAAAAAAAAAAAAAAAAAAAAAAGAAGAAAGAAAAGAAAAAGAAAATACAGATAAATAAATGATAAAACAACTACAGATAATGTTTGTTAACTGATTGCTATATTTATAGTCTTCTAACATATTTTCTATATACCCAAAAACTATATCTCTTTTTAAAAAGTGATGATTTCTAAGTGCAATTTACTTAACATAGGTAATAAATAACTTTTTCTGTCATTAAATTTGCATTATCATCAGTTTCAATGGCTACAGTGTATTCTATTTCATGGTCTTATCGTAATTCATTCAGCTATCCTCTTACATTGCACATTTAGTATATTTCCAATTGTTCATTCTCAAAGCTGTGAATTGCTGGCCAAAAGGGAATCAGCATTTTAAGGGCTTTTGATTCAGGATGCCAAATTCCTTCCAGAAAGAGTTATCTGGGCTAAAAAGGTGAGGCAACTAGCAGGGAGATTCATAAAATATATAGTAAGTGTTAGAAGCCTGATGGCCATGAGGGCCTCAAACCCCCTAAAAGGCTGCAAAGAGAGTCAGGGAGGAGCCACAGCCTCCCAAGCTGAGAGGGTCAGGCTGCAGACAGACCCAAGCTCTGGGTCTCCACTCACCTGTGCACAGACCTTCGGGGGCTCTGGGGGCTTCTCATCCTGCTCTTCCATGCTCTCCTCCAGGCACAGCAGGGTGCTGAGGTCCTGAGCTGCACTGAGAGAAGCCCCAAGTACAGCATGAAGATGTAGGTCTGCCGGAACCGCTGGGCCCCCCACCCCCATTAGCCCCTGCTCCCAGGATGCAGGATGCATTCCCATAGCAAATGCACTTCTGGAGGTTCCTGCCAGCTTCCTGCCCAAATACCTGTGTATGTACTGAGAGTCCCTCAGTCCCTCTCCCAGGTCAAGTTTCTGCAGCTCCAACCTGGTTCCTCCACCATCTTGGGCCCCTGGACCATCTACCTGTAAGCCCAGCTTGTGCCCAACATGGCCTTCTGCCCACCACCAAAGTCTGCAGCACCAGTCCATCCCTCTCCTATTCACTGGGCCCTGGGATCCCCACAAATATCAGGCATATTGAGGACCCCCTGGTGTTCACCCCATCCTACCCCTACCAACCTCAATCTACAGCCCCAAACCAGCACTTCTTCCTAGGGCCAGAATCACACTCACTGCCTAACTGCATGAAGCTGGTGACACAGCTCCACTGCTCCCAGGAACTGATTCAACAACTAAGACTGATCCTACCGTTCCATCAGCCAGACCTGTCCCTCCAGCAACTCAGCACAGAGGGCCACCCACATCCTGCTCAAATAGCCAAGCATTTATGCACAGAGCTCAGCTATACCCACATCCTGTTCCCTCCACACTTCTGGGGTCCACTGGCTCCTACTCGAACAGCACCAGCCAGATTCCCACCCTAACACCCTCCCAGGCCCTGAATTTGTAGCTCTAAACCAGTCCCTCCACCAACTTGGGTATACTCAGGCCTGAAACTACAACAAGGCCTGCATAGGGCTGGGGGCCTCCAACAGACACCAGCACAAGCCAGACAAAAGCAGCCCTACCCAGGCTCTAAATACATGTCTCAGAAGCTCAGGTGCCTCTGTACCAACTAGGTGTTTTGGGATCCAAGACTAGAGGGCAAATCCTACCCTAGGCACCCCACCCTCTGCACTCCATCTCTCCCACTTACTCTCTCCCCTGCTCCCACCATATTCTCACGCAGCATAGCGTAGGTTCACAATGCAGCTGTTTCCTGAAATTGCACCCAAACTGTTTCCTCCACCTTACTCCACAGCCCCCTGCTTGAGCCACACCTGCCCAGATTCTGACCAAACATCTTTCGGGGGCACCTGTGGCTCAGGAAGATCCTGTCTTTCCACCAAACTGGGCACCATCAGGCTGTGATCAGGGTTCCAATCACACAAAGACCCCAGCACCCTCTGTCTAAAACTCATCTCCGGCCTCCTGTTTCCCAACCAAACACCGGTGTGTGTGCACAAGGGGTGCCTGACACAGTCCCGCCCCTCTGCAGCTGCTCCCCCCCACACACCTGGGCATCCTCAGGCAGAATCAGGGTCCTAGGACTGCCCATGCCTCCCCAATCTGCCCAAATGCCAGCACACGTGCAGAGTGTTGCTGGAGCAGCCCCGTGCCTCCTAAGACCAGATCCAAACTGGAGCCCCCAGGCCTCTATTCCACAGCCACTGCACACGGGCCACCCACCTAGACTCCCTCCTACTGATACAGCCACAGAGCAGGTTCGTGCTCACAATCTGCATCCAGGACCTGGCTCCTCTGCCCGTCTGGGGGCACACCATGCTCCTGAGTCAACAATCTACATCCCTCACCCTGTGTCTCAACCTGCCTGGGACATCTCAGGTACCCACAGCCTCTGTGTAGGTTCTGGGGTCAACTGCCCCACTATTTGCCCGCAGCCAGGACACTACAACAACTAAACAGTAGCTTGAGCATACAGCTCCATAATCAGCCCCAGGACTTGGGCACTCGCCAGCGTGGGGGTTCTCGAGCCTACGATACAGCAGCTCAATGGGAACTGGGCCCTTTGTCCTTCTCTTGCCCAATCATGACGGCCTGGGTGTTGTGCAGTCAGCTCTTCCCGGGACCAAATCTGCAGCACAGGCTCTGTCCCTCTACTAACCTGCACATTCTCACGCCTGCAAATAGCGTACCCAAGTAAAGGTCTCAGCAACACCTGCTTCATAACGATGCTGGCAACATACTGCTTCCTCCCCAGCTACCAATTTGATGGCAGCTGTTGCAGCTCTGTCCTTCCTGGACTTAAATTCTGTATCTCCAACCCGGAGTCTCTGCCCATCTTGAATGCTCTAGAGCTCTGCACTATCCTACATAGGTCCCTACTATCAGTTCAAGTTTCTGTTTTCCATTCAGACACCCCCAGGACGTGCAGGGGGCCCTCTGCCCAGAACCTGTTTCTAGGCCCTGATACCCTCCTTCAGCCTGGGAGTTTGCTGCCCATGGGTAATTCCCACCAAGGGTTCACTAGCAACACTGCCTCTTCTGGCACAAGAATCTGCAACTCCAATCTGGTCTCTCCACCAACCACAGCGCCCCCAGACCTTGGAGAAGCGCGTTGTCTGCTCTAGGGGCCCAGAGCCACCTGCTCGGAATCTTACCTACAACCTTTTGCTTCCTACCCAAATACCTGATCAAGAGTAAAGGGACAGTGGCACAGCCCCTCCTCTCCAGAAACCACAATCTGCAATGGAGCACTCCATCAACCCGGACATCCTCAGGCCTCCACTAAATAAGCCCGGCATTGGAGGAGGGGAGTTCTCAAGATGTCCCCTTACATCAATGCATGTGCCCTGTGTTCCAGCAACCTGGGCATCCTCAGGCCCCAGACAAGAGCACCACCTGACCAAGCACCCGCGCATGCACGCAGAGGACAGTCGCGGAATATACAGCTGTATCAGTAACTCCATCAACCCCGGTGACCCGAGGCTAAAGCGCCACCCGCACAGATACCAGGTCTCCCCGCTACACTCACCACCGCTTCCAGCTTCCCGCGTAGACCCTGCGCATGCGCGCATCGGACACCAAGCGCTGCCCCACGCCCCTACCAACCTGGGCGTCCGCTGGCCCGCAGCCCAGGCTGGGCCTGTCACCGCCTCAGTGCCTAGCACGGCTCTGCGGCAGGACGAACTCGGGTTAGGCAACCCCCTGCCCCGATTCTGCAACACGGCCGACTCGGGTTAAGCTAGTTCGGTCCCCTCTCCTAGTCAGCATCCGCAAGGCCGCTGGGGGTTAAGTCTGAAGGGCCGAGCTGCTCGGCGACAGCAAGCGTCCGCGCGCGGGACAATGGCTGCTCTTGTGGCCGAACCCGGAAGTGCACTTGGGCTCGGAGAGCCAGAACTACAATTCCCAGAAGCCTCCGCGGCGCGGACGGTCAGTAGGCGGGGTTCCGGCTTCTCCAAGGAAGTGGGGCGGGGGACCGGGCCAGAAGCTAAGAGGGCGTCCTCGTCCGGGGCCCGGGGGGGCGCCACACCTGTGCATGTGCAGGTCTAGGGGGAGCACTAAGACCAGCCGCGGCGCCGGGAGGCCGAGGCCAGTGCAGCGACGCATGGGGAGTCGCTCTGGCGTGACGTCAGAATCCAATAGAAATGGCGGGGACCCTTTCTGGGTGCCCCCTGCCTGTCAGACGCTGCGCGCGACCCCTTGTCTCCTCTAGTCCTAGGGGAAACCTGTGAGACAGTTGCGACATCCCCATTTTACAGTGGAGGGAGCGTCTACCGAACCCTTCAGGAATCTATGTTTTTACATTTAATAATACTAAAATATAATCATTTTATTTTTAAATTTTGAGTTCTTTCTCTGCCTATAAGGCCTGAAGGATCTGTTCCCCCCACCTCTCCCCTTTTCTCTGTTTTTGTTTTGTTTTGTTTTGTTGTTTTGAGACGGAATTTCGCTCTTGTCGCCCAGGCTGGAGGGCAATAGCGCGATCTCGGCTCACTGCAACCTCCACCTCCCGGATTCAAGCGATTCTCCTGCCTCAGCCTCCTGAATAGCTGGGATTACAGGCGCCAGCCACCACGCCCGGCTAATTTTTGTATTTTTAGTAGAGACGGGGTTTCACCACGTTGGCCAGGTTAGTCTCCAACTCCTGACCTCAGGTGATCCGCCCTCGGCCTCCCAAAGTGCTGGGATTACAGGCGTAGTCCCCTTTTCTCTTTGCCCTCATTTCTTGCCCATTTGCTTGGCACATTTTCCCCATTCTCCAACAGATCCAGCAGACTCCAGCCCCTGGTCGTTTGCAGGTGCTCTTTGCACTCCCTAGCAGCCTCTCCTGAGGGATTCATTTGGCTCTCACCGTCTGGTAATTAGGGGAATATCATCTTCTCATGAGGCATTGCCCCACCACCCGTTGTGAACTTGCAAGCAAACGCTTCCCTCCCCACATGCTCTGTGCCTCCCCCTTCATCTTTTATTTTTTTCTCTAAAGAACTTTTCACTATCTAGCACACTATATATTTTAATTATTTATTTGGTCTACTGTCCGACCTACCACTACGATGTCAATTCCATAAGGAAAAGCATTTTATCGATGTTGATCACTGCTGCATCCCCAACACCTAAAAAAAAAAAAAAGAGAGAGACCTGGCACATAATAGATGCTCAATAAATATTCGTTGGCTAAATAAAGGTTCCTGTCTCTGTATTAAACACTTTAATATTTCATTACCAAGCCCAATCAGCCTATGAGGTAGTTGTGTTAATTTTCATCCTACCAGGGAGGTAGCTGAAAATTGGAGCCCTGCTGTATGAAAATACATAATTTTTTAGTTTTTAAAATGCTTGTCAAAGCACTCCTGTAGTTTTCTTCACGTAAATTCTGACCTTTAAAAACAATGAATTATTACTATTTGAAATGTAATCTCTATCCCCAAAGCTTCTTATTATTGGTTATTGTGGTTGATCTTTTAAAAAATACTTATTTTGTATCTGGTTAACCTACTGCAATGTTATTAATTCTTACAATACTCCAGTTGACTCTCTTGGCTTTTCTATTGAGACAGTTATCTACAATTTCATCTTTTCCTTACCAGTATTTTAAATTAGACATTCTCTTTCATGTTGGATTATATTGGCTACCATTTCCAAAAAAGTATTACTAAAAGAGGCATTCTTGTTTGTGTTCTTTTAATGGACATATCTCTGAAGTTTGAGGGTTAAATGTGACATCGGTTTCTACATTGAAGTAAGTAGCTTATTTTTTTAACCTTTTATTTTGTAAATTTCAAAACAAAAGTAGGGACTCAATTAATGACTCCCCAAGACCTATGTCATCCAACTTAAATATTTTCACTCAGTCTTGTTTCATCTGTATTTCCACCTATGTTGTGCATTTGAGACCAAGATGTTGAACTCTAGAGTCCATGCTCTTAACTTTTACATTATGTTGCCGCTTGTCTACACATCAGTATCTTTCCTCTACGTGCAAGCAATACTAAGTTTGCAAACAAAACAGAAAAAGTTCGTATGTATTCACAAAAAAGCAAAAAAAAAAAGCCTTATAAGTAAATTTAGTAAGATAAATATGTCATCTGAAGAAACCCTCAAAACCTTACTGAGAGAGAAAAATGGACAAATAGAAATGCTGTGTTGCTAGCTGTGTGTTGTAAAGATGTAAAATCTTGCAGATTGATCTGCAAATACAAATATGACAAAATCAGAATGGGATGCTTTGAGTGTTAGGTCGTCTTCCTTTTTTCACTTCATTTATTTTTCTGCTAATTGTTTAAGATATTCAGAAAATAGGCCAGGCGCAGTGGCTCACACCTGTAATCCTAGTACTTTGGGAGGCTAAGGCAGGCCAATCATGAGGTCAAGAGTTCAAGACCAGTCTGGCCAACATGGCAAAACTCTGTGTCTACTTAAAAAATACAAAAATTAGACAGGCATGGTGATGCACGCCTGTAATCCCAGCTACTCAGGAGTCTGAGGCAGAAGAATCGCTTGAACCTGGGAGGCAGAGGCTGCAATGAGCCAAGATCACGTTGCTACACTCCATCCTGGGCAACAGAGCAAGACTCCATCTCAAAAAAAAAAAACAATTTTCAGAAAATAAAGCGTTAGTACTATGTAATGTAAAACTGACTTTGTTTATCTGTCTTTTGTTTAGTCTTTTTTATTTTCTTTCACAATGAACAAGGTGGTAATGTTTACTTCCAGGAACCTATAAATCCTGACTTAACCTGAATATTACAGGGACTTTAGAAGAGTTACCACTGCTGGGCGCAGTGGCTCACGCCTGTAATCCCCACACTTTGGGAAGCCGGAGCAGGAGGATCACTTGAGCCCAGGAGTTTGAGACCAGCCTGGGCAACATGGTGAAACCCCGTCTCTACAAAAAATACAAAAATTAGCTGGGCCTGGTGGCACAAGCTGTAGTCCCAGCTACTCAGGAGGCTGAGGCAGGAAGGATTGCCTGAGCCCAGGAAGCAGAGGTTGCAGTGAACCAAGATTATGCTACTACACTCCAGCCTCAGCGACAGAGCCAGACCCTGTCTCAAAATAAATAAATGAATAAATAAAAATTTTAAAGAGTTACCACTCAGGAACATTCTAGAAAGATGCCTATCTAATCTAGAGATTTATCTGTCAACTGTCGGGAAGAGCTGAGACCAAAGTTTATATTAAGATTCTGTTTATTGGCCATGAATTGGATAAGGGCTCAAGATACAGTGAAGAGCAAGAAGATTATGAATCCATTTACTATAAATACTAGAAAACAAAGTAAGAGTAACGAGAGGGTAAAAGGGCATGATCTGTCTCTAGGATGTCAGGGGGAGGGGGACATTTCTTGGCAGGGAAGAGGAAAGTTCTCAGGGTTCAAATAGGGTGGTGTTTCTGGTACTACTGAGTGCAACCCTTAAGATCCTAATTCCGGTCTCTTGTATCACATCTAATGATTAATTTTTAAAATCTGAATTAATGTTATCATCATTATGATAGCCATTCAGCTCCAAGGATAGCAACAACGCATTCTGAAAACTCTTCATTTCCAGGAGTTTTCAGTGTTGGTTTCCCCCTGTGTTAACAGTCCTTTTTTGTCTCCTTTGCTTGATCTCTCCTGTAAACATCAGAGGAACCCAGGAATCAGCTGTCAGCCTGTCCCTTGCCTTGTCTTCATCCACTCTGCTTGGGGTTGACATAACAGGCCTATTGCTCAAACTCTGTAAGTTCCCCAGAAGGTCCTGTTTTCCTGACTAGCCTTTGGGCAGCTCTGGGAACTGAGCTCTCATAATGTTCTATCTGGTAAGAGTGCTTTTGTTTGCCTGAGGCCTTGAGCCATGCTGTACCACTTTGTCCAGATGGTTTATACTAACAGTGTAATTTATGGAGGAACATCTGCTTTCCTTCTAGGAGTCTGGAGCTTCAGTGACTGACCCTTTATAAAAACCATGGACACCCAGGTTTAGGTGAGCTTCCCTCGATGGCAATGCTTCACACACGTTGTCACACATCATTGCTGGGGGATTTCCCATGTGCTGTGGTTTGGATATTTGTCTCCTCCAAAACTCATGTTGAAACTTAATCCCCAGTGTGGCAATATTGAGAGGTGGGGGTTTTTAAGAGGTGATTGGCTCATGAGGGTTTTGCCTTCATGAATGGATTAATCCATTCATGGACTAATGGATTAACGGGTTATCATGGGAGTGGAACTGGTAGCTTCATAAGAAAAGAAAGAGAAACATGAGCTAACATGTTACCACACTCAGTCCCCTTGGCATGTGATTCCCTGCACCACTTCAGGACTCCACAGAGAGTCCCCACCAGCAAGAAGTGCTCTCACCAGATGCAACCCCTAGACCTTAGACTTCTAAGCCTCCATAACTGTAAGAAATAAATTTCCTTTTTAAAACAAATTACCCAGATTTAGATATTCTGTTATAGGCCAAAGAAAGCAGACTAATACACCATGTGACTCCACTGAAAGAGAACACTTGGAAGCTGGTGCAGGGTATCCTCCAGACTTCACCCCATGCACCTTTTCCCTTTGCTAATTTTATTCTCCATCCTTTTGCTGTAATAAACTATAACCATGAGTATAACAATTGGGTCCTATGAATTCCTCTAGAAAATCTTTGAGCATGAGGTGGTCTTGGGGACCCCCCTGACAGAGGAGCTCATCCAGCCCCATAACTTTAAGTCCCACTGACAACTCTCAAATGTGTATCTCCAGCCATGATCTGTCTAGATTTTTATGAACAATTGCCTACTTGATTCTGCAACTGATTCTTGACATGTCTAAATTCTTGACATGAAGCAAATTCTTTATTTCTCTCCTTATCCCAAAGTTTCTCAGAAAGTGACCTGCCAATCATCCAGTTGCCCTGGCAAGAAACCATGGAGATATCCTTGTCTCCTAACTCTCTTTACCTTCAGCAAATCTCATTCTGACTCTCTCCGCCCCTGCAGTTCTCAGGATTCTAAGCATTTCATGCCTACCTCTCCTCAGGAGCCTCAATCCCTCACTTCACTACGTGTTTTCTCCTTTTATTAAGAGCTCTTAATTTCTTAAGAGCTCCTTGTTCCTTATCTTCTATCATGATTTGAAAAGCCACTTCTTCTCTGACACCTGTCTTTGTCCCCTACTCCTCTCTGGCTGACTCAGACTCACTCTTCTCTCTGGAGTCCACCAACAGTGTTTGCTCATCCTCAGCCTGCAACTATGATATCCTAAGCTGTTCAGTCTCAAACCTTGGTCCTCTAACTCTAGATCCACGGGCTGTCATTTTTACCCTTACTATTGCTTTGAAAAAAAATATGAGTCAAAATCTAAGATTCTATGGAAGCCAGGGCCTGACCAACCCATTGCAGTAGAACATCACAAGGTCTACAGAGATGACAGAGAATGACTGGCTTATAATATGCACTTAATAAATGTCATTAAATATATGATCAAGCATGGTTTCTCTAGGACTCCTGGAGAAAAGATCTCTGCTTCCATTAGACGGAGGGGTTGATTTGGATGTAAGTGTTGGGCTCTGGATTCACAAGCTCCTGTTAAACAAAGAGAAAATGTGAGCTCCATTTGCTAGGTGGACCCTCCCAGTCTACTCACTGTAGTCTGGGGCCCAAACAGCCTGGAGCTTTCCTTTCTTTGGAAATTCCAAAAATCTTCCTCCATTCTCATCACACTTTAGTAACCCTGGCACATCTCTGTTCCTGGAATGGCCCATGTACTTCCCCACTGTGGTAAACAGACTCTAAAGTGGTCCCCATAATCCCTGCCTCCTGGTATTCATTCCTTTATGTAATCTCCTCCCCTTGAGGGCAAGACCTGTGACTTGCATCTAACCAATAGAATATGGCAAAGGTGGCAGGATATACATGATTGCATGTATGTGATTCTGTTACATAAGATTATGACTTCTGTCTTGGCTTGAAGAAGCAAGATGCAATGTTGTGAGCTGCCTGTGGAGAGGGCCACATGGCAAAGAACTGAGGATGACCTCCAGCTGACAGTAAGAAACTGAGGCCCTCATTATGACAGCCTGCAAGGAACTGAATGCTGCTAATGACCACATGAGCTTGGAAGTGGATCCATCCCCAGCTGAGCCTCAGATGAGACCTGGGCTTTGACTGGCACCTTGATTATACAGCCTTGCAGAAGAGCTAACTAAGCAATGCCTGAACTCCTGACCCACAGAAACTGTGAGATAATGAATTCATGTTGTTTTAAGCTGCAAAGTCTGTGGTAATTCATTATACAGCAACTGATAACTCTACACCCTCTTCAGGGCCTTTTTTACTGATGCCTCTCAAGTTGGAATGTTTCCTTTCATACTGTTTGCATGGTTTGCTCCTTCTAATCCCTCCAGAATGTAGCAGACACTGAGTTCACTGAGTTGACTGACCTAACCTTCTTCCCCACACCACCTCCCTTGCTTGCTTCTATTGAAGAGGCTGGGAATGTTAATGTACCACTTTCTCAGCCTCTGTTGCTACAAGGAGCACCATATGACCTTATTCTGGCTAATGAGATATAAGAGGAAGCTTACTAGGTGGTATTTCTGGGAAGACCTTTTGCCCGACTAATAATAGGAAACAAACATGGCTCCCCTACGCAGACACTGGTGAAGAGAGGGACTTAGGTGGCTAAGTTTTTACCAGTTCAAAGCTGATTAGAGAGCTGACAAAACTAAACATGATCCATACCATGGCCTGAATCAATCTGATTCTTCTATGGAGAATTTGAACCTAGAAATGCTTAAAGGGCAGCAGAAGATGTTGTTATATATACTCTGAAGTTATAGAGAAGCAATGACCAGGACATTTACATAGAAATTCAATCTGGATTGAGAAGAATGAGATGAATTCATAGATTAGTGAAAATGAGAAACTGTATAATAAGAGAGAAACAGCTTCTTGATAGCATTCAAGTCGCCAAGAGGCCCAGGAGTAATTTCTGAAATTGAGTTATCTGATATTTCTCAGTGTTCTCTCAATTAATCCCCATTCGAACTACATTCAAAGGGTTTAACTTTCTTAACATTAAAAATTCTTGACTAAGATATTAATATATGAAACATTCAGCCAGGTGCAGTGGCTTGCGTCTGTAATCCCAATACTCTGGGAGGCCAAGGTGGGATGATCGCTTGAGCCCAGGAATCTGAGGCTGCAGTTGGCCATGATCGCACTACTGCACACAACCTGGGTGAAAGAGCAATACGTTGTCTCAAAAAACTAAAAAGGTGTATAGGATATTCACATTTTTCAAGAATAGTTATCTGTCTGTTAGGCTAAAATCTACCCTTCTTTTACCTATCCTCCATGGTAATTTATGTGCCCTCTGGAACAACAAGGAACACATTTATCCCTCTACTTGAAGCCTGTCAGACACTAAAATATTGGAGTTCTCTGTCCCTAAACTTTCTCTTTTCCAAACCCAAGAAAACCCTGTCAGTAGGACATGGATTTGAGCCCCTGTTCTGGCCTCTCTCTTATTCCTCCTCTGGATAAATTCTGACTGGTCACTGGCTTGTTCAGAATATAGAATCTGAAGTCCATTCTTGGAATTGGAGTAATCTGGCTGTCCTGATGACAGGGTTGAGATCACTTGCATTCTCTAAAATAATTCTACTAGTCCTTAGAACTATGGAGCCATCACTTGACTGCTCTAAACTTGTTACTGGAATTTTGCTTATGCCTGGATGAACTAATAGTTTTCTTCTTTTTTATTTTTTTCTTTCTGAGACAAGGTCTTGTTCTGTTGCCCAGGCTGGAGTGCAGTAGCTCGACCTCAGCTCACTGCAACCTCCGCCTCCCAGGTTCAAGTGATTCTTCTGCCTCAGCCTCCCAAGTAGCTGGGATTACAGGTGCCTGCCACCATGCCCAGCTAATTTTTGTATTTTCAGTAGAGACAGCGTTTCACCATGATGGCCAGGCTGGTCTCTAACTCCTGACCTCAAGTGATCTGCTCGCCTCCACCTCCCAAAGTGCTGGGATTACAGGCGTGAGCCACCGCGCCTGGCCCAGTTTTCTTCTTTTTGAATGATGTAACTAATCATACCTCTCTGTTTTATTGTTACCAGGAAGCTTAGAGACACATAAGAGATATAGTGGCAGATATCACGTAGGCCCAGTATATATTTTTACTTTTTACCCATATATTGACTTCTTGCTATTGTTAAAAATATTTTTTCTGATTGTAATTTCTATTTCTAATTTAACACCATTTTGTAGTGTTGTATATAAACTGCTTCAAATCTTCCATGGGAAAAACTGCTTCAAATCTCCCATGAGAAAAATGTGGGGAAGTAAATATCATGAATGAAATGAAAGATTGGAAAGGAAAGGAAATGAATGAAAAGGAATAGACTATTTAGGAATGTAACTGAAAGAGATGGCAAAGGCATAAATGAAATGGAGGGAAATTGAATAGGACAGAAAGGAATACAATAAAAATTAAAGGCAGAGAATGGAGTGAAATAAAATGGCATGATGTCCAAAGAAGTGCAAATGAAAGAAATTAAATGAAAAGGAAAATTGTAACAGAAAGAAAGAAATAAAGTAAAATAAAATGGAGCAGAAAAGAGAGTAATAAAATAAGGTAATGAGGGGAGAGAAGTGGAGAGGAAATTAGAGAAAAGTAATATAGTAGAAGGAAAGTATAACATTAAAGAATAAAAATAAAGCAACGAAATTAAAAAAAAAACAGAAAAGGGGGGAAATGGAATGCCATGGAATATAAAATAATGAAATGAAATGAAACTGAAATCAATGGTATAAAGAGTAGGAAATGCAAAGGACTGGAAAGAAATGGAAAGAACTTAAATGAAATGAAAAGGAGTGGAATGGAATGACTTGAAAAGAAGAAATTAAATGGAAAGCTTGAAAAGGAAAGTAATAAAGACAAGGGAATGAAGTGCCATAAAGGGCATGAAGGGAGAGGATGAAGTGAGAAAACATGCAGTAGAATGGAATGGAATAGAATAGAGTGGGGTGGATTGGAAAGAAATGAAAAGGGAAAGGAATTGAAGAGAACAGAGGGAGAGGAATGGAAAACAGTGAAATAGAATTGAATGAAAGGGAAGGGTATGGAGAAGAGAAAGTGAATGGAAAAGAAAGAAGGGAATGGGAAAAAAGAAAAATTGAATGGAAAAGAAATATAAAGAATAAGAACTGGAATGTAGTGGAATGAAGTGAAAACCAATCAAATGGAAATGAATGTAAATAGGGACATTGCCTAGGAAGGAATGGAGAGGTAGGAAATAGAACGGATGAAATGGATTAAATATATGGATGGAAATAAGAAGACTGAAATGGGATGGGAAGAATAAGAATGGAAACGAAATAAAGTCGTGGGATGGGAATTGAGTGGGCTGGAATAAAACAGAGTGTAATGGAATGTAAAATAAATGAATTGAAAGGAATTAAAAGAAAAAATAAAAATGGATAAAATGCAATAGAAAGAAAGGAAAAGAATGAAAAGGAATGAAATAAGAAAGAGATGGAAAGGAGTGTAAAGGGATCAAACAAAGCTGAGTGGAATGGAATGAAAAGGCATGGAATGAGCCAGGCAGGGTGGCTCATTCCTGTAATCTCAGCACTTTGGGAGGCCAAGGCGGGCAGATCAATTGAGGTCAGGAATTCAAGACCAGCCTGGCCAACATGGTGAAATCCCGTCTCTACCAAAAAATACAAAAATTAGCTGGGTGTGATGGCTCGTGCCTGCAGTCCTAGCTACTCGGGAAGCTGAAGTGGGAGAATCCCTTGAACCTGGGAGGCAGAGGTTGCAGTCATCAGAGATTGAGTCACTGCACTCCAGTCTGGGTGATGGAGCAAGACCCTGTCTCAAAAAAAAAAAGAAAGATGAAAGGAAGGAAGGAAGGAAAGAAAGAAAGAAAGAAAGAAAGAAAGAAAGAAAGAAAGAAAGAAAGAAAGAAAGAAAGAAAAAGGAAGGAAGGAAGAAAGAAAGAGAAGAAAGAAAATAAAAGGCATGGAATACAGTAGAGTGAATGGGAAGAGCTGGGATGGGGGGAAATAGAGTGGAAGGAAATAAAACCCAATGGGATGGAAAGAAAATGGCAGAGTGAAGTGATATAGAAATACAGAAAATGAATAAAGCTAAATGGATAGAAAGGAATTGGGTGGAGTGAAACATGGAATGCAATAAAATGGAGTGCGTTGGAAAGGAATGAAGTAAAACCAACTAGAAAATGACATGATGGAAATGGATAGGATGGAATTGAGAAGATTTTTAAAGGGAAATTTTTCTTCATAGTTCATCCTACAGACTCTTTAGTAGGGAAGAAAAAGCAGATTGGTGACAGATTTCCACCTGTCCAAAGACTCAGTGTGGCATAAACATACCTCATAGATTGACTCCATGTTTTTTGGCACAGTGGAGACCAATCTGAGTGGGGGCATCAGAGGTTTGGGTGGTGGCTTCCAGGGGCTGAAAGAATTGCCTCTACGGCTTGCTGAAGGCAGCTTCGTCTGCAAGTAAGCAGAGAAATTAGGCAGGGCCCACAGACACAGATTGCCAGGAATGTACCAACTTACACTCTTCAGGGACCGAGAGAGTGGAAGGAATCTGTTCAGGTTCTTGCAGAGAATCAGAGGTGGAAGCAGGGTTAGAACCCAGGCCCTTGCCCTGGCCCAGAACTCTCCTTTTTCCTGCTGGATCTGCAACCTCTACTCCCAGCCTCCTTTTCACCCCAGCATGTGCTGGTCCAGTACCACCTCATTGGCAATCCAATTCCAAGCCCTGGAGGTGGAAGGAACGAAAGAGGATCCAGGGTCATGGCATCTGACCCAGCTCTCTGTGAGGCCTTAGGCTACTCTCTTCCCATCCCTGGCCCTGTGATGTGCCATGAAATGTTTAGACAAGATGATCTCTCAGGCTTATCACATATAAAATTTTCAGATTGTCTTTCCTTCATAGATTCTTTAACCAAACCCAGCAGGGCCAATGTACCTCATAGGTCTCCTCTGGAAGGTCTGGTGGTTGCATCTGGGGAAAAACAAAGTTGCAGAGAGGTCATAGGGCTTGGAATAGGGGCTACCCCAAGAGATGCTCAGAAATAGCTTTGGCCTCAGAGGCAATTATAGCACTTCTGATTCCCAGAGGGCTCAAAGCTAGGAATTGTCATGTCAAAGAATAAGAAGACGAGGAGAAGAGATGAAAAAACCCGGGAGGGTCTTGAGATCCTCAGAGAAGTCAGAGGAGGAGATGCAGAGAGACTTAACCTGGCACTGGGTTTTCTCAAAAGATCATGCCAGCCCCCACCCTAAGAAGTAAGACTATAGCAGCCTGGTCAGGGGATCAAGGAGGGTTCCCTCTGCAGCATCACTCACCAGTTCGACTCTGATCCGTCCCTGAAGCTGGGATATATTGCGATACTCAGGACTCAGGCTTTCTAGAAAAAGTGAATCTCAGTCAGGAGCTGGAGTTCGAAAGAGATATGGGGCAAGGGGCTGTTTTTCCAGGACCCCTGACCCCAGGAAGGAAGTGCAGAAATCCTTCCCAGGACTCCCTGTCATATTTCCAGTGAGCTTGACCAGGAATGTCCTGGCAATCAAGGTCTGGGTTAGGTAAGGCTGTTTGGTGACACAGATGAGGGGAGAAATCTAAATTCTAGCCCAGTTTTGACACTGGGTCCTCTGTAGCCTGGATTTAGCCCTTTATCCCTAATGGCCTTGGTTTTCGTCTCTATAAAATGGGGCTGGATTGGACAGTTTCTAGAAAGCCTTCCATATCAAAAGGCCTATCCTTCCAGAATCCCAGACCCAGAGATGGCAAATACGTTTCATTTTGTCTTTGGTTAACTCTAACCCATCAGTAGAGGGCACTCGAGGCACTCTACTGAGATATGTTATGAGGCTGGATTTGGATTCAGCAGGAAGGAGTGTTGTGGTTGATTCATTCTGTCTACAACAATCAGTTAAAAAAGTCTTCTGAGATTGAGAAAGGAGAGAATTCCAGCCTGTTGTCCTGCTTTTGCCGGGACTGTTGGAACAGGCAGAACCCATCAGAGGGCTTGACTCCAATCTCATCCAAATTCCAGATGGGAACACAGAGGCTCAGAGTGGACAGGGCTTGCCCTGATCATACAGTGACCTGGTGGCAAAGCTGGGAGCCCCCAGCACCAGCCTCTTCCCCAGCCCTCACCCCTGCCCCAGGCATCAGCCACCATAGAGTCACTTACCGGAACTGGGCTCTGTGGGGTGCTCCTCCTTCGGGATGGGTTGTGAGGTCTCATGACTGGGGTCCTCTGTTGTTTTCCTTGAGGGCCTGAAACCCCAAAGCCCTCATTATTCTGTGCCTCTAGTCCTTGCCCATCTCCACAGGTTCTGCCCATATCCCATGTCCATTCTTGAACAATGCCCACAACCCTCTGAATTCCCCAGGTGCCAGACAAGACTCAGCACCATGGTCAGCAACACGCCCGGCAAGCGCCCCCTGCTGGCCACATCCCCATCCCCATCCCCCTCCCTGTATCCCTGTGTTACCGTCTGGCATTTCTGATGCAGAGAAAATAGCCCAGTTCTGAGGCCACAGCAATGACAGCCAGGATCCCGATGACAATACCAGCGATGGCCCCTGAGGACAGGGAGGAGGACTGGGGACCTGGGCAAGGAGACAGAATCAAGACCCAGGCTTGACACACCCTCATCCCTGCTCCCAGCCCGTTCCCAAGCTTGCAGCTTTTTCTCTACTGACATTTTGTGAGCACTTGTTTTCCAGTCGTTGGGAGGTATCAGATTGTGGTTTTTGGTTTTGCTTTTTTTTTTTTTTTTTTCAGACAGGGTCTTGCTCTGTCACCCAGACTGGAGTGGAGTGGCGTGACCTCAGCTCACTGCAACCTCCAGGTTCAAGTGATCCTCCCACCTCAGCCTCCCCTAGTAGCTGGGACTACAAGTACCTGCCACCATGCAGGCT